>NC_000003.12:121584361-121887392 GCF_000001405.40 Homo sapiens
AAACCCATTTAGAAGAGTGGGTTATATTCAGTTGCAAAGACATGGGGTTTATTCCTAGTTTTTTCTATTTCATAATTAAAAAAATTTTTGGCTAGCTCTTGCACAGAATATTCCTAGTTTCTAGAATAACAAAAGTGTGAAAAAGATGAGAAGACAGAAGCTACTATCCACTGTCCTGAGGTTAGGTAGGGTAGAAAGACTGAGTACCAGAGAATAAAAGTAAAACAGAAAACTTTTCAGTGCAGTCAGGGCAGACTGAAACTCAAGGGAGCCAGTTTCCAGAGTGAACAGACTGAGTACACAGAAAATTGAAGAGGTAACTCATGTCCTATCAGAGACAAAATCTCAGAAAGCGGAGGACAGAGCATTGTTACACAGGGCTCAGCCATTCAGACTCAAGACCTGGGATCTGCATTTTCTGGATCCTAAGCCTGGTTGGAGGAAAGGCATGAGAGATTCACCATGGTGATTTGTTTTTTGGTTTTTGTTTTTTTGGTTGGGGGGAGAGATTGGTAATGTAAATGTAACCACCCCTTCTTTATCTCTGCCCTGAAGCAATACGGAGAAGGCATAAAGAACGTACTTCTTTCACCCACCAACAGTATGAGGAGCTAGAAGCTCTGTTTAGCCAGACCATGTTCCCAGATAGAAATCTTCAGGAGAAACTAGCTTTGAGACTCGACCTACCGGAGTCAACAGTAAAGGTCTGATCCCCTGTGGTGTGCTTGGTACCCCCATCCAAGCCACATTCACCTATCCAGCCTGGAAATTCCCCACCCTCTACCCCTGCCCCACAATAATATTTCATTAATTGAGTACCTACTGAAACGGTATCAAACTGGGGACATCGCAAATACTGGCCTCACTCTCATGCAGTTTGAAAAATGAGAAAAAATGAGGTTCAGAGGCAAAGTGACTGGGCCACAGAGATAAGAAATAGTGTTGCTAGAACTAAAACCCCAGAAATCTTATTTTTAATACTTGTACTATAGAGTTCAAATAGCGGAAAGGTGCTCATCCAGACAGACTCCTCGCTTAGAGTCTTTTTAAGCAAAGCCCTGCAATCTGTTTATTCATAATGCTACCAACAGACAAATAATACTCCCTCTAACCTCTGAGTCTGCTAAAGCCCATGACGTTTTTCTTTTTTCTCTTTTTTTCAGAGATGGGGTCTCACTATGTTGCCCAGGCTGGTCTCAAACTCCTGAGCTCAAGTGATCCTCTCACCTCAGACTCTCAAAGTGCTGGGATTACAGGTGTGAGCCACCGTGACTGGCCATACATTTTTACTGGAGTATTCCTTATAGGAGAGGCCTCCTAAAATAATCCTTAAAAATCCTTCAGTTCAAATTCTTCACCTCTCCCTAGATCCTAGATCCCTAAACTAGCCTCTCTTCTCTAGAGTTCAGGACCCTATCTCTGAACACCCAGCACAAACCCTGAAACACACCCGCTTCCTTCCTTTCTGGGGTCCCAGACCTGATCTTCATCATCCCTCCTACTGACTCCAGTCATGCCCATCTCTGCTTTTGCAGAGCCCAGTGTCATGGTGAATTAGAGAGGACATGAAGATTATAACCTGGCTGTTTTCACTCAGGAGAATCCTCCAATGCCTCCTCCAATAACAGACCACAATCTCCCCCTCTTCCCCTACTCCCAGGTTTGGTTCAGGAACCGGCGATTCAAATTGAAGAAGCAGCAGCAGCAGCAATCAGCAAAGCAACGAAACCAGATCCTTCCATCCAAGAAGAATGTGCCCACCTCCCCCAGAACATCCCCCAGTCCTTATGCTTTTTCTCCTGTGATTTCAGATTTCTACAGCTCCCTTCCATCTCAGCCCTTAGACCCTTCCAATTGGGCATGGAACTCTACCTTCACTGAGAGTTCTACCAGTGACTTCCAAATGCAAGATACTCAGTGGGAGAGGCTGGTGGCCTCGGTTCCTGCTTTGTACTCTGATGCCTATGACATATTCCAAATCATAGAACTGTACAATCTTCCTGATGAGAATGAGATATCCAGCTCTTCTTTCCACTGTCTGTATCAGTATCTCTCACCCACAAAGTACCAGGTAGGAGGACAGGGTTCCTCTCTCAGCATCTTTGCTGGTCCAGCTGTAGGCCTATCTCCTGCACAAACCTGGCCCAATATGACAAGCCAAGCCTTTGAAGCCTACAGTCTAACAGATAGCCTGGAATTCCAGAAAACCTCCAATATGGTAGACTTGGGATTTCTCTGACCAGAGTACTAATAAATATAGATCATTTAGAAAAGTGGTCTTCTTGCCTCTTGTACATGACTGTTTTTTTCCTTTGTCTCATTTTAACCCAACATCTGGGTCTGTGTCTCTGATTTCCATGTAAATGTTGCAAAAAGAGTTTTCCAAGTAGAGCTGGGCACTACGTAATCAGCCCCACAAGTCTCCCTGAGAAGCCTGCCTAGTCCCTTTCATGGCCAATGAGACTCCAAAATTCCCTTCCCAAAACTATCTTGGATTTTCTAAAAGTAGGACAGTGGTTTTGGGGGTTATCCACTTTTATTTTTTTGAAACTAGCTCTCATTCTGTCACCCAGGCTGGAATACAGTGGTACAGTCACGGCTCACAAAAGCCTTGACCTCCTGGGCTCAGGTGATCCTCCCACCTCAGCCTCCTGAGTAGCTAGGACTACAGATGCTCGCCACCACACCTGGCTAATTTTTTTTTTTTGAGACTGAGTCTCGCACTGTCACCCAGGGTGGAGTGCAGTGGCGGGATCTCAGCTCAGTGCAACCTCCACCTCCTGGGGTTCAAGTGATTCTCCTGTGTCAGCCTCCTGAGTAGCTGGGATTACAGGCGTGTGCCACCATGCCTGGCTAACTTTTGTATTTTTAGTAGAGACGGGGTTTCACCACGTTGCCCAGGCTGGTCTTGAACTCCTGACCTCCAGTGATCCGCCTGCCTTGACCTCCCAAAGTGCTGGGATTACAGACATGAGCCACCGAGCCTGGCCAATTTTTGTGTTTTTTGTAGAGACGAGGTTTTGCCATGTTGCCCAGGCTGGTCTCCAACTCCTGGACTTAACGCCATCCACCTGCCACAGCCTCCCAAAGTGCTAGGAATACAGGAGTGCACCATCGCACCCGGCTGGGTTATCTAGTTTAAAAACACTTTTTTTCAAGGAAACCGAAGAAACCATCATCCACTTTTCTCTCTGTATCATTCTGATTTTAGTATATGTGTTGTGGAAGTGAGTACACTATCATCCACTTTTAATGACAGAAAGTTATAAACTTACATTTTGTTTCCAATTTTTCATTTTTTGTTTGTTATTTGTTTTTTGTAGACAGCACTCTGTCACCCAGGCTGGAGTGCAGTGGCACCATCTTGGCTCACTGCAGCCTCTGCCTCCTGGGCTCAAACAGTCCTCCCACCTCAGCCTTCTGAGTAGCTGAGACTACAGACATGCGCCACCATGTCTGGCTAATTTTTGTATTTTTAGTGGAGATGGGGTTTCGCCTTGTTGCCCAGGCTGAATTTGGGTTTTTTTAAAATGAGACTTTCAGTCCTAATTTGAGGGGAAATTACTGTCACCACTAGTTTTAATATAGTACAATGAAAAAATAATATATATATATATAGTACAATGGTCCAGACATAATAAGAGGTGTAAAAACTATCACAGGAAGAAATAAAAACAGATTTTTGAAGGTGAGATGATAAACTTGCAAAACTCACAAAATAAAGAGTCAAACTTTTAGAATGACAAGTTAGCATATTTTCCAGCCACATGATCAACCTACAAAATTAATACCATTTCTGAACACCAGTAATAAAGAAACATAAGGGCTGGGGGTGGTGGCTCATGCCTGTAATCCCAGCACTTTGGGAGGCCGAGGCGGGCGGATCACGAGGTCAGGAGATTGAGACCAGCCTGACTAACATGGTGAAATCCCGTCTCTACTAAAAATACAAAAAAAAAAAAAAAAAAAAGCCAGGCATGGTGGCACACACCTGTAATCCCAGCTACTCGGGAGGCTGAGGAAGGAGAATTGCTTGAACCTGGGAGGTGGAGGTTGCAGTGAGCTGAGGTCGCACCACTGCACTCCAGCCTGGACAACAGAGCAAGACTCTGTCTCAAAAAAAAAATAAAAAATAAAAAATAAAAAATAAAAGAAACATAAGATAAGTACCTCTCAATGAAAAATGTAAAAGTACCTAGAAATTCACAAAAAAATTAATACCTCTGTGGAGAAAACTTCAAAACTTAAAAAAGGACATAGAAAATGTTTTGAATAGGCCAGGCGCAGTGGCTCACACCTGTAATCCCAGCACGTTGGGAGGCCAAGGCGGGCAGATCACGAGGTCAAGAGATCAAGACCATCCTGGCCAACATGGTGAAATCCTGCCTCTACTAAAAATACAAAAAAAAAAAAAAATTAGCTGGGCATGGTGGCACACACCTGTAGTCCCAGCTACTTGGGAGGCTGAGGCAGGAGAATCACAAGGATTGAAACTATGCAGTGTGTTCTCCAAACATGATGGAACGAAATTAGAAATCAATAAAATTTGGGAAATTCACAAATATGTGGATATTAAACAACACATTCCTAAATAACCAGTGGTTAAAGAGGTAATCACAGTCTGAGCAACATGGCAAAACCCTGTGTCTACAAAAAATAAAAAATTAGCTGGGCATGACGGCCAGAGCCCATGGTCCCAGCTACTCGAGAGGCTGAGGTAAGAGCATCCCTTGAGCCACAGAGGTCGAGGCTGCAGTGAGCTGTGACTGTGCCACTGCACTCCAGCTTGAGCAACACAGTGATACTGTCTCAATAAATAAATAAATAGAAGAAATCATGAGTAAAATTGGAAAACACTTTTAACTGAAAAAAACAAAAGCACAACAAACCAAAACATGGGATGAAGCTAAATCAATGCTTAGAAGGAAATTTATAGCTTCAAATACTTATATACATATTTTTTAAAAGTAGCTTTACATAGGAAGGAAGTGGCATAGTTTTATCAATATCTGTCAAATTAAACTTCAAGGCAAAACTTTTTTATTGAGATGGAGTCTTGCTCTGTCACCCAGGCCGTGCAATCTCGGCTCACTGCAACCTCCGCCTCCTGGGTCAAATGATTCTCCTGCTTTAGCCTCCCAAGTAGCTGGGACTACAGGTGTACGCCACCACACCCAGCTAATTTTTGTATTTTTAGTAGGGACAGGTTTTGCCATGTTGCCCAGGCTGGCCTCAAACTCCTGAGCTCAAGTGATCCTCCCGTCTCAGCCTCCCAAAGGGCTGAGATTACAGGTGTGAGCTACCTCACCTGGCCAAAACAGTTTTTTTAGAAATGAAGTATATTAGACAACAACAAAAGGAACAACTAACCTGAAATATATAATAACTTTGAACTTAAATATACTTAACAACATATACCAAAAATATATGAGGCAAATTTTAGCAAAAATTAAAATTCTTAAGAAAACTTCACTAATATATAGTCATAATGTGGTATATTCATAGAACATTCTCAATAATTGATAATAACAGTCCAAAGAAAGCAGAAAGAAGGAAAGCCTAGAACAGAAATAAATGAAATAGAGAATAGAAAAGCAATACAGAAAAAAAATTATGAAATCAAAAGCTGGTTCTTTGAAAAGATCTACAAAATGGCAAACATTTAGCTAGATTGACCACCCCCTCAAAAGACTCAAATTACTAGAATCAGAAACAAAAGTCAAGATTTTATTACCAAACTTATAGAAATAAAAATTATTAGAAAGAAATACTATGAACAATTGAATGCCAACAAATTAGATAAATGAAATGGACAAATTCCTAGGAAGACACAGAATACCAAATCTGACTCCACAAGAAATAGATGTTGTGAATAGAGCTTGCTATGGTATGAATGTGTCCCCCACAGCTCATGCGTTGGAAACTTAATCCCCAAAGCAACAGCTTTGAGAGGTGAGACCTTTAAGGGTTACTAGGCAGAGCCCCCATGAATGGATTAATGCCATTATTGTGGGAGTGGGTTAGTTATCTCAGAAGTGGGTTCCTGATAAAAGGATGAGTTCGGCCTTCTTCTTCCCCAAAATCTTTATCCCCACCCCCACCTCTATCTTTCTCTCTCTCTCTTACCTCCTCCTCTCCCTTCCTTCTGCCATGGGAGGATGAAACATGAAGGCCCTGGCCAGGTGTGGCCCCTCCATCTTCCGTCTGAGACTGGAAGACTTCCCAGCCTTCAGAACTGTAAGAAATAAATCTCTCTTCATAAATTACCCAGTCTCAGGTATTCTGTTATAACAACACAAAAACAGACTGAGACAGAGTTATAACAAGCACAGAGATTGAGTTAACAATTGAAAACTTCCCACAAAGAAAAGCCCAGTCCCAGATGGCTTCACTGCTAAATTCTACCAAAATGTTTAAAGAAGAATTAACACCAATCCTTCATAAACTTTTCCAAAAAAAACAAAAGAGGAGGGAACTCATTTTATGAGATCGATATTATCTGGATACCAAAGCTGAACAAAGACGCCATAAGGGAACTACAGATTATAGTGAGTATCCCCTATTGGAAATGCTTGGAACCAGAAGCGTTTCAGATTTGGAGTTTTTGGAATATTTGCACATACATAATGAGATATCTTGGGGATGGGACACCAGCCTAAACACAACTCATTTATGTTTCATATACACCTTATATACATAGCCTGAAGGTAATTGCACAATATTTTAAGTAACTCTGTGGATGAAACAAAGTTTCGAGTGCGTTTTGACTATGACCCACCATATGAGGCCAAGTGTGGAACTTTCCTCTTGTGGTGTCACATCAGCACTCAAATAATTTTGGATTTTAAAGCATTTTGGAATTCAGATTTCAGATTGGGGATACTCAACCTGTAATACCTCTTCTGAATATAGACGCAAAAATCCTCAATAAGATCCTTTTGTAGTTCATGAATGTGATGATTGGGCATTCACGTGGATGTGTGAGTGCTACCCTCGAAGCTTGTTTCAACATTGGCACATTATGCATCTGACTTGAAAAAACAAATTCTCAATAAAATACTAACAAACTAAATTTAGCAACATATAAAAAGGATAGATACCATGACCAAGTAGGGTTTATTCAGGAATGGAAGATTGATTCAACATAAAAAAATTCATCAATGTAATACACGATATTAATAGAATAAAGGACAAAAACCACATGATCATCTTGCTGGGCACAGAAAAAGCATTTGATGAAGATCCACACTCTTTCTTGATTCACTCAACAAACTAGAACAAACTATCAAACTCCTCTCCTTCAACTTGATAAAGGCCATCTACAAAAATCCACAGGTAACATTGTACTTATTGGTGGAAGACTGAATGCTTCCCCCCTAAGATCAGGAACAAGTGAAGTGTGGCCACTCTCACCACTCTTGTTAAACATAGTGCTGGAAGTTCTAGGCAGGGAAAAACAGCAAGAAAAGGAAGTTAAAGGCATCCAAATCGCAAAGAAAGAAGTTAAAATATTTTTGTTAACAGATGGCATGGTCTTGAAAATCCTAAGGAATCCACAAGAAAACTATTAGAACTAATAAACCAGTTCAGCAAAGTTTCAAGATACAAGATCAGTGTAGAAATTTTTTACAATTTTCAACTGCTATTTGCTCATTCCAAATAAGTTTACCTCCAAGGACATATATGTATGAAGAATCCAGGGGAAAGGTTAATTCGATGGCTGTTAATCACAGCCAAATTTAGCACATCTGCTGTTAGTCAAAATACATTCAAATACATTCAAATAACAGCTGGCATTGTGGAGCACTTGGCATGTGGTACATATCATTCATGTGCCTTATGTGTACTGACACAGTTACCTGTGGTCGCACCAAGTATCATCGCCATTTCACAATGGGGAAAACTGAAATAGAAAATGGTTAAGTAAATTTGTCAAAATCACATACCTAATCCCAGCACTTTGGGAGGCTGAGGTGGGAGGATCATGAGGTCAGGATTTCGAGACCAGCGTGACAAACATGGTGAAACCCCGTCTCTGCTAAAAATACAAAAATTAGCCAGGTATGGTGGTACGTGCCTGTAATCCCAGATACTCAGGAGGCTGAGGCAGGAGAATCACTTGAAGCCAGGAGGTGGAGGTTGCAGTGAGCCGAGATCACGCCACTGCACTCTATCCTGGGCAACAGAGCGAGACTCTGTCTCAAAAAAAAAAAAAAGAAAAAGAAAACACCAAAGCCGGGATTCTATATTTTTTTCACTCACAAGATCCTGAATGAGTTTATCTGAAGATGATAAGATAAAGAACGCTAGACTGAGAGTTAAACAAGCTCTCTGGGGCTTTCCTCTGGCTCTTCCACTAACGAGATGTGTGACCTTGGATGAGCAATTTCCCTTTTCTGAATCTCTGTCTCCTCATCTGTAAAAAGAGGGAGCTGGACTAAATGACAGCTAAAGCCTCCTACAACCTCTAATTCTCTCACACTGGATTTACTCTACACCTGGTATCTGAATTACAAACTCTCCCTTTTCCAGGAAAGATGAAAGGACCAGGGGAGGACAGACACTTACTTGTCACGACAAGAGATAGGAGAAACTGAAGCAGGACACCATGTCATTTGCACAAGTTGCTGCTTCAGCCAGTGATGGGTTTAGGTGAGGAGCATGGTTATAATTAGAGCAGCAGCCAGTCCTGAAGGCTGTGCCAGCCTCCTTCAGCACAGCTGGGCCTGCCGACTGCACATGCAGGAATCTGAGAGGCTGTTCTGGCCTTGAAAATGATCCTTCTTAAAAGGATTTTCCTCCTTCCTCAAGGGAAAGAAAACCTATTGATATAAAACTTCACTTCCCATTCAGTTTCCCCTGCTAAATGCCACTCCAGTAGAGACTGAGTGTTGATAAATACAGGGGAAGGAAAAAGTCGTAAGCTGAGCCTGGTCACATTGCCCCTTGTGATATCGTTTTATTTTTAACTTCGCAACACTTGGACTATTTCTGTTGAAGTTTTCTCTCCTTTCCCTGCCTTCCCAACAGAACGCTGTCCTCTACTGCAGCTGATGCAACCCAGCCACCTCCCGGCAATCCGCTTACTTGCAATCAAGGGTTCAGGTGCAAGCAGATGCTGACTCAGCCTGTTCCATTAAGGTAAGTATTCAAACAGGAGCAGGTGCACCATGACGAGGACATTCAGTGGTGAATATGCAGATGAAGCTGAGCCGCATATCACTTTTGTGTCCTGTGGAAGAGGATTGTTAAGCAAATTAGTTATGTAAAGATGTGGGGGAAAGGCTGGCACTGAGAATGAGATCCAGCCGTGTGTAAATTTCTGTTTCCATTTCAAGAGCAGGTAGAGTACTTGCTTTCTGACAGCTTAGGTTCTTTCTTCTATAATCAACAAGAGTAGTTATGATATCTGTAAAGTTACAACATGGTGATGGGTGGGGGGATCTGGGGAAGTGGAGGAGGTGGTGAGGAAACAAGTGGAAGGCCTAGAATCCAGGATTTCTATTCCCTTTTCTTTCTTTTTTGAGACAGTCTTGCTCTGTCACCCAGGCTGGAGTGCAGTGGCACCATCTTGGCTCACTGCAGCCCCTACCTCCCAGGTTCTAGTGATTCTCCTGCCTCAGCCTTCCGAGTAGCTGAGACTACAGGCACATGCCACCACATCCGGCCAATTTTTGTATTTTTTTAGTAGAGACAGAGTTTCACCTTGATGGCTAGGCTGGTCTTGAACTCCTGGCCTCAAATGATCCGCCCACCTCAGCCTCCAAAAGCGCTGGGATTACAGGTCTGAGCCACTGTGCCTGGCCCAGAATTTCTATTATTTATTTATTTATTTAATTCATTGTTATTATTTTTTTGAGACAGAGTCTCACTCTGTTGCCCAGGCTGGAGTGCAGTGGTGCAGTCTCAGCTCACTGCAACCTCCACCTTCTAGGTTCAAGAGAGCCTCCTGCTTCAGCCTCCTGAGTAGCTGGGACTACAGGCCTGTGCCACCACGCCTGGCTAATTTTTGTATTTTTAGTAGAGATGGGGTTTCACCATGTTGGCCAGGCTGGTCTTGAACTCCTGGCCTCAAGTGATCCACCCGCTTCGGCCTCCCAAAGTGCTGAGAATACAAGCATGAGCCGCTGTGCCTGATCAGAATTTCTGTTTTCTAAAGTCTAAATGCTGTGATCTTTTCTCCAGTCAACATTTGCTATGTTTGCTTGCAAGTCATTCTCATGTAGCTTAAAATTTCGTCTGCTGTGTCATACTACTGGTTAATAAGCACAACTGTATTTTCTGTATATACTATTCAAACTCCGCAGAGTTTAACACCTTTTTTTCGCCAACAATATTCTCTAAGTGTGGCCCTCTTCTCCCCAGCTCTCTTGAGTCCAAAATGCATCCATGAAATATAAGTGAAATATTTCTCAAGTTGAAAAACTTATATAGGCTTATGCACCAAAACCAAAGATTGTTACAAGCTTGAACAATTTTGCATATTCAGAGGGATAAAAGTAAAATGACTAATGATACTTGAGGTATCAAAAGTTATAACTTTAGACAGATAGTTTCTCGCTTCTGGAATAACTGTATAGTGTTGCATGCACTAAAAATTGGCAAGGTAAGGGAGCAGTGTTTATTTTCTTGTTTTTCACTGGTTCAAAGTTCAGCTAAGGACATCCTGGGAAGTGGCCTATGCAGCAAAAGGGATTCTGTACACTCTGACCTTTGATGTGTACAGGCTAAAGCCACCGATGCCAAGTAAAAGGAGACCTAAACTAACTATTCAGATACCTTAACTCCTGGTTCCTTCCTGCCTGTCTCTGTAACCTCCATATGTACCCCAAGACTCTGCTATAGGTGTCTGGGTTATCATTATGCCTGTTTCCTGGGCACAAGCAAATTCACTGTGTATAATCACCTAACTTCATTTAATTTTTCCAGGGCCTCCACAGCACCAAGGTCTCCAAGGTGTATGCTGGGATGCTGTCCTGGTGAAACTAGGGTGTGTTGGCTTACAAGTAACCAAGCAGACAGATTGAGTCCCAGCTACCCCTAGATAATCCAGTTACTTTAGCACTATCTTGGCCAATGCAACTGTAATTTAATAGAATAGTACTGATACAAAAGCACCAGATATAAGAATTAACTAGCTAATTCAATAACTAATAAGTATAAAGTTAGAGAGATTTCTAGTATAGGTGGAAAACTTCAGATTGTGAAGTGGAATGGATCTGGGAGAGGGTGGTTCTGTTTTAGGATACAGTGAAGGTACTGGAATCGCAGCGTCGAAGCCAAGGATTATGGAACCCAATGTGGGAATTAGCCTCAGCAAAGTGATTGTGTTAAAATCTCAAGAAGGCAAAGAGATTACTTTAATAATTATCTTTATACATTTTCTTTCCCTACAATTAAATATTTCCATAGCAGGGAAACAGGTCAACAATGCATAATTAAAGTAACTAATTAATTGGCTGGTTAACAGGTTAAGAGTTAAAAAATCTTTGACCTTTAACTTTTAACCTTGTCACTTTCACTGAAGTTAAAGCTCAGAAATAAATCATTATTGCCAGCGCCAGCCACATGAGGAGGCAGAATAGTTTAGTTACTGACATCATGTGAGGGGTGCTGAGAGGGCCCCTTGCCTAAAAATATCTCCCTGACATCAACCCTGTTTGCCTACTAACTTTAAAATTATAGAAAAGAATGTTAAAACTATTGTTTGTTAATCCCATTCTCTTTTGCTTGAGTCAGTGATTTAAATACACCTGCTATACGTGTTAGCATGACTTTGTTGACCAGCAACACTTGGTCACCACCTCCTCCTCCTTCTTCCACGCTTTGTCCTACTCTGCCCTTGGTACCATCTAAGCTGCCAACATGCCTTGGCTGTCACCACTCAGGTAGCTTTGTGTGGTGCTGTGATTTCTACAGACTCTTTCAATAAAACATCAAAGCACAATAGAAAAAAAGCACGTGACTAGAGCCAGAGACTCTGGGAGCATAGGCAAGACATTTCACTTCTCAGAGCCTCAGTTTCTCCTCTAGGAAACAAGGAGGTTAAAACAGACCCTTTCCTTTCAAAATGAGGTCCTTAGACCATCAGCTTCATCTGGATTTTGTTACAAGGAAAGAGTCTCAGGCCTCACCCTGGTCCCACTGGATCAGAATCTGCATTTTAAAAAGTTTGCCCGGGTGATTCCTTTGCATGTTGAAGTTTGAGAAGCTATGGAATATGGATTTCTTAATATCTGCCTGATCCAGATTTCGGATTCTGTGCCTGTCAAGTGTTTAAAAGAACAAGTACTTTAATCCCCTGCAAACAATCTGGCAGTGCTCAGATTATCTATTATAAATCCAGCCCACTGAGGTCTTTTCTTCAATGAGGCCTACATTAACCTAAGTTGAAATGATTTCCTTTTCACCTTAAAAAAAAAAGCAGCCCCAATTAGCATACATCTGACACCACTCTACTTTCTTCCTAAATTTGTTTCAAATTACTCTCGCAGCTTTTAAAATGCTGCCTTTTTAAGGGTTCAGTTTAATTCAGTTCAATCCTATTCAATGTTCTCGTTGACTGAGTGCTGGGGGCAGTGTTTGCTCTACTCACTCTCAGTCCCTAGAAGCCCATTTGGTGGGTCCTTAAGAAGTATTATCACCCTCTGTTGATATTCCGGTCAGACCTCCTTCCACTGCCTGCACACACCTCGCTGGCGACAACACTTGTGCCCATCATTGGAACCTCTCTCACCATTCTCACCATCACAGCAACTTTGCCAGGTTCTGCCAACTGCCACAGCCAATCACAAGAGAGAAGGCAAGTCTCAAGGACCACACTTTCCTTTTTTCTTGATGAGCAGAATAATGCAGATGAGCAAAAAAATTTACAAATTTTGGCCTAGGAAACAAAGATGCCTTCAAGTTGTCTTTATGGCATCTACAAAGTTTCAGTCCTAAAGCAGTACTATTTGAATTCCTAAGTGCTTAAGGAATGGCTCGTGGTGATTAAAGGGGGCCGAAAGTGGGGGGAAGTGTGGAGGCTTACATTCTTAAAAGAGTGAGGAAATAATTTTTAAAAAATAGAATTTGAATATCATCAAACTGACAGTGGAATATAAGATACATTGGAGTGAGGGGGACTGAAAATGGAAAGACCAGACATGGCTACAGGAGGGCAGTGGGAACACATGAAGGCCTGGAGGAGGGAGGTGACCATGAGAATGACCTTCCTCATAGAGTGACTCATCTATTACACACTCCCTATTTCATCTCATTGGATCCTTGTGCAACCCTATTGGTTATTATAGGCCCCCTTTTTTTTTTTTTTTTTTTTGAGACAGAATTTCACTCTGTTGCCCAGGCTGGAGTGCAGTGGCATGATCTTGGCTCACCACAACCTCTGCCTCCCAGGTTCAAGTGGTTCTTGAGCCTCAGTCTCCCGAGCGTCTGGGATTACAGGTGCCTGACACCACACCCGGCTACTTTTTTGTATTTTTAGTAGAGACAGGGTTTCTCCATGTTGGCCAGGCTGGTGTCAAACTCCTGACCTCAAGTGATCCACCTGCCTTGGCCTCCCAAAGTGCTGGGATTACAGGTGTCAGCCACCGTGCCCTGCTTATAAGTCCTACTTTTGAATTAATAAATTAGCTTTAGGTAGATTAACTTGTCAAAAATCACTCAGCTTATTCATGGGAGTGCTCATTGATTTACTTTATATTGGGGGTGTCAGGTAAGGACTCTCTGTGGAGGTAACATGTAAGCAGAAAACTAAGTGGCAAGAAGGAGTCCACAGAGCAAATACAGAACAAGAGGAGAATTCTCGTAGAAAGAGCAGGTACACAGGCCCTGTGCTGGAATAAGTGACAAGACCAGAGCAAAGTGCATAAGGGTGGGAGGTCAGGCAAAAGAGCAAGCAAGGGAGAGCTCATGCATGGCCTCATGGGCCAAGAGAAGGACTTCAGAGTTTATTTCCTTGTGAAGGGAATCCACTGGAAGTTTTAAGTTGGGGAGTAATAACCTAGTTTTGTAAATTGTGAAAAATTACGCCTTCTGCTGGTAAATATTGCCAATCCATTCTCCCCAAAATAGGAGCTTTAAAATTCCCCTGTCTTAGCAGTCAACATAATATGATTTAGATTTAAATACTACAAAGATTCATACAGAGCTAGATTTTTCTAGATGTGCTAGATGTAGTTTAAATGGAATATGAGTTGGTGGAAGGACCTGGTGTGTGAACTGAGACATGGTGCAAAATAGAAGGAGTGAGACTGATTATAAACCCATTGCACTACACCGGGTGAGCAAGGATGATGCCTGGCATTGGGCAGTGGTGGAGATGGAAAGAAGTGGGCAGAATTTGCCCACTCCTTTTCCAGATCTTTTGTCAAGGCCTTCCCACCTAATTGGCAATCCTCCCACCTTGGTCTCCCACAGTGCTGGGATTACAGGCATGAGCCACTGAACTGGGCCCAATTTACACCTTTCTGCGTGGTCCACACAGCACCACAATCTGCATCAAATCAAGTTGCTGCCCCCTTGCCAGGTGCTAAATGCTTCCCTATTTCTTTGAAAAACAAGCTATGCCTCAGGCTCACACACCTGGTCCTTCCACCAGCCTATGTTTCATTTAAACTACGTCCAGCACATTCCGTGTAGATCTTGGGACTATTTAAATCTAAACTATATTAGTTTGACTGCTAACTCCTCTAGACAGGGGAACTTTAAAACTCATATTTTGGAGAAAATGTGTTGACCATATATTTAACTGTAGTTCATTTTTAAGAGGATAGAACATACTGCTTTTTCAGACAAGAAGCAAGAATTTAAATGTGAACACAGGGGCCAGGGGTGGTGGCTCACACCTGTAATCCTAGCACGTTGGGAGGCCGAGGTGGGCGGATCACCTGAGGCCCGGAGTTTGAGACCAGCCTGGCCAACATGGCAAAACCCCGTCTCTACTAAAAATGCAAAAATTAGTTGAGTGTGATGGTGCATGCCTGTAATCCCAGCTACTCAGGAGGCTGAGGAAGGAGAGTCACTTGAACCAGGGAGGTGGAGGTTGCAGTAAGCCAAGATCGTGCCACTGCACTCCAGCCTGGGCAACAGGAGCGAGACTCTGACTCAAAAAAAAAAAAAAAAAAAGTGAATACAAGGCATAGTAATTAAAAGGGAAATGGCACCTGGATAGCCATACTCTGTCTCAGGCATAGATTTTTGTCAACCTTTTCACAGTGAAGAATTTCTATAATCTGAGTGCTTTGATCTAGTAGGTATTTCATTTTAAATATCAGAATCCATATTGTAGTGCATACACACACACACACACATGCACACACACACACACACACACACACACACACATATATATATATATATATATTTTTTTTTTTTTTTGGAGACGGAGTCTCACTCTGGTGCCCAGGCTGGAGTGCAGTGGCACAATCTCCACTCACTGCAAACTCTGCCTCCCGGGTTCAAGAGATTCTCATGCCTCAGCCTCCCAAGTAGCTGGGATTACAAGTGTGCACTATCATGCCTGGATAATTTTTGTATTTTTAGTAGAGATGAGGTTTTTCCATGCTGACCAAACTGGTCTCAAACTCCTGACCTCAGGTGATCTGCCTGCCTCAGCCTCCCAAAGTGGTGGGATTACAGGCATAAGCCACCATGCCCTGTCTAAACACACATATATATATACACACACACACAGGATCTTGCTGTGTTGCCCAGGCTGGAGTGCAGTGGCATGATCACGGCTCACTGTAGCTTCAATCTCCCAGGCTCAAGCAATCCTCCTGTGCCAGCCCTCCAAGCAGCTAAGACTACAGGCATGTGTCACACTTGGCTGATTTTTTTTTTTTTTTTTTTTTTTTTAGTAGAGACGAGGTCTTGCTGTGTTGCCCAGGCTGATCTCAATCTCCTGAGCTCAAGCAATCTCCCACCTTGGCCTCCCAATGTGCTGAGATTACAGACATTTGCCTCAGCACCTGACTTATGTAGTGCATAGTTTTTAACCCTACAACCTTCCCTTTCACAGTTATATCCTCTGAAATGCAAAGCCATTGGGCCTGGATGTTCCTTTTGTTTTCTGTACTCAGAGAGGGCACAGTATGGGATATGATCCAAAGAAGTATCAAAATAATCGCCATAAGGAAGGAGGGGCTTCTTAAGGAAGGGCATCTGGCTCCTTTACAACCTGAAAAGATTAATAATACATGTGGACACTATTCTGTGCCCCAACTCTAGCGATGGGCTTGCATTTTTCCCACACCATGTGGATCAAACACCTGTGTCTCCATGGGCCTTTGAGGGCCAAGTGTGATGTAGCAAAGAGTATAGAGTTTGAAGACAGACAGGCCTAGGCCTCTTTGTGCCTCAGAATCCTTATTCATAAATTGGAAATGGTAGTACCCACCTCACATGGTTGTTGTGAGAATTAAATGAGGTGTTATGTAAAAGCATAGGAAAGGCACTAAAATTTCATTTCTCTGCCTCCGTGACACCCAAAATGCAGAGAAATCTCTCAATCTAGGAAAGTCACACAAACCCCATGGGGGATAAGGATCCTGTTACTGGGCACAGGAACAGAGAAGATTGGGAGAACAGGTCATCTTCTATCACAAGGCAACCAATGATATATCTAATTTGATCATTTTGGGGCAACACCAGTTGGTTCCTACTTAAGGTGATCAATCAACTGTCCAGATTTGCCCGGAACTCAGGCATTTTCTGGGATATGGGACTTTCAGTGCTAAACCAGGAGAGTCCTAGGCAAACCAGGACAAATTGGTCATCACACTTACCCAGCCATGATTAGACTATCGAGAGTTCCAGATTGACCCTTATATCAGTGAGAACAATTTCCCCCCCATACACAACAAAGGCTCAGATGTGATTTGTTTATAGATGTGAGGCTATTTCATCTTCCCCCTTCCTTTCATTGTCAAACTTCTCTGGAGTGGTCTCCACTCACCGTGCCTTTCTGCTCTGTACATGTCCTCTCTCAAAGTCACTCATCGGGTGTAGCTCCAAAGCCTGGTAGGAGAGCTTTAAATAGCAACATGAAAAAAAAAAAGCGTCTTTGTTATCTCTTAAAGGGACATTTTCAAGTAACTTCAAGGAGCTGGAGAACAATAAGGCTGCACAACAAATGTTTCCAGCTTCAATAATACTGTTCCCAAGAACCATACTCCATAGTGCTGAAGGGTAAGAAATGATAGAGCTTAAGAGTTAGTCACCAGTGTCCCTCCAGCCAGACACAGCCCTGCTGCTGGGGCAGAGTTCTCACTGCACGCATAGAAGCACACTGAACTAGCCAGCCCTTCTTTTCCTTTCCAGGAACTGAGCTCAACTTAATGACAGAACAGGCTGGCATATATGAAGTTAGACTTTCCTGGAGCTGGTAGCTTTTTTCACAGAGCATTATTCCATTTGTGATTTTCCCCTTCTTTCCCACCTAAAAAGCAGCAGGGGACTCTGAATTATCCAGACTTTGTCATCATTGGTGAATTTCTCTTCTGAATAAAAATAGATGGCCACATTCTCTCAGCCAGGACAGGCCCTGACAACAATGGAGTGTATGCTTAATAGCTTTTCCTTCCTCTACAAGCAAACAACACATTTTCAATGGCCAAGGGTCCCACTGCGCAGCTAAAATGCCACACTTGCTCTGGCAAGAGCTCTTTGGGGACCTGCCATAAGCAGTGACATTGTCATCATTGTTCTTAACTTTGCAGTATCATTTGAGGCCGTAGCTCACTTTTTCCTTTGCATCTGTGACAACATAGTCCTGACTCTTTTAGCTCTCTGATCTCTCCGTCTCTGGTTCTACTTCTTCCTAATTTCCCCCAAAGCCATCATACTTGGCTATGTACTTCATGGCTCCAATTTCTATTCTGTTTTTACTTTCCCACATATGGCTTCCCCTCTCACTTGTAAGTGGATACTTCACAAATCTGCATCTCCACATTCCAGTCCCTCATCTTCCCATCCATGAGATCTATCATCCTCTCAAGCAACTTGTATTAAACTTTCAGGACCCATCTCTCCTCCCCAAATTGTTCCCTCTTTAGATCTCTATTTTTCTCAAAAATTATAGCCAACATTCTTTCTTCCTGGTTCGAAATCTTGGCATCAACTTTGTTTCCTTTTTTACCATCCCAGCCAGAAATAAAAATGTGATTCTCCCTTTGTAATGTCTTCTATGTGTCTCATCTTGACTATTTTTACTGTCATTGGTCTCACCCATCCAAGCTTCCATCGCATTCTCTACACAGCAGTTTCTAACTCTAGGTCTTCCTACTCCATTTATTCCTCCAGTACTCTTACTTAACACCCCAATTACAGTGTTAAATGGCTCCCTATTGTGTATCAAATAATTCCAGATGCTTTAGCCTAATATTTAAACATTTCCACATTAAGTCCATAATGGACTCTTTTTTTTTTTCCAAAAGTGACCTGGAATATGGCAGGAATCTACCTCTACATTACACTGCATGTTAAGAGATCAGTAGCTGGGCTCTTGGACCCAAAGATGTGTTTCCTGCTGGATCCTATTCTGCTCCATCACAGTCCATTTTTGTCCATTCAGGCTTCTATAACAAAAGATTCTAGACTGGGCAGCTTACAGACAACAGAAACTATTTGGAGACTGGAAAAGCCAAGATCAAGATGCCAGCAGATTCTGTGTCTCGTAAGGGCCTTCTTGGGTCACAGACTGCCATCTTTTACTCCTGTCCTCATGTGGTGGAAGGGACAAAGGATCTCTCTTGGGCTTCTTTTATAAGGGCACTAATTCTATTCATGAGGGTTTTACCCTGATGTCTTAATTGTTGCCAGAAAAGAGTGTCCTGATCCAGACCCCAAGAGCAGATTCTCAGATTCCCACAGGCAAGAATTCGAGGCAAGTCACAGAGCACAGTGAAATGGCAAGTTTATTGGAAACTACTCTGTTACAGTCTAGGGCATCCTCAGCAAGAGGAGGAGCACTCCATCTTTTGTTAGTGTCTGTACTTATAAGAAACTATAAAGAGGTAAATTAAACTTGGAATGTGCAGACATGCTCTGATGTGCTCACTAAAGGTAGTGGCTGTCAGTGTTATCGATGACCATCAATCCTTTAACCTCAGCTTGCTCTTTAACATTATCTTTAAGCAAAGAGGGCTGCACTGTCAGGACATCTGGACATTCTGCAGGCTTGGTGAGAGATGTTTTGTCTGGCCATAAATATTCTGTAATTATAAGTGGTGGTCAGCTTGGGATGTGGCTATTTTCAGACCATAAGTATTAACCTTATAGGTGCTTTGTGGGTGCCTCACTATTCACTGAAAGGTGACATCACTCTGGTCATAGTTCTTTTTTATTTTATTTTATTTTTATTTTTATTTTTTTTGAGATGGAGTCTCACTCTGTCGCCCAGGCTGGAGTGCAGTGGCACGATCTCAGCTCACTGCAACCTCTGTCTCCCCAGCTCAAGCGATTCTCCTGCCTCAGCCTCCCAAGGAGCTGGGACTAAAGGCATGTGCCACCACACCCAGCTAATTTTTTGTATTGTTAGTAGAGACGGGGTTTCACCATGTTAGCCAGGACGGTCTCGATCTCTTGACCTGGTGATCTGCCTGTCTCAGCCTCCCAAAGTACTGGGATTACAGGCGTGGGCCACCACGCCCAGCTCTGGTCATGTTTTATCAAGCCAGAGGCCTGGTAAATAGGGGTTCCTCTAACATATTTCCCCCTTCTGTCATGAGTGGACCCTTAATCCTAAGGGACACTGAAGGGCAGAGGTCAGTCTTCTGCAACCTCTTCCTGCTGAGAAACGTCATTGATGTTAACTCTGCCTAGCTTTAAGGGACCTGTCATGTTGGGAGGGGTCTTAACCAGAGGTAGCTTGAAGCTGTTGCAGTTAACTGGAGGAGCAATAGGTCTGTAGGTTTGTAGGTCACTCATAAGTTGATATCCTAAACATAGAAACTTATAAGAATTATAGCTATAATTATAAAACATGATATATGAGTACCATACATTGTGAATTAAGGATTAATAATAAGAATAGGGCCCAGTAAACCCTACATTCCATGCAAAACATGCAGCAACAATAAAATCCACAACATAAAGCTATGCCTATTCCAATTTTTATAGCTGGGGTGACAAAAGGAACTTTTTCCACCATGATGGCCCTGACCCAAACCACAATGTTAGCCATTATCTAAAGAAAGTGTGGGATTAGAGATGGCTTTAATTTGTTGATGCATATCTGGAGGGCCAAAGAAATATTGTCTGAGTTATTTGGGATATATATACAATATTTGATTCTGATAATAGCACAGGTTCCTCCCTGTGCCGCAGTCAGAGTATCTAATGACATTCTGTTTTGCATGATAGCCTTATGCATATAATACATTTCAGCATTTATAAAAGATATATCTCACAGGCTGTTACTTACAGCCCATGGGGTATCATTGGCAATGACCTCAACATGCCAGATAGCATCTTATAATCTAACAGATGGTAGGAAGAGTGAGGCCAAGTGGTTATACCCATGAAAAATGGATCTGGCCCACATACTGGTTATGTGGAGAAGGTTGGCTGGCTTTATTTATTTATTTATTTATTTATTTATTTATTTATTTATTATTTATTTATTTATTTGACACAGTCTCCCTCTGTTGCCGAGGCTGGAGTGTGGTGGCATGATCTCGGCTCACTGCAACCTCTACTTCCTGGATTCAAGCAATTTTCCTGCCTCAGCCTGCCAAGTAGCTGTGATTACTGGTGTGCACCACCACACCTGGATAATTGGCCAGGCTGGTCTCAAATTCCTGACCTCAAGTGATTCATCCACCTCGGCCTCCCAAAGTGCTGGGATTACAGGCATGAGCCACCATGCCAGCCTGGCTGGCTTTTTTAAATAGTCTTTGTCCAGTGACCTGGGGTCAAGATAAGCTTCATGTACAATGTCCTAGCCACCCAGAAGGCAATCATGGCCAAAGATTGGTGCCACATATCCAATGAGTTCCTAAGGGATGCATATCAGTTGGGTTTTGGTCGTTGCGACCAATCGGTAGCAGATAAGTCCATTTGTTGCAGGACTATGGTATGTTGGCATTGTCTTGCAGGAATCCATCCCATGACACAAGTAGCATTTGTCAAGGCATCAAGGGAGTGATTCCATTGTTCCTAACACAGTGGGACTACCTGACTTAGGTGTCCTGCAGAGGTGGTTAGTCATAGAAAACCATCTCAAATCTGAAGAAATCATTCTTCAAAACTGGAGTTTTTGAGCTTTTTAGTTTGGATGTTTATCTTTGGGTCTAGAAAGGAGGTGCCCAGTGCAAGAAACTTTTCTGTGGTCTCATTTACTGAGAATGGCTTCCTATGCCCAGAATTGCTAAAATTGTTATTAATTGGCCATTGGGTTACATTGTTCCAAGTCAGGCCAGACATCTGTGCTTTTGTCCATTGTTTAAGTCCCTCTAAGTATGTCTGTAAGTTATCTAAGCATGTCCCTGTGTGGGGGATATCCACCAGGGCAAGCCTGAGATGCTAGAGAAGGGCAATAGCTCACAAATCCAGCAAGAGGACATCGGCATAGTCCTGTGCCCATTGTAAGAAAAGATTTGAACCTCCAGCAATAGTGAAAGGAAGGATAGAAGCCCCAAAATAGACACAAATAAAAGAGAAGCTACATTCTATAGTTATATCCTGTAAGGACATAGATATTGCTTACCCAGAGCTGGGACAGACTCATACCAGTAAAAGTAAAAGACGACCAGGAGGAGGATCAGGAAGACTAACCTTGCCCCCAAGCTTATCCAGAGCATCACTTTGTAGTAAGAAGCTTCCAAGGATTTCTCCTGAAGAGGAAGTATAGACCTTCTACTGGCTCACAAGAGTAAACTAGATTAGCAGACTGGGTGTCAGAAGTGTAGACCTTCTACTGGCTCACAACGGTAGACTAGATTAGCAGACTGGGCGTCGGTAGCTTGTGGGGCTCCATAAGAAACAGGTTTAATTCAAGACAAATGTACCTAACTGTGAATCCCTTGCAGTTTAACTGCTATTGGAGTGCTCAGAGCACTTGATATGGACCTTTCCACATTGGGGAAAGCTGGTCACTAGAGACCCTTCCATTCAAGTCTTTAGTAAGGTTAAATACCCTAGTTGAACTGAAACAGAATTTTCCTCTCATGTGGGGAGGGAAAGCCTTTTATATCCATATTCACACAATGCATTTTGCACTTGTCCTAGATTGATAACATATTTTTGTAATTAATGAATCATTTCATCTATTAGGAGATTTGCAGTTAGGAAAGGCCTTCCATATGTTAATGCAAAAGGACTTAATTATAAGTTTCCCTTTGGAGCAGCTCAAACCTGCAGTAAAGCTACAGGCAATAGAGATAGCCAGGTCTCTGATGTTTCCTGGCAAATTTAGCCGGAGTCCTCTTTAGCCTATGATTAACCCTTTCCACCTTTCCAGAGGATTGGGGTCTCCATGCAGAATGAAGATGATATTGGATTCCCAATGCCAAGGATAGGTATTGGGTTATGCCTGCCGTGAAAGAGGGGCCATAGCTACTTTGCAATCTTTCAGGTAATCCAAACTGAGGAATTATTTCTTTTAATAAACTTTTAGATAGGCTTGGTGTGGTGGCTCATGCCTGTATTCCCAGCACTTTGAAAGGCCTAGGCAGGTGGATCACCCGAGGTCAAGAGTTTGAGACTAGCCTGGCCAATATGGTGAAACCTTGTCTCTACTAAAAATACAAAAATTAGCTGGGCATAGTGGTGCATGCCTGTAGTCCCAGCTACTTGGAAGGCTGAGGCAGGAGAATCGCTTGAACTCAGGAGGCTGAGGTTGCAGTGAGCCGAGATTATGCCATTGCACTCCAGCTTGGGCGACAAGAGTGAAACTCCATCTCAAAAAAAAAAAAAAATTGAGAGACCTCTAAAGCTCTTTTTTTTTTTTTTTTTTTTTTTTTGTGAGATGGAGTCTCACTCTGTTGTCCAGACTGGAGTGCAGTGGCACGATCTCGGCTCACTGCAAGCTCCGCCTCCTGGGTTCATGCCATTCTCCTGCCTCAGCCTCCCAAGTAGCTGAGACTACAGGCGCCCACCACCACGCCCGGCTAATTTTTTGTATTTTTAGTAGAGACAGGGTTTCACTGTGTTAGCCAGGATGGTCTCGATCTCCTGACCTCGTGATCCGCCCACCTCGGCCTCCCAAAGTGCTGGGATTACAGGCGTGAGCCACCGCACCTGGCCGAGACCTCTAAAGCTCTTTTGGATCAAGTGGGGGAAAGCCTTAACCTAACCAGTGAAGGTAACAATAAACACCAGTAAATATTTGAATCCCCTACATAGAGGCATTTAAATAAAGTCTAGTTGCCAGACTTCACCCAGATAGGCTCCTTTATGTTGGACAGGTTTAACTAGAGGTGGGGGCAATGGCTGGCTGCTTGGGTTATTTTGGGCATAGAGCTTTCAGGCTGAAGTCATCTGTTTTAGTGTCTTGAAAAATTTTCCCATAAATAAATAAGATATCAACTGAAATAAAGAATCCCTTCCCAAATGAGTGGAATTATGAAAATGCTTAACTATTTTACACTGATTGGCACTTGGCATTAGTAATTTGTTATCATTAACCAGCCAGAGGGGTCCTGGGCCAAATCGTGATCCCTGGCCCATTTTCGTTCTTCCTTGGAGTACACTGGCTCGGCTATGTCTGGGGCTGTGGGCACTAGGATGCCCATAAGCGTTAACTGGCTCTTTTAGTGCAGTGGCCTTGGCCCCCACATCTGCAAGGGCATTTCATTTAATAATATCATCAAAATGTGCTCTGCAATGAATTACAGCCATTTCTTTTGGCAGTAAAACAGCATCTAACAAGCTCAAAATATCCGAGTGATGTTTTCTGGGGGAGTCCTTAGCAGTGAGAAGTCCCCACTCTTTCCAAATGTCGGCATGACCATGAAGCATTAAAAAGGCATGCTTGGAATCATCAGAAATGTTAATTTTTACATCCTTTTCCAATTGCAGGGCCCTAGTAAGAGCAATTAGCTCAGCTTCCATCTGTAAACCATTCTGTCTCAGGATTGTTAAGAGGCTCATCTCTTAAGTTTGGCCTGCTAGAATAAATTTGCTCCATAACCTGTATGCAGGAATGGTTTAGAGCGTCTGTGGACTCTGGCAGACAAGCAGCTGGGTTTACTTGGAGAACTTCAAGAATTATGTCTGGTGTGTCTAACAGTAAGGCCTGATGCTTTAATAAACATCCTCCCATCATCCACTGGTGCCCTTTAGCTTCTAGGACCCCCTGGACTTGGTGTGTGGTCAAAACCTCCAGGTGCTGTCCTAATGTTAGCGTATTAGCTTCATCTACCAGAAGAGCAGTAGCTGCAACAGCCCAAAGGCATCCAGGCCATGCAGAAGCCACATGGTCGAGTTGCTTAGAAAAATAGGCTACTGGCTGTGGAATATTCCCCAATTTTTGGACAAGAACATCCAAGACCATACCTTGCTTTTTGGCCACATAAAGGAAAAATGGCTTATCCAAGTTGGGGATTCCTAAGGCTGGAGCAGAGCCCAATTTCGCTTTGACAGTATTGAAGTTTTGTCTGCTATTCTCATTCCAATCAAAGCGTTTTAAATCTGTCCTTTATAGAACCTCACATACAGACTTGAAATGTTTGCCCAAATCCAGGCACCCATAAATGGCAGAACCCAGCCATCCCTAAAAAGGCCCACATAGGTTTCTTGGTATGGGGCTCTTGAATGAGCTTCCTTCCATTCTGAGGCTATTGCTTGGGTACCAGAGGTTAAGATGCAACCCAAATTGATTCTGGAGGAGTGTTATAAATAATAAAGAGAGAAACAAATAGTAAATAATAAAAAAATTTATAAAAAAGATATATTCAAAATATTTGACTTTCTGAGTAGAAATCTGAGCCTTGTGTGGTGACACCCTATATCCAGTAGTTCCTAGGAAATTTAGCAATTTAACGGTAGTATTATCTGAGTTCTCTTTAGTTGGGCTAGCAATGAGCAAATCATCTACATACTAGATAATTGTGCCCTTTTGCAGTTGTAGATTCTTCAAGTCCTTAGCTAGAGCATTTCCAGACAAGTGTGGGTTATCCCGCAACCCTTGAGGGAGAACTGTCCAGGTTAGTTGTGAGGTTGAATGAGTATCAGGATCATTCCTTTCAAAGTCAAACAGAGGTGTGGATCTGGATGCACTGGGTGCAGAAAAATGCATCCTTATCTTCCTTTTTTCTCTCCTCAGGGGAGAGGAACAAAAGTAACACTCGTTTGTTTTATGCTCTCTGAAGGTAACCATGCCTTGCAGCCGAATCAATAAATTCCTCCCCAGTAAGGGGTAGGGCATGCAGGTAGTACTAAAAAGCCATGCAAGAAAACCAGAGTCCCTGAAGGACAGCTTAAAGGATAAGGAAAGTGGCATTTCTGGGCTTGCCCATCAATGCCTGTACAGCTATAGAAGACAGGGCTCCATTATGCTGGGCCAGAACAAAGTAAAATGCTCCCATATTGAATAAGAAATTAATAATCTTATCTGCCACTTCAAGAGTCACCTGAGTCTCCTCCAGAGCAATGGCTAATTGTCCAACAGGAAATAAGGTGTGAAGTCTTGGGCTGGTGTCACTCTTAGGTCTGCTGGGCCATTATGGGTTCAGGAGCCGATTCTTGGGAACACAGGGCATTCCCTCTTCCAGTGACCAACCTTCTTACAGAAAACACATTGGTTTACACCCAGGACACAGTGGCCCAGGGCACAGTGGCTCGGAGGCCCAGAATGGGGCTTTCTGCCTGCTAGCTTCCTCTGGCAGGGCTTGGGGGATAAGGGGCTGGCTCTGAAGGGGTGGAGAGCTCAAGGCTGCAGCTAAAAGCTGGGCCTTTGGGAGGTTTGCTTTACTTTCTCTGCCTCCTCTGCCCTATCTTGGCCATTGAAAATTGCAAAAGTCATGTCTAAAAGCTGATTTATGGAAGTCCAGGGGCCTAAGTTTGCTTTTGTAGCTTCCTGCAGATATCAGGAGCAGACTGGATTATGAAATGAACTCCTGGCAATGCCTGTCCCTCCTTGGAGTCAGGGTCAGTGTTAGTATATTTCCTCAAGGCCTCAATTAACTGCCCTTGGAACAAGGTTGGGTTTTCATCCTTTCCATGAGTAATTTCCCTGACTTTATCATAATTAACAGGCTTTATCACAAATCTTCTCATTGCTTCAAGGAGGCAAATAATCATATGGTTTCTCCTCTCTAGGTTCTTACTTCCTTTTTTTGTTGTTTTTTTCCTCAAGACGGAGTCTTACTCTGTTGCCCAGGCTGGGGTGCAGTGGCAAGATCTTGGCTCACTGCAACCTCCGCCTCCCAGATTCAGGTGAGTTCTCCTGGCTCAGCTTCCCAAGCAGTTGGGACCACAAGCACATGCCACCACATACGGCTAATTTTTGTGTTTTTAGTAGAGACAGGGTTTCACCACATTGTCCAGGCTGGTCTCAAACTCCTGACCTCAAGTGATCTGCCAACCTTGGCTGCCCAAACTTACTTCCTCTTAATAACTCCAATTTAGGTCCCAGTCAGGAACTGCTGTACCTCCTACTGGATAGATGTCATGCCCCTGGTTGCAGGCTGCCACTCCATCTGCATATGCTTTAACAGCTCCCATAATATGCTGCTTTTCTTCTTCTGTGAAGCAGGTAGACAGATGTATATGCAAATCTTGCCAGGTTAAATCATATGTTGAAGGGGTGGCCTGCCCCTCCACACCTGTGGGTATTTCTAGTCGGGTGGGACGAGAGACTGAGAAAAGAAATAAGACACAGAGACAAAGTATAGAGAAACAACAGTGGGCCCAGGGGACCAGCGCTTAGCATACCAAGGACCTGCACCGGCACCGGTCTCTGAGTTCCCTCAGTTTTTTCTGATTATTATCTTCATTATTTCAGCAAAAAGGAATGTAGTAGGAGGGCAAGGTGATAATAAGGAGAAGGTCAGCAACAAACATGTGAGCAATAGAATCTATGTCATAATGAAGTTCAAGGGATGGTACTATACCTGGATGTGCACGTAGGCCAGATTTATGTTTCTCTCCACCCAAACATCTCAGCGGAGTAAAGAATAACAAGGCAGCATTGCTGTAAACATGTCTTGACTCCCACCATAGGGTGGTTTTTCTCTGATCTCAGAATTGAACAAATATACAATCAGGTTTTATACCGAGACATTCAGTTCCCAGGGGCAGGCAGGAGACAGTGGCCTTCCTCTATCTCAACTGCAAGGGGCTTTCCTCTTTTACTAATCCACCTCAGCACAGACCCTTTACGGGTGTCAGGCTTTCTCATCCCACGAGGCCATATTTCAGACTATCACATGGGGAGAAACCTTGGACAATACCCCGCTTTCAAGGGCAGAGGTCCCTGCGGCTTTCCGCAGTGCATCGTGCCTCTGGTTTATTGAGACTAGAGAATGGCGATGACCTTTACCAAGTATACTGCTTGTAAACATTTTGTTAACAAGGCACGTCCTGCACAGCCCTAGATCCCTTAAACCTTGATTTTATACAACACATGTTTTTGTGAGCTCCAGGTTGGGGCAAAGTGGCTGGGGCAAAGCTACAAATTAACAACATCTCAGCAAAGCAATTGTTTAAAGTACAGGTCTTTTTCAAAATGGAGTATCTTATGTCTTCCCTTTCTACATAGACACAGTAACAGTCTGATCTCTCTTTCTTTTCCCTACAATATGTCAATGTTAGTCTCTCAAATTCATCTATGAATTTTCCTAGACCCTCTAAAAACCAGCTGAATTTTTTCTGGCATAAGGCTGTCAGGCACAGAAAAGGGTACATGTACCCATAGAGTGCCCCTGTCACCATCTGCCAGCTCCTGAAGACAGCAAAGAGTCAACTTCGACGGCTGGTAAGAGGCCCCACTAAGAGTGGTGCTGGTGAAGCTAGGCTCTTTGGGGAACGAATGTAAGACAGGGCTTGAAGGGTAAGGAGGAGGTGATGGCAGGACATCGGACAACCCCAAATAACTAGGAGGGGTTAATAATACTTTGGACACTTCTGGGGAACTAGGAGTCTGACTTTGTTCCTCCGGAGCACTTGAACTTACAGTGGGGAGTCTGGAACCAGCTGGGGGAAGCCTGGGATTAGGAGGCACTTGCATAAGTGGTCATGAATTATGTCTAGTCCTTCATTTTTCTCTCCTTCTATCAAACATATACAAGCGTATTTTAAATCCTTATCCTGACTAACCATTAGGAAGGCCTGCACATAGAGTATTTCTCCACACTTAGTTTCCCTTCTACAAAACAAATCAAGCCGAAGTATAGTGTTAGGGGCCGCTGTAACACCTGAGGTCCACCTTTCTGGTCCTCTCAAAGGATATTGGGGCCAGTGTTATATTAAAAAAAAATTTCTCAGCCGGGCGCGGTGGCTCACACCTGTAATCCCAGCACTTTGGGAGGCCGAGGCTGGCAGATCACGAGGTCAGTGAATCGAGGCCATCCTGGCTAACACAGTGAAACCCCGTCTCTACTAAAAATACAAAAAAATTAGCCAGGCATGGTGGCGGGTGCCTGCAGTCCCAGCTACTCGGGAGGCTGAGGCGGGAGAATGGCGAGAACCCGGGAGGCGGAGCTTTCAGTGAGCCGAGATCCAGCCACTGCACTCCAGCCTGGGCGACAGAGCAAGACTCCGTCTCAGAAAAAAAAAAAAAAAAAATTCTCTTAAGCCCATCCAGTTTAAACCTTCCCTTCCCTAATAGGTTAAAATGCACCCTAACAGTGAGCTCTTCAGGATAGGTACTGCGTTCTCCACCAGGACTGAAGGTGCTGAATACCACTCCTTGTCCGCAAGATTGTACTGCCTCCAGCCGAGCTCCACTGAAAGGGACAAGATAATTCTTAGTGCCAATTTGGCCAAGGGAGGAACTACTGGAGCCAGTAGGGTCCCCTTGTTCATATCAGATAATAAGAACAAGTAAGCAGACCCATGGTCGCCTGAGGCAATGCCACAAGGAACCCAGCGAAGAAAAGATGATGAACCAAACAAGGGAAGTGGGCAAGCTGTAACTTGGGATCCCCTGACAAAACTATTTCAGGGCAAAAATGACATTCTGGGTCTAGAAAGCGGGGCCCGGCTGTCCGTGACCAGCCAATAAAAGATGATCTTCTGATTAATAGACAAGAGAAAACTGTTAAGAAAAAGTCTCCTGTCCTCCATTCTGGGGCTAATTTTTTGCAAGGAAAGTCATAAAAGAGGCTTTTTTCTTAAAGGGCGTTTCTAATCTTGTCACATATGGCTGTTAAATACCACACTTTAACTTGTAACTGCAGTAATGGAGAAGTTATTGCCCATCTCTTCCAATAATTAAGGTACAAAAAGACTAGATCCTGAGTGACTTCTTGTTTCCAGTGTCCCTCAGACAAGTGGCGAATTAAGTCAGAGGAGAGGCAAGGAAAGTAAAAGCTAAACTGTTTGGTGGCCGGGCATTGTGGCTCACGCCTGTAATCCCAACACTTTGGGAGGCCGAGGTGGGCAGATAACTTGAGATCAGGAGTTCGAGACCAGCCTGGCCAACATGGTGAAACACTGTCTTTACTAAAAATACAAAAATTAGACTGGGCGCAGTGGCTCATGTCTGTAATCCCAGCACTTTGGGAGGCCGAGGTGGGCAGATCACAAGGTCAAGAGATCGAGACCATTCTGGCCAACATGGTGAAACCCTCTATCTATTAAAAACACAAAAATTAGCTGGCTGTGGTGGCGCTTGCCTGTAGTCCCAACTACTTGGAAGGCTGAGGCAGGAGAATCGCTTGAATCCGGAAGGCGGAGGTTGCAGTGAGCCAAGATTGTGCCACTACATTCCTTCTAGCCTGGTGACAGAGCGAGACTCTAGCTCAAAAAAAAAAAAAAAAAAAAAAATTAGCTGGGCGTGGTGGTGTGCACCTGTAATCCTAGCTACTCAGGAGGCTGAGGCAGGAGAATTGCTTGAACACAGGAGGCAGAGGTTGCAGTGAGCCGAAATCGCACCACTGCACCCCAGCCTGGGCAACAGAGTGAGACTCTGTCTCAAAAAAAAAAAGAAAAAGAAAATGCTAAACTGTTTGGGCCATCCTTCCCGTGGCAGCCTCAGGGGTTCTGTGAAACAAAGGCAGCAAGCCGACAGGAGACAAGAAGCAGGACGCTCAGGCCAGCAACAGAAAGCACAAGGTGGATTACTCCCAAGGAGTTAGTGGCAAACATCTCATAGGGCCAAATCCGTTTTCCAAATAAACCCTGGGGCTTCTAACTCCTTGGGCCCTGGGCCTCAAACTCAAGTAGCAGTGGACAAGCATCCTTGTCCCCTGGAATAGCTTAATGACTCTAAAATGAGCCCCACTTACCCAAAGTCAGCCAACTGATGCTGCGCAGACTGTTTTCCTTCCGAGTGGGAGTCTCTTCTTATTGTCCATCCATACAAGGACACCAGAAGGATGTTGCAGGAAAAGAGGGTCACGACCCAGACACCAAGAGTGGGTTCTTGGATTCTCACAGGAAAGGATTTGAGGCAAGTGAAAGAAGCACATTTGCCAGGTGCGGAGGCTTTCACCTGTAATCCCAGCACTTCGGGAGGCCGAGGCTGGTGGATCACGAGGTCAGGAGATCGAGACTATCCTGGCTAACATGATGAAACCCCCACAAAAAGTTTGCTGGGTGTGGTGGCATGTGCCTGTAGTCCCAGCTACTCGGGAGGCTGAGACAGGAGAATCGCTTGAATCTGGGAGACGGAGGTTGCAGTAAGCCAAGATCGTGCCACTGCACTCCAGCCTGGGCAACAGAGAGAGCATCTCAAAAAAAAAAAAAAAAAAAAAGTAGCACATTTGTTGGAAACTACTCTGTTACAGACTAGGGCGTCCGCAGCAGAAGGAGGAACGCTCCCTCTTTTGTTAGTGTCTCTACTTATAAGAAACCCGAGGCAGGCAGATTCCTTGAGGTCAGGAGTTTGGAACAAGCCTGGACAACATGGCAAAACCCCGTCTCTTCTAAAAACATTAAATTAGCCAGGCATGGTGGTGCGCGCCTTTAATCCCAGCTACTGGGAGGTTGAGGTGGGAGAATCATTTGAACCCGGGAGGTGGAGGTTGCAGTGAGCCAAGATAGTGCCACTGCAATCCAGCCTGGGCAACAGAGCAACAGAGTGAGACTGTGTCTTAAAAAAAAAAAAAAAAGAAGAAGAAGAAAGAAAGAAACTATAAGGAAACTATAAGGAGCTAAATTAAACTTGAAATGGGCAGATGTGCTCACTAAAGGTAGCAGCTGTCAGTGTTATTGAACACCATCAATCTTTTAACCTCAGCTTGCTCATTAACATTATCTTTAAGTAAAAAGGGCTGCACTCTCAGGACATCTGGGCACTCTGCAGGCTTGGTGGGAGAAGTTTTGTCTGGCCATAAATATTCTGTAATTATAAGTGGTGGTCAGCTTGGGATGTGGCTATCTTCAGACCATAAGTATTAACCTTACAGGTGTCTTGTGAGTGCCTCGCTATTCACTTTAAGATGGAGTCACTCTGGTCATGTCTTATTAAATCAGAGGCCTGGTAAGCAGAGCTTCCTTTAACATAATCACTTCTCTAAGGCCCCACAGCCAGACACCCTCACACTGGGAATTAGACTTCCACATATGAATTTGGGGGTCGATACAAACATTCAGATCATAGCACAGTCCAACCCTCTCAGCCACCCTGCTCTGTTCCTCTCCTTCTCTGGCTTTAACACCTTTGTTTATCTTCTGCTGGGCCCTGACCCTGTTTGATGCTTCTGCTTGCGATTTCTCACCTGCCCCCTGACTAGGGCTATTAGGAGTATAGAGCACTCTGCCGTGATTCCTCTTTCACACTCAGTAGCCCCAGTGGGGTCCAGAACAAGGGTTCTCATTTATTAATGTGCATAAGAATCAGATGGGGAGTGTGTTAAGCATGTAAATTCCAGGAGTCCATCATTCCCTCAGGTCCAGGGGTACAGCCAGCATCTGTAGCAGTGGAACTTTTTGTGAAGATGGGAATGTTCTATTCTGTGTTGTCCTAAAGAGGAGCTACTAGCCACAAATGGCGATTGAGCACTTGAAATGTGGCTAACGTGACTGAGAAACTGAATTATTCATTTTATTGCATTTTGATTAAATTTAAATAGCCACATGTGGCTTGTGACTTTCATATTGACCAGTGCAGATCTATAGGTTTAGCAAGCATCACAGCTGACTCTAATGAACAATAGTGTTTAAGACTCTAACAAGCCGTCCAGGTGATCCTTATGCTCACTTACTGGCAAGTAGTAGTAGGTAATCAACAAATGTTTGTTGAGTGGGTGAATGAGTGGAGGAACTAATAAATGAATGAACCAGACTATAATTTCCTTGTGGTTTAAGGCTGTCTCTCCTGAAAAAGAAAATGTGGGGGACTGTTCCAGATTAAAGAGGCTAAAAAGACTTGGCAATCGAATGGAACAAATTGACATTAAAAGGATCCTTGTTCAAAAATGAGAGGTCTTAAAGCCAGACATAGAAAGACACGTATTGCATGTTCTCACTCATATGTGAGAACTAAAAAAGTTGATCACATGGAGGTAGAGAGTGAATGATAGTTACCAGAGGCTGGGAAGGGTGTAGGGGATAGTAGGAGAGGGAAGAAGAGAGGTTGGTGAATGGATATGAACAGACAGAGAAAACAAGTTTTAGTGTTTGATAGCAGAGTAGGGTGACTATAGCTAGCAACAATGTATTGTGTATTTCAAAACAGCTAAAAGAGAGGCCTTGAAACGTTCCCAACACACAGAAATGATAAATACTTGAGATGATGACCTAAATATCCTGACTTGATGATTACAGATTCTGTATGCATATAAGAAAATATCACATGCACACCATAAATATGCACAAATACTATGTATCAATTAAAAAATTTTGGGCCGGGCACAGTGGCTCACACCTGTAATCCCAGCACTTTGGGAGGCTGAGGCGGGCGGATCACGAGGTTAAGAGATCGAGACCATCCTGGACAACGTGGTGAAACCCCGTCTCTACTAAAAATACAAAAAATTAGCTGGGCATGGTGGTGGGCACCTGTAATCCTAGCTACTCGGGAGGCTGAGGCAGGAGAATCGCTTGAACCTAGGAGGCGGAGGTTGCAGTGAGCCAAGATTGCGCCATTGCACTCCAGCCTGGGCAACAGTGTGAGACTCTGTCACAAAAAACAACAACAAAATTTTTTAAAAAATAAAGTTAGAAGAAATAAGTTCTAGTATTTGATAATACAGTAGAAAAATTATAATGAACAATAATTTATTGTATATCTCAAAATAACTAAAAGAGGCCAGGCATAGTGGCTCACACCTGTAATCTCAGCACTTTTGGAGGCCGAGGCAGGCGGATCACTTGAGGTCAGGAGTTCAAGACTAGCCTGGCCAACATGGTGAAACCCTGTCTCTGCTAAAAACACAAAAATTAGCCAGGTGTGGTAGCGCCTGATTGTAATCCCAGCTACTTGGGAAGCTGAGGCAGAAGAATCGCTTGAACCCAGGAGGTGGAGGTTTCAGTGAGCTGTGATGTGCCACTGCACTCCAGGCTGGGCAACAGAGCAAGGCTCTGTCAAAAAAAAGCTAAAAGAGAAGAATTATAATGTTCCCAACATAAAGAAAAGTGTTTGAGGTGATGGATATCCCAATTACCCTAATTCGATCATTCCATATTGTATACAGGCATCAAAATATTGCATATACCCCCAAAATATGTACAACTATTATATATCAATAAAAATGTTTAATAAATAAAAATATTAAAAATTTAAAAATAACTATACTAGACATTTTGGAGACAACTGGAGAAATGTGACTATAGGCATTTTACATGATATTAGAAAAGTATTTTTAGTTTTCTTAGGTGAGACAATATTATTATAAGTCTTTATTCTTAGGAAGTACAAGCTGAAGTACTTAGGGATAAAGCGTCTTATATCAGCAGCTTATTTTCTTTCCTTCTTGTTTTTTTTTTTTTTTTTTGAGATGGAGTTTCACTCTGTCACCCAGGCTGGAGCGCAGTGGCGTGATCTCGATTCACTGCAACCTCTGCTTCCTGGGTTAAAACAATTCTCCTGCCTCAGCCTCCCGAGTAGCTGAGATTACAGGCATATGCCACAGTGCCCGGTTAATTTTTTTTTTTTTTTTAATTTTAGTAGAGATGGGGTTTCACCATGTTGACTAGGCTGGCCTTGAACTCCTGATGTCAGGTGATCCACCCGCTTGGGCCTCCCAAAGTGTTGGGGTTATAGGCTTGAGCCACCGCGCCTGGCTGGCAACTTATTTTCAAGTGGCTCAGCCAAAACTGTGTGTGTGTGTGTATGTGTGTGTGTGCGTGTGTGGTTGGAGGGCAGGGAGAGATTGAGAGAGAGACAGAGAGGAGAGAAAGAAAGGACACAAAAATGGTAAAATGTTAGCAATTGTTGAATCTAGATAAAGTATATTTTGGTGTTCATTGTATGTATTCCTTCACCTTTTCTGTATATTTGAAATGTCTTTTTTTTTTTTTTAAGTTGGGGGAAATTTTACCCACAATGAATTGGCAAATTCTAAAGTAAAGTAAAATGGTTTTTTGTTTGTTTGTTTGTTTTTGAGACAGGGTCTTACTCTCTCACCCAGGCTGGAGTGCAGTGGTGTCATTACAGCTCACTGCAGCCTTGACCTCTCAGGCTCAAGCGATCCTCCCACGTCAGTGTCACTCTCAAGTAGCTGGGACCATAGGCGTGCACCACCATGCCCCGCTAATTTTTTAACTGTTTTTTTTTTTAGTAGATACAGGGTATCGCTATGTTTCTCAGACTGGTCTTGAACTCCTGGGCTCAAGCAATCAACCTACCTCAGCCTCACAAAGTGCTGAGATTACAGGTGTGAGCCATTGCGCCTGGCCAAATTTTAAACTTATGGATCTTCTGACATTTGGATGCTAACCTCCCCACTCCATCACAGACTAACACTGTGCTGAAATTATGTTACAAATTCTGTAGACCAGATATTGCAAACTGGCAACCTACAGATCCTATCTGGCCAGCATTCACATTTTTCCTTGGCTCAAATAGTGTTGTTTTAAATTAAGTTAGTTGTTAACATTTAAAATTCAGAGTATTTTTATTTCGATATATTATGTAGTAAAATATTTTGCATTGTGATGAAATATAAAATACTACTTTATAATAGCAAACATGTATAGATCACTGCCTGTGAAACAAGCACTGTTCTAAGAGTTTCATGTATATTTAGGTCATTTACTCCTTACAGCAGCATTATGGGATAGGTACTATTATTATCCTCTCTCTACTGATGGGGAAACTGATGAGCGAAGAAGTGAAGTAAATTTCCCAAAGTCTCACAGCCACTGACTTGTAGCTCCAGGGTGGAAACCTGTGCAGTCTGCCTTCTAACCACTAAACCATATCACAGCTCACAAAAGTCCGCATCCCCACTGTCTCTGGAAAAACCAGGTCTGGCAACACATTCCCACATGGCATCAATTAACCAGGGCTGAGAAATTTCATTTCCCTGAAGACAGGGCATTTTCTCTTTCACTTGCCAGAGTCTCCATTCAGTCAACTTCTGGGACCTTTGGGGTTTTGACCCCTGCTCTAGCACAGCTGAATATACCAGGGGAAATGGCATGTTACAGATATTTCACAGACACCTATACACTGCCCCAGACAAAGTTAGATCTCAGACTAACCTCTAAGTGGACAGGAAGCCCCAGTGGAAGAGAAGATTAGAAGGTAACCTAGGCCAGATTGTGGGTAGCAGAGTGTTTAGGATGCCAGGATAATTGTCAGCAGACAATGGAGAAAGTTATAGGAAGCAGAAGTTAACATCCCATGATTGGTAATATGCCCTATCAGAGGGCAGCGGGGGTCAGTGAAAATAACATGGGCCAGCATGGCCTGGATTACAAAGCTGATTCCATCACTTAGCAGCTGTGTGACCTTGGACAAGTTACTTACCTTCAAGCTTCTGTTTCCTTGACTCAAACATGGAGATAAAGACACCTCCAGGATGGTGGAAGGAATTAAATGAGATAGTGTGTGAAGTCTCTTTAGCCTCTATTAATATAGGTAACCTAACTGTTTTTCTTACTAATTATTTATATTCATATTTTCCCGTAGAGCTAAGAAGCAAGAAGAAATTGGGGCGCCATGGTAAGCACCAGGAGCTTATTGAAGCTTCACCATTGAGAGGTCCAGGTCTTCCTTCATTTATCCTGTAGCCCAAGCAGCTAGCAGACTTGCTCTTATGGTTTGATGATATTTATCAACTTTTTTCCAAACTAGAGATGCTGAACAGAACTTGGAAGAAATTGACACAGAGTAAGGGGAAAACAGTTGAGAAGGATTTTTGAGCAAAGAGTTTAAGTGAAAATTTAAATAAAATAGTCAAAAAGCCAGCAATAATCTAAATGGCTAGCAATTCCTTCATTCAGCAAGCATTGAATACCCACAAAGGTCCAGGTCCCATGCTAGATGCTAGGGACATAAATGCGAGCAAAACCAGACATGGCTGCTGTCCTCCCAGCCCGCACTCTGGTGGTAGTTGATTAAATGATAGCACACCCATATTCCGGAATGTTACACTGCCATTATGAAGAAAGTTTGTAAAGAATAACTAATAAAACAATCTAGTTTCATGTTCTAATAGCAAGATAAAAAGCAGGATGAAAAGTTGTATTCATAGTATTATCCGTATGATATAAATAACCTGTAATCCACAACTCAAAAATAACAATTGTCAACAGTGTAGTCCATTATATTCAATTCTTTTTTTCCTATTCTAAACACATCTACTACATATATATAATAAACTATTGGAAAATTCTAAAAAGTACTTATAGTTGTTATTTCTGGATTGTGGGATTGTGATATTCCATATATTTCAAGGTTTCTACAAAAAGCAGGTATAAACAGGAAATATGTCAATTAAAACACAGTCATAGACATGCATAGAGCTTCTCCTCAGTATTCATTTGTTTTCTTCCCCCTGTCCTTGGTGTGTCCAGGGGAAAGCCCGCAGATCCCCGCCAGGGCACCACAGGCATTGTGAGGGATGCTTCAACCGCCACTGCCACATTCCTGTGGAACCCAACACCTCCTGCCTGGTAATAAGCTGCCACCTGCTCTGTGGTGCCACCTTCCACATGTGCAAAGAGGCAGAGCACCAGCTCCTCTGCCCTTTAGAGCAGGTTCCGTGCCTCAACTCCGAATATGGCTGCCCTCTGTCCATGTCCCGCCACAAACTGGCCAAGCACCTGCAGGTGTGCCCCGCCAGCGTGGTCTGCTGCTCCATGGAGTGGAACCGCTGGCCAAATGTGGACTCTGAAACCACCCTTCATGAAAACATCATGAAAGAGACCCCCAGTGAGGAGTGTTTGGACACAGCCCTGGCCCTGCAGGATCAGAAGGTCCTCTTCAGATCCTTGAAAATGGTGGAACTTTTCCCAGAAACTAGAGAGGCTACTGAGGAGGAACCAACTATGAATGGTGAAACCAGTGTGGAGGAAATGGGAGGAGCAGTGGGTGGAGTGGATATCGGTTTGGTACCACATGGTCTGTCAGCAACTAATGGGGAGATGGCAGAGCTAAGTCAAGAAGAACGGGAGGTGCTAGCCAAAACCAAAGAAGGGATGGACCTGGTCAAGTTTGGCCAGTGGGAAAATATTTTCAGCAAAGAGCACGCAGCCTCTGCTTTAACAAATTCATCAGCGAGCTGTGAGAGCAAGAACAAGAATGACTCCGAGAAAGAACAGATTTCCAGTGGCCATAACATGGTAGAAGGAGAGGGCGCTCCCAAAAAGAAAGAACCACAGGAAAATCAGAAGCAGCAGGACGTTCGTACAGCCATGGAAACCACAGGGCTTGCCCCTTGGCAGGATGGTGTTCTGGAAAGACTGAAAACAGCTGTGGATGCAAAGGACTATAACATGTATCTAGTGCACAATGGGCGGATGCTGATACACTTTGGTCAGATGCCTGCTTGTACACCCAAGGAGAGAGACTTTGTTTATGGCAAGCTGGAGGCTCAGGAAGTTAAGACTGTTTACACCTTCAAAGTTCCTGTGAGCTACTGTGGAAAGCGAGCTCGACTTGGAGATGCCATGTTGAGTTGTAAGCCAAGTGAACACAAGGCAGTGGATACTTCAGATTTGGGGATCACTGTGGAGGACCTGCCCAAATCAGATCTCATCAAGACCACCCTCCAGTGTGCTTTGGAAAGAGAACTCAAAGGCCACGTCATCTCTGAATCCAGAAGCATTGATGGACTGTTCATGGATTTTGCCACACAAACATACAACTTTGAGCCAGAACAGTTTTCCTCTGGGACAGTGCTGGCTGACCTAACCGCTGCCACCCCAGGGGGACTCCACGTGGAGCTCCACAGCGAGTGTGTGACCAGGAGACACAACAAAAGCAGCTCTGCCTTCACTTTCACTTGCAACAAATTCTTCAGGAGGGATGAGTTCCCCCTGCACTTCAAGAATGTCCACACAGACATTCAGTCATGTCTCAATGGCTGGTTCCAGCATCGATGCCCCCTCGCCTACTTGGGATGTACATTTGTTCAAAACCATTTCCGTCCCCCAGGGCAAAAGGCAAAAGTAATCTATAGCCAGGAGCTCAAGACCTTTGCCATTAAGCCGGAGGTTGCTCCAGAGCTGAGCGAGGGAAGGAAGAACAACCATCTTTTGGGTCATGGAGGAAAAAGCCAGAATTCTTTAACCAGCCTGCCCCTGGAGATTTTGAAGTACATTGCTGGGTTCTTGGACAGCGTCAGCCTGGCCCAGCTCTCCCAGGTGTCTGTGCTGATGAGGAATATCTGTGCCACTTTGTTACAAGAGAGAGGAATGGTCCTTTTGCAATGGAAGAAAAAGAGGTATTCCCATGGAGGCACCTCCTGGAGAGTCCACAGAGAGGTAAGTAAACACTCATTTATTGATTGACTCATTCAGCAATTTTTTGTTTCATTTTTTATAGACAGGTTCTCTCTCTGTTGCCCAGGCAAAAGTGCAGTGGTGCAATCACAGCCTTGAACTTCTGGGCTCAAGTGATCCTCTTGCCTCAGTCTTCCAAGTAGCTGGGACTACAGATGTGCATCACCACTTCTGACTAATTTTTAAATTGAGATGGGGTCTTACTGTGTTGTGCAGGCTGGTTTTGAACTCCTGACCTCAAGTGATCCTCCCATATCAGCTTCCAAAAGTGCTGAAATTACAGGTGTGAGCCACTGTACCTGGCCTTAACAAATATTTTTAAAGGCCTTTTTTTTTTTTTTTTTGAGAAGGAGTTTCATTCTCATTGCCCAGGCTGGAGTGCAATGGCATGATCTTGGCTCACCACAACCTCCACGTTCCAGGTTCAAGTGATTCTCCTGCCTCAGCCTCCCAAGTAGCTGGGATTACAGGCGTGCACTGTCACACCCAGCTAATTTTGTATTTTTAGTAGAGACGGGGTTTCTCCATGTTGGTCAGGCTGGTCTCAAACTCCCAACCTCAGGTGATCCACCCGCCTCGGCCTCCCAAAGTGCTGGGATTACAGGCGTGAGCCACTGCACCTGGCCTTTTTTTTTTTTTTTTTTCTGAGATGGAGTTTTGCTCTTGTTGCCCAGGCTGGAGTGCAATGGTGCAATCTCAGCTCACCGCAACCTCTGCCTCCCAGGTTCAAGCAATTCTCCTGCCTCAGCCTCCCGAGTAGCTGGGATTACAGACATGCACCAACACGCCAGGCTAATTTTGTATTTTTAGTAGAGACGGGGTTTCTCCTTATTGGTCAGGCTGGTCTCGAACTCCCAACCTCAGGTGATCCACCCGCCTCAGCCTCCTAAAGTGCTGGGATTATAGGTATGAGCCACTGCGCCCGGCCTTAAAGAGCTTTTTATGTGCCAAGCAGGGTACTAGGCATGGGAACAGTTGCTGAGAATAAGACTGACTCAAGGAGGTCAGTTTAGTAGAAAAGACAGACCTATAAATACATAAATAGCAATCCGGAGGGTAGTGCCTGTTCATCTGTGTATGTGTGCTGAATATCTTCTGTTTGCTCTCAAGACCCATTCTCCATCCTTCTCCACCCTGTCTGTCCCCCAGGAGGCTGCCTGGACAGATTGCCTCAGCTGGCTCCCTTACCCTCCATCTTCCAGTGGGGCTAACGTAAATGGAGCGTGTCAGCAGGAGATGGGAGGAAGGGAAGAATGACGTTGAAGTATCTATTCTCCTGGCTTCCCCCCTGCATGGTTCCTCCCCTTTGTGACACTTTGAGCAGGTGCTGTCCCTCCACTGAAGGTGCCTTTATCAGGCGGCTCTCTACACAAAATTACTCACTGTGGGATCCAACGACCTTCCTTCTTCTCCTTCAGGCCCAGGGCATAACTCTCTAGGTAGCTACTCACCCTGGATACTACACTGTATCTCGTGGCTTTCCTATACCCTGCTCTCGTGTCTGTAAATCATTCCTTTAAAAAAAAATCTCTTCAAATTACCCGGTCTGAGAGTGCCGCCTGTTCCCAGCTGTGACTCTGATTGATACAGGAGGCCAACAAATCTCCTCAGTCCCAAGTCAACTAATTTTTTAAAACAGTTTTTGCTTTGATAAAGGCATTTTGAAATTCTAAATGAATTTGGCCCACTGATTTCCCCGGTTCAAGTGCTAATTTAATTGTTCAAAAAACACTCTGCTGTATAAATCAAAGAACCTTTCCCTTCAGAAATACCTTGTTCCTTTTCCCCAGTAGGTCATGTTTGTTTAACTGTATTATAATTTCTACCAGCTTGTACCATACTGAAGTGAGGCACCTAATTCATCATATCCCAGTGCCTGTAGCATCCTTTCTCATGGTAAACCTGTTGGTACTATGAACCATGAATTTGTGATGCCCATTTAGGTCAATAATTCTATAATCTCACTGTTGAATTTCTTCCTAATATGTGGTATTTGCAAATTGGCACTGGGGAGTTAGAGTTGTTTGCATCTATTTGTATTGATCATGTCTAAAACATTTTGTATGTTTTCCATTATTTATTCCTGAGCAGTCTTCCTCAAAAAGTAATTACAAGACTCTCTCTCTTGTATATGTGCCTGCATTCAAGTGTTAAATAAACACTGATTGCCAACCAAGCACGTATTAGGAAGAAACATGAATGAAGACTAACACACTGCCTTCAGGAATCGTATTGTTTAAAAACGCCTAAAATCCGATGTAAATAATTTAATTTAGATACTATAAATTATTTTTTGGCTCAAGTTTTTCCCCAATTCAATGATGACTGACCACTCTCAGATATTATTTGGGACGAGCTAATTTCCTTGCAGAAAGAAATAAAGAAAATTTAGTTGGGGCTAAAGGATACTCACATTAGAATGGATTTTTAAAGTAAAAAGGGAAACAGTTCTAAGATCTCAAAAAAACCACTTTTCCTACATAGCAACAAGGACAAGAAACTGTAGGTGAAGTAGTCAGGTTGAAAGAGTATTAGGCTATGCCTACTCACATAACCAGACTTGAAAACGGTGACTTTGCCATCACATCCCAGGTGGAAAGACCAGAAGATATTTCAGAACTCATAGAATTCTCCTATGGGGTTCCCACTCTAGTGAGACTCTTATGAGTTACAATACTTTAATTTCAAGCAACAGAAAATCAACCTAAAGTGGCATAAACAATAAAGGGAATTTATTGGCCTATGTAACTAAAAAGTCTAAAGGTAATGGCTTCAGGTAAGGCTTGATCTAACAGCTCAAAAAATGCCCCCAAATGACATCTCTTCTTTCTATTTTTTACCTCTACTTCCTCAATAATGGCTACATTGTAAGATAGTGCTCACTCGGTGGTCTCTGGTGATTGCTGGCACCTCCTAGGACTTCAGCTTTGCAGTTCAAGTAGAGAAAGAAAAAGAGAATCTGCTTTTTGGTATCTCCAACAAAAGTTCTGGAATAAGAGTTGCACTGGTACTAATTGTTCTGATTTGAACTGTGCATCTACTTTAAAATTAATCACTTGCTGGTGGAGGAGCAAGGGAGAGTGTGTGTCAATATGCTGATTGGTGTTAGTGATTCTCACAACTACAGGGCTGGTTGGGAAGATTATTGGTTGGCAGGGGGAACTAGGAATTGGATGCTGGAGGAGGGGCTACCAAATGTCTGCAGGAGCCACTAAACACTCTGGAGTCTAAGAATATGAAGAACAGGAGGATATTTCCTTATAGTGCCCAAATAAAGCCAGCCAGAGGGTAACACCCCTATATTCACCTTTGAACTTCTATCTTTCTCAACAGATCTGGCAGTTCAGCAGCCTCTTCTCCAAAATCAAGAGCTGGGAGTTTAATGAAGTCACCTCCATGTCTGAGCACCTGAAGTCCTGTCCTTTCAACATTGTAGAGCACAAAACTGACCCGATTCTTTTGACTAGCATGTGTCAGCCCCGTGAGCAGGCCCGAGAGAGCTTAGTCTCCACCTTTAGAATCAGACCACGAGGAAGATACGTCTCCTAAAAATTCAGATGCCACTCGATGCACCCTTCTTGGATTTCTTCTCGGAGTTCCTGAAGTAGGACAGAGTGTGTGGTTTTGAGGACTCCCTTCTGTAAACTGCCTATTTGCTTATCGGGGTGTATTGGAACACGCAATGTCCTTCGAAACCTCAACACGAGGCCTAAGAATTTCCTAAGCCATGTCTTGTACCATAGTGCCACATTGATGACTTGTTTCCTTTTTTCTTTTCTTTTCTTTTCTTTTTTCTTTCTTTCTAAAATAGATTGGTCTGAGAAGAAAATAAGTAATTTGAGGCCATTTGGAAGATGGGCCCAATTTCTTAAGTGATGAGAGAGCACGAAATTCCATAACCAGTACAGGCCTGTGCTTTTACATGGGCTTTTTAGTTCACAAAGCACTTTCAAATTTATGGGACAGGAAATGCAGGATGGGACTCCCCAGGGAACGCAGGGTGAAGGGAACAAAGCTGGAGGCTCTGGAGCTGGGTCTGTTTTGACGGTCAAGTCCAGGGCTCATTTTGGTTATTCTACTGCCTCTAGGCCAGGGTAGTCCTAACACAGCCTGACATAGGAGAGCCCCTGGCTGAGCATGGCAGCCTTGAAGACACCACAGGCCAAAACATGAGGGGCAGAAATGGGATCACAGAGTCTGTTGCTAGAATCTTGGCAACATACAGCAGGAAAGCCTTGATAAATCGGGAGTCCAAAGGAGACACCATATTTATGGAGAACATTAGGACAAAAAGTCACCAACTTACTTTGTAACATTTTAATAATGACTTAAGGGTCAAGATTTTTTTCTTCTGAAAATTATGTTCTGAGTTAGGCAGAACATAGCCATGGCCCTGGGCCACCCTGTGCTATCTGAAATGACCTCAATACACTAATGCCAACCTCAGCGTCATGCCAGAATGCACAGGGCAGCCCAGGGAGATCACACCTTTGGCAAAGTCCAGACAAGGCCCACTGCAGTTCCTATGGCGCCAGTCACCAGCTCCTAGACAGCACTTGGGTACCCCATTGGGGTCTTGGAGAGGAAGACATGTGAACATAACGGCTCCCTGAAATTGCTCCTACCCATCCATATTTCTGGTCATGCTTTCAGTCTGACAAAAATGGATGATACTGCTGTTTTTGGTAACAAACAGTGAATATTCATAAGAACAAAAGTAAAAGAAAAAAAGACACAGTAGAAACTGGCATCCCCTAAAGCAGGGCTTCTTAGCCTTGGAACTATTGACATTTTTAAATGGATAATTCTTTTTTTTTTTTTCTAGGTGGGGAGGGGATGGAGTTCACTCTTGTTGCCCAGGCTGGAGCGCAATGACATGATCTCGGCTCACCGCAACCTCCGCCTCCTGGGTTCAAGCGATTCTCCTGCCTCAGCCTCCCGAGTAGCTGGGATTACTCGCCTGGCTAATTTTGTATTTTTAGTAGAGACGGGCTTTCTCCATGTTGTTCAGGCTGGTCTCAAACTCCCGACCTCAGGTGACTCGCCCGCCTTGGCCTTCCAAAGTGCTGGGTTTACAGGTGTGAGCCACTGCGCCCTGCCTGAACTGGATAATTCTTTGTTGCAAGGGACTGTTCTGTGTACTACAGGATACTTGGCAGCATCCTTGGCCTATCCATTAAATGTCAGTAGCACCCCCACAGTGGCAACAATCAAAAATGTCACCAGACATTGCTAAATATTGGGGAGCAAAATGGCTCCCCGTTGAAAATCCCTAAAGGATGTCATACTAGTGACAATAAGTTAGGATATGCTTATTTTTTAGTACAGCAAAATCTTATCGCACATAGCTATCCACAATAGTTATGATTTAATGCAGCTCTTTATTTATGAAATAGGTTTTAGACATGTGGTGATTTTAAGTTGGGAACCAGAAGGAAATGATTCGTTTGGTATGGCTTCATGTCCTTCAGCCACCCCCAAGAATGTATCCTTTCAGCTCTCTTTGGTTATACCTGAAGCCAGGAGCGTTGAGTTATTAGCCTTGTGTTTATATTCCTCTCACTGTAATTGGTGTCATTTTCCCAGCAGTCCTAGCAGTCCTCAAGCAAGTGGGAAATCGGAAAAGAAAAGGACAGGCATTGTAGGGAAGCAGAGGATAAAGAATTTAGCCAACAAAAGAAACAATCTAGTCAATCTGGGTGCTTTTATTTCCTGGGTTCTCTCTAAACATGGCTCAGAGCTGGTGTAGATGAAGTAGGTGAAACCTCTGAAAAGAGTCTAGAAGGCAGTAGAGCAAGTCCCAGACCAGAAACATGCTCATCTTTTCATCGTAATGTGCCACTCGGTACTATTTGGTAATGTCACTCTATTTTTCCTAATCCCATCCTTTGGTTTGTATTTCATATTTGTATATAAGGCACCATTTTCTAAAAATATGACTAGGGTGTGACCTAAGGTTTTATTCTGTGAAGATGAGTAACTGGAAAGAAGCTAACACTGCAGTGGGAAGGAAGGAAGAGAGTTGTCCAGGTGGTAGTTCGACGTGTTTTGAATCTAGTCCTTCCTACATGGAGGATAAAAGCTCCTAAAGTCCACTCTGGGTTTGTGATTTTAATAGAAATAGAAAGGGAAACTATAGACCAATGGAGATGAAAATCAGGGGCTATCGACAGATGGAGGAGAAATAAGGTGCTACATAGAGAAAGGAAGAGGGCAGAAGGCTTTCCCTTCCCAAACTGGGTGAGCTGGGGAAGCCTTGGTTCAGGAGAGTGGCACTGCCCACAACTGCTTTGTGGGTTGTGCACTTCCAGCCGCACTCTCCCCCTCCAGTTGCTGCCTTCAGAGCCGTACTGAAGCACGAGCTTCAATAAGACAAGCACACTTCATAGTGAGAGGGCAGCGGTACCAAAGCCTTTCAGAGAGACTATGGATTAGACAGAAATGATTTGTGAGAGGAAGCTGGAGTGAACAGCATGAACAGCGAGTGTTACCTGACAGAGGCAAGACAGCTAGAAGTGGCTTCAGATTTAGAAACAGCTGAGGGGAGCAAAGACGGACTGTGTACACAGGGAGGGAGGATGTCTATGGGCAGAGCCCTTGGTGAGTATCATCACCAAGAAAGGCAGTCCAGAGTAGAGATCAGCCGAATATGGAGGCTGAGGTCTGTAGAACTGGGCCAGAGAGGACCTTACTGCCTTAGTAGCATAAGGGTCTGGAAAAGAAGTTTCTATCTCACAACAAAGGAAAAAGTGAAAAGCAAGGTGGAACTTGAAGATACGTCACGAAAATCACTATAAAAGTCTGATTTATGTGTGATGTCAAATCAAACTGAAATGAAGAATGAGATTGAGTATATCTGTGGTGACTGACCTCTGTATACTAGAAACCTCAACATCTCTAGAAGAGGAAATAAAAGCTGCTTTGCACTCTGAAAGGCTAATTGGGTGAATCTTATAAGTTAGGTCTAGAGACAGATGTGTGATTCACAGGCATAGAAGTTGTCGCTGAAACCAAGTGTGTATCATGAAGAAAGACCAGAGCACAAGCCTGAGACCAAACTTGTCCAACCTGCCTTATTGTGTTGTTGTTCTGTTTTGTTTTGTTTTAGGCTTTTAGCAGCCTGAAGCCATGGTTTTTAGTTTCTGTCTCTAGTGATAAGCAGAACAGAGGAATGACAAAGGGGCTTTACTGGCCCAACCAGAAACAGAAACTATGAACCCATGGCTGAATTCTCTCCCTTGGACACCCTGCTGGGCAGCTCACCAACTCTATGAAGCCCTGGAGCAACTAACTGTGGGTCTTAGCAACCATTCTAGCTCCTCCTTGATCCCAGTGCCTTCTCCATCTTTTCTTTCTTTCTTCTTTTTTTTTTTTTTTTTTGAGACAGCTTCTCACTCTGTCGCCCAGGCTGGAGTGCAGTGGTGTGATCACAGCTCACTGAAGCCTTTACTTTGACTTCCCAGGCTCAGGTGATTCTCTCACCTCAGACTACTGAGTAGCTGGTGCTATAGGCCCACAATACCATGCCCAGCCATTGCTCAGGCTGATCTGTTTTGGACTGGGTTTAAAATGCAGCCTAAGGAGGCCAGGTGCAGTGGCTTATGCCTGTCATCCCAGCACTTTGGGAGGCTAAGCGGGGGGCGATCATCTGAGGTCAGGAGTTCAAGATCAGCCTGGCCAACATGGGGAAACCCCATCTCTACTAAAAATACAAAAATTAGCCGGGCATGGTGGTGCACGCCTGTAGTTGCAGGTACTCGGGAGGCTGAGGCAGGAGAATCTCTTGAACCCAGGAAGTGGAGGCTGCAGTGAGCTGAGATCACACTGCGGCACCCCAGCCTGGGTGACAGAGCAAAACTCCTTCTCAAAAAAAAAAAAAGTTCAGCCTAAGGAAAAGGCCTAGTCTTTGACATCTAGGGTACAGGGGAATTGGCAGTGGTAAGAGAAAGTTTCCTGGATATGCCTGGAAGAGGAAAGGTTGGAGCCTTAAGATTTGAGGCCATGAGGGCCACACAAAAAGTACTATTTACCTCAGCATACAGGTGAACCATAGTCTCACTTTATTTCGAATTTTAGGACTGAACAGAAAGAAGGTTCAGATATTTCTTCAGGGAAGGAAAGTGGGCAAATAGCACAATGAGGCAAACCACACAATCTAGACGTACTTTCCCGGGTAAACAAACTGGGAAGCCCAGAGCTCACAGAGGAGGAGAGCAGAGCTTGGGGTGGCAGAGAGGTGTTCATTGGGAAGGAGTCAGGAACACAAGAGAAATGTTCATGAGCTCATCCAGGATAGAGAGGACTCTTGGGGAAGGGGACCTCCTTCCCCATGCTGTCTCTGCCCCAAGCCCTTAATGAAGCAGGAGAGGGAAGTCTGTCCAGAACCTCATCTGGTTAGACATTTGCAGCAGGAATAGGGAGGGGGTGGAGGCAGAGCCACTTTGGACATGGGAAATCACAGTTGCAGTAGACAGTGAGCTCTAGTCACTCCAGAAGCTTGACATAATTTGCAGGGAAGAGTCCAAAGTGGCCATGGCAACGTCCCCGCCACCAGCCCTCGTCCACCATCTCAATGTCAGTGATTACGTCGTCCGGATCAAAGGAAAGCTCATCACTTCCCTCTGGGGAGAAAGTTGAGGGGATATTAGAATGGTCAGACATGAATCTCTTTTCACATGTCCCCCTGTCTTATATCAGGGGCCTCCATGTACCAGGCTCCTCGGGCCACTCCCAACCTACCTCCTTGGTAATCATATACAGCCACAGCTGAGATCCCCAGAGCCACAGCCCCAGCCCCAGCCCCAGCCGGGCAGCCTGATGATCCTGCATAATGAGAAACACAAACATGGGATCATCAACATGAAGAAGGCAAACAGAGAAAGATCCTACTGGGGCAATAGAGAAATTCTTCTTCCTCTTACCCTCCCCTGGACATGAGCAAATTCTCCTGCTTCTCCTCCCATCACTCACCAGCCAGAGCAGAAGAAAAAGAAGAATCTTCAGGCTCGAGCACCTCCTCATAGTCCCCCTCTGGTTCATCCTCCTGCTCATGCCTGTCCATCTCCTCAACGTCCTCATAGTCATTCTCAGGCTCGGGCTCAGGCTCGGGCTCAGGCTCAGGCTCTGCTTCGTACACTGGCTCTTCCTCCACCTGGAGGCCTTCCAGAGTCCTAGGGGGCAGAGCTGGGGGCTCCTCATTGTCCTGAGAAGAGACAGTGTGGAGCACTGTGACTTCCACTTTCCAGGAGGAATCAATGGAGGACTGATAAGATCCCCCGCCCTTCACCACCCTGCCTCTTCTCCCCTCTACCCTTGCCTCCATCTAACAGCCTCTCCTGGGGAACACAGCCTTTCATCCATCTTCATTCTTCAATCTCCTCCCACACCCACCCACCCAAAACACATTCCAGAGACAATGGGAAGAGAATGTAAAAGGTGTGAGGGGAGGGAAGTAGAAAACAAGTCAGATTCTTTGGGAGACCAAGAAAACATTGAAGCAAGAGCACATTGTTGAGCTACCACAGCTAGGATAATCATCTATACTAGTTTGCCCAGGACAGAGGAGTTTCCCAGAAGGCAAGGTCTTCAGTGCTAACACCAGAACAGTGCAAGGCAAACCAGGATGGTTGGCCACCCTGCACAGCCCACATTCCTAAGACTCGAGAAGATGGGGTGGGGGCAGAGAATCTTTGGGGGTTTGCTTACCTCCGGGAGAGTCTGCCTAATGGGCAGCAAGGGCACTGGGTGTTCCCTGCTGGTTCTCACAGGCTCAGACTCTGATGATGGAGGAGTCCCAACTGGAGGCCAGGCCTGTGGAAAATGAAGCATCTCTCAAGTAAGCAAGCCTCCATCTTCACTCCTTTTTTTTTTTTGAGATAGACTCTCGCTCTGTAGCCCAGGCTGGAGTGCAGTGGTGCGATCTCAGCTCATTGCAACCTCCGCCTCCCAGGTTCAAGCGATTCTCCTGCCTCAGCCCCCTGAGTAGCTGGGATTACAGGCACACGCCACTATGCCTGGCTAATTTTTGTATTTTTAATAGAGACAGGGTTTCACTATGTTGGTCAGGCTGGTCTTGAACTCCTGACTTCCTGACCTCGTGATCTGTCTGCCTTGACCTCCCAAAGTGCTGGGATTACAGGCATGAGCCACCACGCTCGGCCCATCTTCATTCTTTTTATTTTATTTTATGCATTTTTTGAGACAGGGTCTCACTCTGCTGCCCTGGCTGGAGCACAGTGAGATCATAGCTCACTGTAGCCTCAAACTCTTGGGCTCAAACAATCCTCCTCTCTAAGCCTCCCAAGTAGCTGGGACTATAGGCACACACCACCATGCCCAGCTAATTTTTTAATTGTTTTTATAGCGATAGGTTCTTACTATGTTGCCCAGGTTGGTCTAGAACTCCTGGCTTCAAGTGATCCTCTCACCTTGGCCACCTCAAGTGCTAGGATTACAGGCATGAGCCACCACACCATGCATGTCTTCACTGTTACATTTACCAGGAACACCCTCTCCCACTCTCTGCCAATTCAAATGGAACTCATCCCTCAAGATGGGCTCCAGCCTGAAGTGACGGCCCCTTCCTCATAGTTCCTACAGCAATAATTGGCTGTGCTGGCTGGTGACTTGCTTTCTGTTGTACTATGTAAATCTTGAGGGTTTTTTCTAACATTCTGATAGGAGGTCCAATTACAGTCAGACTGAAGTCTTCTAAAGACAGAGACAACAGACCTTGCCTAACCCAGGGGAGGACTTTGCCTTATTTTCTGCCAATGGTTTGGACCCCTTAGGCTCCTGTCTGGGCAAGAGATCCTGGATGTGGATCCCAGAGGGCCAGGCGCTCACCTCTGAGGAGATTTTCTTGGGCAGTGGGGCCGGTACTGCTGGCTCTTCCATAGCTATCACTGGCTGTGGAGCCTCAGGGCTCCTCTTTGTCACAGCCTTTCGCTCCTGTTGCCTCCTGGCCACCTGCTGTGCCTTCTCCTCTTCCTCTCGCTTCCTCTTCTCCTCAGCCATGGACTCAAATTTCGCCTTCAGCCCACGGGTACCACTAGAAGCTGCAGACACAGGCAAGAAAAATTAGGGTTGTCTTGGATTGGAGAGTGGGGAAGGGCATGGCACTTGAAGGAAGAAGGGGAATCAGTTAAATATCCGGGAGGAGGGATTTGTGGGACAGGATGGTAAAGAGGTATCGATAGAGGAACAAGGGATAATAGGAGGATGGCATAGCCCTGAAGCCTGGATTTTTATAAAGCCAGGCTATACGACCTAAGACTCGTGTCTTTTTTTTTTCTTGAGACAGGGTCTCAGCCCAGGCTAGAGTGCAGTGGTGCAGTCATGGGACACTGCAGCCTCAACCTCCCAGGCTCAAGCAATCCTCCTACCTCAGCCTCTGGAGTAGTTGGGACCACAGATGTGCACCACCACACCCAGCTAATTTTTGTATTTTTTGTAGAGAGGGGATCTTGCTGTGTTGCCCAGCCTCATCTTGAACTCCTGGGTTCAAGTGATTATCCTACTTCAGCATCCCAAAGTGCTGGGATTACAGGTGTGAGCCACCATGCCCAGCTGACTTGTGTCCTTTCTAAATTGTAAACTTTGGGCTTCCAAAAAGCATCCTCCCCTGTCCATATTCCATAAATCTGTATGCCTTCTTCAAGCCACCACTCATCCTCAACCTCATCCGAAACTCCTGTCCCTGTGTGTTCTTCCCAAGTGGTTCCTCACCAATGTTCCCATGCCACCCCACCCCTGTCCCAAGCCACACTGTGTTCTCTGCCTCCGATTCCTTCCCCGACGTCACTCTGTCTATCCACTTGACTTTCTCTCTTTCTTTCTTTTCTTTCTTTCTCTCTCTCTCTCTCTTCTCTCCCTTTTCTCTCTCTCTCTCTCTCTCTCTCTCTCTCTCTCTCTCCTCTCTCTCCTCTCTCTCTCTTTCTTTCGTCTCACTCTGTCACCCAGGCTGGAGTTGAGTGGCATGATCTCAGCTCACTCCGACTTCCGCCTCCTGGGTTCAAGTGATTCTCCTGCCTCAGCCTCCCAAGTAGCTGGGATTATAGGTGTGCACCTCCATGCCTGGCTAATTTTTGTATTTTTTATAGAGATGAGGTTTCCCCATGTTGTCCAAGCTGTTCTTAAATTCCTGAGCTCAAGCAGTCCTCCCACTTTAGCCACCAAAGTGCTGGGATTACAGATGTGAGCTCCGCCTTACCTGGTTTTTCTAGGAAAGACAGAATCTGGGAATATGAGGATAGGGATCAGGTCTAACTCAGCTAATCTAGGTAGTTAAAGGCATGGAGGATATAGTCTGGGGAAGAAAAAGAATGAGGGAGAAGGAAGTGAGGTGCATGGAGAGTGAATCACTAAGCCTCACCGGCTTCTATGGGCGTCGTCTTCTTATAAGCTGTGGTCGGGGCCTCCATTTCATTGAAGCCGACAGCGCTCTGCAGGCAGGAGAACAGCATGTGTGTTGCGGGAGAGGGGCAAGGGTAGTGGTGACCTGGAGGTAGTATTGGGGGTTGGGGGCCACTATAAGAGGTATCCCTAACCATTGGATGCTCAACAGCTGGACAGCATGTTCCAATGTTGTTTTGTGGTAGAGAGGGGGTAAAGAAGTTCTTAAGTGCTGAGTTCAGCTCCCCCTTTCAGCAGCTCAGTGACCTTAGAATCTCACATCTCCAAGCCCAGTTGCCTAGAATGTAGCAGGGCCCCCTGGCTCATGCATGAGGAGGAACTAGTGTAGGGAGGACAGTGGCATGGGGTGGGAAGAGACTTAAGATTGGGTTAAGCAATGCCAAGAAATCAATACAATTTCCAGTCCAATACGACCTTTCCCGGCGGTTTACCTGTCTCTCTGTATGCCTCTCCCACTGTCCTCAAAGCTCAGGCTTTGGCAGACATGCCCCTTAGATGCTGAGGGCAGTCAGTGGGGACTGCAGGACGCCAGCAGGACAGGCTCTGTGTGCCCAGCACCACCGTCCCCTCCCTCTCCCAGCCTTCTTCACGCTCTTCTCTGCACACTTTCCTAAACTTAGGGAACTCTTCTTAAGACATTGGTGTTCCGGTGCTTTACCTTATCCACTCGGTCCTTCTGGATTCCATACTGGCCACCAAAGCCCTTGGCATAATCTGCAGGACAGAAAGTTCTGAGTTATAGGAGATCAAAATGCTGGGAATGGGTGGTGAGAAGAATCAGTGGGAAGAAAAACAGGAATGTGGAAAACAAATGTAGGAGGAAATGTGAGAATCAGAGGATAGAGGGAGGCATGGATGGGAAGAGAGGGAAACAGATGGGGAAAAAATCTGGGAGCGAATGGAGAAGACAAAGATGGAAGTAGGGAAACATGGAAAGCAGAAAGCAACAGATAAGGAAAAATGTAAAAGAAATAGGAAAAAATACAGAGAGCACTTCAGCCATCCGTATGGGTTCCAGGGAAGCAGTAAACCTCTTTATCCTCTGTGAGGACAGCAGAGATCCCTCTAAGACTCATGGCAAACCATCTTCTGACCATCACTCAGCTTGTCTGTCCTCATTCCTTCCTCAACGCCCCCTTCTCTCTCACCTCCCTCCTAGGCCCTGCTCTTAATCCTTCTGTTTTCCTCTCCATCTCTCCTCTCTCCCCTCACTACCACCACCTGTCCCCACACATGTGCTTACTGCCCTGGCACCCCCTGCTCTGCACATCTGCCCCTCTGTATTCTGGGGCACCCGGGTGAGCTTCCAGAAAGGAAGGAAGGAGATCCCTGTGCTATCTGTGACCTTCCCCCTTCCAACCCCAACTCACCTCTCTGGGACTCGTGTTTCTCCGTCTCTCCCTTGTAGTCATATCCCAGAGCTGCTTTGTCCCATTTATCCTTCTCCACCCCGTACCGGCCACCAAAGCCACGAGAGTAATCTGTGGTCGAAGGAGCAGTCATGAGAGCCCACCCTTAGGCTCCAGCACACAGGGAAGCGCTGGAGAAGAGAGGTCAGCAGGAATGGGTACAGAGTGTTAGGGGCCTGGGAAAAGAGCAGGGCTTGAATACAGGGGAATTAAAGAGAAGCCATGTCTTAAGTAGTCTTTTAATTGAATATTGCTTACTTTTTCCCTCTCTTCTCTCATTTCCATGCCAAGATGAGAAGAACATTCCCATTTTCTCCCTTCTTCTTCAAGAAGGGGAAAGTATAGAGAGTGAGGAGATTGCAGAAAAAAAAAGGCAGATACATGAAATGTATGCCTTTCCCCTACTCCCATATAAGCACATAGAAATGTCAGATAAAACATAACAATTGTGTTTTAAAGAGTGAAGCTCAGGCCGAGCACGGTGCTCATGCCTGTAATCCCAGCACTTCAGGGGCCGAGGCAGGTGGATCACCTGAGGTCAGGAATTTGAGACCAGCCTGGCCAAAATGGGGAAACCCTGTCTCTACTAAAAAATACAAAAATTATCCAGGCATGGTGATGTGCGTCTGTAGCCCCAGCTACTGGGGAGGCTGAGACAGGAGAGTCACTTGAACATGGGGGGTGGAGGTTGCAGTGAGCCAAGATTGCACCATTGCACTCCAGCCTGGGTGACAGAGCGAGACTCCATCTCAAAAAAAAAAAAAGTGAAGCTCAGCAGAAAGGAAGGGAAAAAATCCTGGCTCCAGAAACCAGAGACAAAGAGATGAATCAAAGCTGTATGTGTGAAGATAATTATGAACTGACACCACAGAAAACCCAAGGGCATTTTTGGGGGATTTTTTGTTTTTAGAGGTAGAGTCTTGCTCTTTTGCTCAAGCTATAGTGCAGAGTACAATCATGGCTCACTGTAACCTTGAACTCCTGGGGTCAAGCAATCCTCCTGAGTAACTGGGACCACAGGCAGGTGCCACCATGACTTGCTAATTTAAAAAAAAATCTGTAGTGATAGGATCTCACTGTGTTGCCCAGGCTAGCCTTAAACTCCTGGGCTCAAAGGACCCACCCACCTCAGCCTCCCAAAATGCTGCAATTACAGGTGTGAACTACCACACCTGGTCAGATTTTAAATTCCAAATGTAATGAATAGGGATTAGGATCGAGGCTCTGTGATTCTAATTTCCATTTAAGAATGGGGGAGGAGGGAAGAAAGCCAGAAACGAAGCTCTGTCCACTCCTATAAGAGAGTGCTAGAAAAATTCTACTCATTTACTCAGGAAAATCATGAAGGGGGCTTGTAACCTGTTCAATATTTGATAGGGGGAAAATTTGCTTATGAGACTTGGAAACTCCAAGCCTACATCTGAGTGTAGAATGCAAATACACATTTTTTTTCCACTTATGTGATGCAGGAATTCTAAGCTGAGAAATTAACTAAATACTGATCCAGGAAAATATACATTTTGGAAAGAGTAAGCATAAGAAAGATGGCATGAATATGAGATAAAGTGATCTCAAGACAAAGTGCATTCTAAGAGACAAGAAAGACATGCTCCAATGATAAAAGAACAATACCTTACATCAGGAGTATGTATGCTGGCATAAACCTATTCACAGAACCAAAATTCATGAAGCTCTCAAATAAAAGAAAAATGTAAAAAACCAGGTGTGGTGAATGCCTGTAGTCCCAGCTACTCAGAAGGCTGAGGCAGGAGGGTGACTTGAGCCCGGGAGTTCGAGACCAGCCTGAGAAACATCGCAAGACTCCAACACACACACACACGCACACACACACACACACACACACACACACACAAATAATGCAAAAGCTGACAGAAGTAGAAAGAGAAATAGACAAATCTGTAATAGTAGTTGAACATTTAACACCATTCTTTCATTAATTAATAGGTATTTTAGGCAAAAACGAATCAGTAAAATTATAGAAGATCCAAACATTATCAACTAATAAACCTAATTGACTCTTATACAACACTATACCCCAAACTACAGAATATACTTTTTTCATGCATATAGAACATTGACCAAATAGACCATGTGCCAGTCCATAAGTCTCTAAGACAGTAAGTCTCAGTACATTTCAAAAGACTGAAATATCAGAGATCATATTCTGATCACAATAGAATTAAAGTAGAAGTCAATACCAATAAAATTATCTAGAAAATTTCCCTGATGCTCAGAAAATCAATAACAGCTTTTAAATAATACATGTGTCAAAGAAGAAATTACAAGGGAAATAAGAAAATATTTTTAACTGAATGATTTTATTTTTTGTTGTTGTTGTTGTTGTTGTTGTTGTTGTTTTTTGAGACAGGGTCTCACTCTGTTGCCCAGGCCAAAATGTAGTGGCACAATCATGGCTTGCTGCAGCCTCAACCTCCTGGGCTCAAGTGATCCTCCCACATTAGTCCCCTGAATAGCTGGGACCACGGGTTTGTGATGAATGAAAATTAAAACACACACATTCAAATATTTGTTGAATGTAGCAAATGTTTGTAGCAAATGAAGGTAGTGTTCAGAGGGAAATGTATAGCTTTTCAAGTGCCCATATAGTAAAGGAAGGCTTAAAATCAATTATCTAAGTTTCTACTTTAAGAGGCTAGGAAAAGAACAAACTAAATTAATACTAAGTAGAAGAAAAACATAATAAAGATAAGAGCAGAAACCAATACATTTTTTAAAACAAGTAAATAATAGAGAAAATTAGCAAAGCCAAAAGCTTGTTCTTTGGAAAGAGTAATAAAATTGATAAACTTCTAGTAAGAATAATTAAAAAGAGAAAAAACACAAGTAAGTAAGATCAGAAATGAAAATAGGCATTTCATATCACTAGAAATCTTACAGAAGTTAAAAAGAAGAGAATATTATAAATGAATTTATGCCAATAAACCTGACAACACAGACAAAATGAACAAATTCCTTGAAAAGCACAACATACCATAACCAACTTAAAAACCAGAAAGACTTGAACTCCATGGGAAAAAATAATAATAAAGGAAAAAAAATGTCCGTTACTATTAAGACCTCTAGAGTTGAGCCAGAAGTAGAGGCAATATTTCCCTGGATGAGGTACTTACTAAACCCAGGGCACATGAAATTCTCATAAAACAAATATCCCTCTCCTTCACTAAAATAAGTTTATAAACAAGATTACAAACCATCAAGGAAATAAATAACCATGAGGAACGCAGATTAGTCAGAAGAAATGGCACAGCCAAGAACTGCAAATAATATAAAATATGAAAGAAACTGCAAAGTACATGTTTAAAATAATTAAACAGCTTAAAGAAGTGGCACAGGGAACCATAATGAAACCATAATGTCTTATGGAAAATGAATCAGCAGATATGCAATAGAACCAAAAGAAACTCCAGAAATGAAAATATCTGATGTGGTGGCTCATGCCTGTAATCCCAGCACTTTGGGAGGCCAAGGCAGAAGGATCACTTCAGCCCAGGAGTTTGAGGCCAGCCTGGGCAACATAATAAGACTTTATCTAAAAAAAGAGAGGGAAGGCAAGGGAAGGGGAGGGGAGGGGAGGGGAGGGGAGGGGAGGGCAGGGGAGGGGAGGGGACGGGAGGGCAGGGCAGGGCAGGGCAGGGCAGGGCAGGGAAGAGAAGGGAAAGGAAGGGAAGGGAAGATATTTGAAAGAAAGTTTAAAATGCAATGGACAGCTTAAACAATAATGAAATACAGCTAAAGGAAGAATTAGTGAACTTAACCTAGAGCTAAAGGAATAACCCAGAATGCGGCACAAGGACATAAAGAGAAGAGAGAAGAGGTATTATTCCAAGAGAAAATGCCTGAGAACTTCCTATAATGAAAGTCACATCTGAGGTTGAAAAAGGGCAGTAAGTCCCATATAGGATAATAAAAGTAGATCTAACATTCAGACACACCCTAATAATAGTGAAGAATATCAGAGACCAAAAGAAAATCTTTAATTAAAAAAAACCCGGAGATATAAGACATGTTACCTACTCAGGAATGATAGTCTGACACAAGAGAGATGTCAGAGACGATGAAATAAGATCTTCAAAGTGATGAAGGGAAAATAAAAATGAAGAATGATGCAACATAAAGACATTTTTCAAAGACTGAAAGTTCTTTCATAGACTCATTGAAAGAATTATCAATGGAATATTTTAGCAAGAAGGAAATAGAAGACACAAAGGTGAAACAATGAAATACAATAAGCAATGTTGAGCTAGGAAATAGGTAAATACCTTGGTCAATTTAAATAAGCATTTACTAAGTAATAATAATGATTCATTTTTGTGGGGTTTATAAGATGGAATCAATAATAAGATGGAATAAGATGGAACCAATATACTGAACAACAACAATATGGTTGGTTAAAAAGAATGTAGTTAAAATATTCTATGTTTCCAATACACTCAGGAAGAGATTGTGATTAATTTTAAATTTAAGTCAAAGATGCATGTTAAAATTTAGGAATAACCTTCTAAAATAAAGGAATAGAATACCTTATTTTCAACCCATTAGAGAAAAAAGAGGGATTCAAAAACTTGATCAATATGGCCAGGCGCGGTGACTCAAGCCTGTAATCCCAGCACTTTGGGAAGCCGAGGCAGGCAGATCACGAGGTCAGAAGATCGAGACCATCCTGGCTAACATGGTGAAACCCCGTCTCCACTAAAAATACAAAAATTAGCCCGGCGTAGTGGCGGGTGCCTGTAGTCCCAGCTACTCGGGAGGCTGAGGCAGGAGAATGGCGTGAACCCGGAAGGCGGAACTTGCAGTGAGCCGAGATCCAGCCACTGCACTCCAGCCTGGGCGACAGAGCCAGACTCCGTCGCAAAAAAAAAAAAAAAAAAACTTGATCAATATTATAGAAAGCGATCACGGAGAAAAAGAGAAGCAAGTGCACACTGGGTTTAAAAAGCATATAAAATAGGGCCGGGCACGGTGGCTCACACCTATAATCCCAGCACTTTGGGAGGCCGAGTCGGGTGGATCACGAGGTCAGGAGATCGACACCATCCTGGCTAACACAGTGAAACCCCGTCTCTACTAAAAATACAAAAAAAAAAAAAAAATTAGCCAGGCGTGCTGGCAGTCGCCTGTAGTCCCAGCTACTTGGGAGGCTGAGGCAGGAGAATGGCGTGAACCCAGGACACAGAGCTTGCGGTGAGCCAATATAGTGCCACTGCACTCTAGCCTGGGTGACAGAGCGAGACTCCCTCTCAAAAAAATAAAAAAGTATGTAAAATAGCGGTGGGTGTGGTGGCTCATGCCTGTAATCCCAGCACTTTGAGAGGGTGAGAGGGGAGAATCACTTGAGCCAAAAGGTTTGACACTGCCTGGGCAACATAGTGAGACTCCATCTCTACAAAGAATAAAAAATTAGCCAGGCATGGTGGTGCACACTTGTAGTCACAGCTACTCAGAACGCTGAGGTGGGAGGATCGCTTGAGCCCAGGAAGTCGAAGCTGCAGTGACCCATGATTGTGTCACTGCACTCCCGCCTGGGTGACAGTGCAAGACCCTGTCTCAAAAACAAACAAATGAACAAAAAGTAAATAAAATAGTGGTGCGCTGGGTCATGGAAGTTAAAAAGCTGATGACAACTGCTGGAAGATAAAGTCTTAGCAGAAGAGCCTGCCGGTCAGATTGCTGAGGCTGAGTGAAGTACAGTGTCCTTGCCTTTCTGAGATGTGTGCTTCTCCACTTCTCCTTTATAATCAAAGCCGACTGCTGACTACAGAGAAGAGGAGACAGAATTGGTTAGAGTCAGAGCTGACAGGTTTTCCTCTTCCTAACCTCCCCTTACTCCCAGCCAGCCCCAGAGGTAGTTTGTAGGGGCTTCAGGCTGAGTATAGGTGTTTAATGTAGAAACAGGCTGGTATGGACACAGGATACTACAGAGCAATGAACATAGGCCCTGGACACAGACAGTTTTAGGTTCAAACCCTACATCCCCTATTTATAGTTGTTGAAGTTTAAGCACGTTCCTTTATATTACTAAGCCCCAGTCTCTTTCAATATAAAATCAGGAGAGGCATGCCTGCCTTATCTACCTCGACTGTAAAATGAGAGAAATGATCCCTCTTCATCTGGGATGTCATGAGAACTAAATGGGACAAGGTAAAGTGTCTACTTAGTTTCATTCACTAACTTAGCGCTTTTCTTCCTAACGAATCCTCACAAAAGTGAAATGTGATACCTAGAAAAGTGCCTTGTAAAGTATAAAGCACTCTGCTCATGAAGAGACATTACCCTATTCCCAGTTGATAATGCTGTGCCTCTTCTCTTTCATTACTCAATAATGGAAACACAAATATGTGGATTTTGGTGGGATAACTGCAACCAGGAGAGTCTGGATCCTAGCTGGCTCTGGGACTGGATATGTTGCCCAGATACCCAACATTACCGCAGAGTTTTGGAGCTTTGTTCTCCATCTGGCTCAGGAACTATGGGTATCTAAGCAAGTCTGGGTTTTTGCATATTAAGAACTAATTAACATGTATTGTTTCTTGATTTACATGACACACTGACTGGGTGATTCCATTTGTGGCTTGTGAGCAAAAGATGTAAGAATCGGTGATTAAGCAAAGGCAGGCAAGAGTGGTGCCAAGATGGAACAGGGAATTCCATCCTGATTCTAGAACACTGCATGCTCCATATTTCACTATTGCCTTCTACATCTTCCCTTAGCTTTGCAGTATGTTTTAAACTTTCCTGATTTTGTTTTTCATGGTTTTACCCCCCATGATGCAAACAATTAATTTTCTAGAACTTAGCTGCCTTAGCTTCCAATCCTTAGCTTTAAGGATGCATGTCCACCTAATTAACAACTGTTGGTAAAAACAAAGAAAAAATCTCAGCTAACTGTGAAGGAGCTGTCCTCTCTCTGTGTGCAGCTGCAGGGCAGGAGACACCATTCTGCACCATAAAAAATGAGTTCAAAGAATCCGACCTAATAAGGCGTGGAACTAAAAACATCGATGAGTTATCAATCTTACTCTCCTGTCAACGATATGATGCTGTAATCATACGGTACTTTTTTTTCTCTTTAAAACAACATTTTGTTTTGTTTTGTACAAAGGAGTCTTTAAAGATATCTGGACTTCATAGATTGATGCTAAATTCTGTAAATAGTAACCCTAATTAGTTGTTTAACTTGATTATCTGCTGCTATGGCAATAATATTTAAACTGATGAATCTGTTTTCCTAAACGGCATGAGTATTTATAAGGTTTTGATGTTAAGCCAAAAGAAGAGCTTAGATGATTCTCTGTTCTATCTTCATGCATATGAGTATAATAAAAACCAGTGGCTTGAGGAATTATTCATTCAAACACACAGTTTGAGAGTCTTCTCCTATTTGAATCACTGTCTTTCAGCTCAGCATGTGGCTTCCAACATTGGCACCAAGGAACTTGCTGAGGGAGGTATCCCTGTGACGGTGTCAGGTCCTCACAGCATCCACTGTCCTGTCTTTCAACAAAGAAGCATGTGCCTCCATCCAGGGGTGATCGTGGGCAATTTTCACAGGACTGGAGGTGGGTGGTTGGGAGAGAGAGTGGTCACTTACCTTGTCTGCCCTGTCCCTCTCAACTCCGTACTTGCCCCCAAAGCCTTTGGCAGCATCCGTCTGAGAAGAGTGCTTCTCCACCTCGGCAACATACTCATGGCCCACTGCACTCTGAGAAAAATCAAGGATGGAGTGAGTGAAAAGATAAAAATGACCTTAAAAAAATAAATACAGATATGGAGTGGGATGTAGGCATGTAAGAAATTCCATTCTGGGTCAGATCTATAGCCTCTGACAGTGGTGCCAAGGAATACGCGATGGGAGAGCAAGATGACTTTTTCTGGAGACCTGCTCATCCCTGTTCTTCTCTAATACCATTAGGAATCCTTCATTCTGAACACTCCCATAGGATGGGCTGGGAACCAGGGGATAGAGACAAGGTAGACAGAGCAGTGTTTAAACCAGAAACAAAAAGAGCTGAAACAAGAGCATTGTGCAGCAGAACAGAGTGTAGTGTGGGGTAGTGTGGAGGAGAGACCAAGGGGACTGACCGGACGCCATAGCCGGGATGGAATATTTCACTAGGAGAGCCAATGATTTTGTTCTAGATCTTTGCTCCTGTATGGCCATCAAAGTTCAGAAGTGAACTCTGAGCTTTATACACCATGTAATGTAGGACATGTATACAAAAAAAATCACTAAATACACAGTAAATAAAATAATAAAGAGAAGTTGCAACATAGACATAATACATAAACATTTAAATGCAGCAAATAATTTTAAAACATATTTTTTCCTTCTCCACTTGTGCTCCCTGTCTTCTTGGTCTAGGAGTTACAATGTGGTTGGGGCTACAACAGGCCAGCAGTTCTAATATCTTGGTTCTTATTTTCTGCCATGTATATCTTATGTGTTGAGATCAGAAAAATTTGATACAAATAATATGTGGACATTATATTTTAGACCAAATGACTACTGTACTTTTGAATGAGTTTTAACTCATGAACCAATGAATGAGTCAAAAAATATATATTTTGATCTAGAACAAAAGTATCTGGGTGTTTTAGCAAAATTTTTAAATATACTTAAATATTATATACTATATATTTATGAATAAACTATATATTTATAATATAAATATGTTATATCATATAATTATAATATATTAAAATATACATAATATAAATTTATATATTTACATTTACTTATAATTATGTAACATATATTAATAATATATATTTATAAATATATTTATAAATAATTATATAAGTATATAATATATAATGTATTAATATATAATATATTAATTATATACTTGTATTAATATATAATATATTAATTATATACTTATATATAATATATACTTATATATAACAGATACTATATATAAGTATATATATAATATATCTTATAATTAATATATAATAATATAATATTAAATATATTATTTATATTTTTATATATTTTATATATTTATATATATTTTATATATATTTATAAATAAAAATATATAATATATATTATATTTTATGTATTATATTTTATATACTTATATAATATAATATATATTATATATTAATTATAGTATATAATATATTACATTATATTACATATTATTACTATGTAATATATTACTATGTAATATATTACATAGTAATAATATGTAATATAATGTATTAATAATGTAGATTATATATTATATATGATATATAATATATAATATAGATATATTATATATTATATATACTTATATATAGTATCTGTTATATATAAGTATATAAGTATATATTATATATATTAATATATATTTATTACATATATTAATATATATAATATATATTAATATATATACTTATTATATATTATATATTATAAGTATATATTATATTATATATACTTATAATATATATACACTTATATATAATATATAAAATATAATATACATTATATTATATTTATAACATATATAAAATATATAAGTATATATAATAAATATATACTTATATAATTATATACTTACATATAATTGGCTCTTATAGAGCCAATTATTTTATAGCCAATTATTATAGAGCCAATTATTTATTATAGAGTCAATTATATATACTTATATATAGTTGGCTCTTATTATAGAGGTATATAATTATATATAAGTATATAATTATACATATTTACAAAATATATAAGTATATATATCAATTTTTTAATGTATTATTTATTTATTTTATTTATTTTTTTTTTTTTTGAGACAGAGTCTCGCTCTGTCTCCCAGGCTGGAGTGCAGTGGCATGATCTCGGCTCACTGCAAGCTCTGCCTCCCAGGTTCACGCCATTCTCCTGCCTCAGCCTCCTGAGTAGCTGGGACTACAGGCACCCACCACGACGCACGGCTAATTTTTTGTATTTTTAGTAGAGATGGGGTTTCACCGTGTTAGCCAGGATGGTCTCGATCTCCTAACCTCATGATCCACCCACCTTGGCCTTCCAAAGTGCTGGGATTACAGGCGTGAGCCACCGCACCCGGCTTGTATTTTTTTAAAGCAAATCTTTCCCTTTCAACTTACCTTGTCCATTCGGTCTCTTTCTACTCCAAACCGACCTCCATAGCCATGGGATGCTTTGGGCCCTGACTCCATCTCTTTCTTCCTGAGAACATCATGCTCCTCTGATACTTTGTTCCTCAGCTGGTGGATGCTGGAAGAAACCACATGACCAAGGCTCATCTATCCTAGGGAGATCAAGAAACCCATCTTCCCAGAAAAATGGAAGCCTTGAAGTCTGTCCTGTTTACTTTCAGTAATAACCTGGGCCCCCAAAATATACTAGTGATGGGTCTGGAAGTAAAAGATCAGTCTGGCCTGCATACCATAGCCTGATTTAAACTCTCCATAGGCCAATAATATTTCCTCTAGTCTGTTATTTGCTCACTAAAATAACCTTCTGATCTTTAGTCCCATTTTTCATGTTCTTAAATATTAGAGGACAATGGTACCTATATTCTGATAACTGGAAAGTTATTTTCTTTTCTGAATGGATCTGCTTTCTATCAATTAGAGGATGTGTCTCAAAAAGCAGAAAAATATTCACATACCATTGGACCTACACATTCTAGTTTTAGCAGTCTACACCAGGGAAATGATTTTAAATATGGCAAAGCTTAATGTCCTTAATGTCTAAATGATACTCATTGAAGCATCGTATATAATAGCAATAACTAAGAAACAATCTATATGACCAATGGTTGGATAATAGTTAAATAAATTGAAATACTACCTTTCACTAGTGTACTAGGAAGTCATTAAATATAATGCTTATAAAAACACAGAACTGGGGAAATTTATGTAAACATTAGTGGTATTTTTTATGCTTTTTGGTCATGAATTAAGATCTTCTGCCCCTTCCCCCCAGGCTGATAATACCTGAGAAAACTAAGGACTAATGAAAACTAACTAAGAAAATCCACTCACAGTTATTGCTATAACACTTTAAGCCTCAAATTATCTTGATTTGAAGGGACACCTCTATCCCTAAGAGAAAGTACCACCAAAAAAGGCATTATCTTTCTTACTTCACACCCACTTCCATCTTTACCATGAAGGTGACTGCAACAATTAAGAGGGCAGAAAGCCATCTTGGCCAACCTCTTTGGCTTGAGGATATGAAGTGATAGCTCAGCCCCACGTGACAATCAGATCTGTTATTTGGACACATATAAGGATCCGGGGATTCTTGGAAACATTTGGGCAAGAGAACCCTAAATAAGAAATTTGACTTTCTGCAGCAAGCAATGAGGGTTTAGGGTATTAAGATAGTGATGTTAGATGGTGAGCTGGGACTTTACCAGCGCAGGACAACCAGACACATTGGTTATACGTAGAATGGCTGTCTCACAGCAGAAATTGTCTTCTTTTAAGGAAGAATAGATCCATCTGGTGGCCTTTAGTGGATAATTCTACCAAAGGTCTTTTTAAAAAGCCTTCTCAGCTTTAGCCGCAGTTAATTTTAGAAAGCTGGCTATGAACCAGATGAAATTAAGCCAAGTGCTGGAAGAACCCCCTGTTCCCATGCCTCCTCTAAACTCTCTGGCAGCGTTGAAAGCAGAGATCTTGTGTTGTCAGTTCAACACCAACACTGTGTCATAAGCTACTAGTACCAAGGACATGTAAATGCCTGCCCAATATCTTCCAACTGAAGTATTCAGATGAAAGATCAAGAAAATGGGGCCAAAATTTACTTTCAAATGGAAAAAATCTGCAATTTTTTAATGAATATAATAATTGTTAAATGGGTTATAACTATATTATAGTTAAAACAAGTTTTTAAAAGGGATTAGAAAATGATACTCAGAAATATTCATCTAAAGGATAACAGAAAAACTAGTCAGGGGATCATACCAATGATATAATTTGAATGAAATTGTTGAGGCCCAAAGAAAACAGACTTCTTTAGGTTATAGTGGAAGTCATTCTAAACAGGTCTTTATTATTATTATTATTATTGAGACAGAATCTTGCTCTGTCGCCCAGGCTGGAGTGCAGTGGTATGATCTCAGCTCACTGTAATCTCCGCCTCCCGGGTTCAAGTGATTCTCTTGCCTCAGCCTCCAGAGTAGCTGGGATTACAGGCATGCATGTCATGCCCCGCTAGATTTTGTATTTTTAGTAGAGACAGGGTTTCACCATGTTGGCCAGGCTGGTCTCAAACTCCTGACCTCAAGTGATCCTCTTGCCTTGGCCTCCCAAAGTGCTGGGATTACAGGCGTGAGCCACCACGCCTGGCCTAAACAGGTCTTAATCACATCATTCCTTCATTTTATAACTATTAACTAAACAACTTTTAAGTGTGAGGTACTGTTAGGCTCTGAGGACACAAAAATGTTTTATGTATGGAGATAGAGGACAGCTAGAAGAGATAGAGAGGAAAACAAAAAATTCCAATTCAATATGCTGTGTTGTGCCTAAGAAACTTTTGACATATTAACTCTCAGATATCCAATTTAAGTTTTAAAAGACTTTGTATTGATAAAGCAATGCAGTTTATGTGAACCAAGCAAAATGTAGCACCTCAAAGATGACTCATTCCTCAATCTGTGTTTGTTTTTTATTACAAAACTAAAAGCACAAATGTGAGTGACTCAGAATATAAGGTTTTTATTCACAGATGACCTGATCATGTATGTAGAAAATCCTAAAGAATTCACACAAAAAAAGCTACTAAAGCATTGTGCATTTGGCTAGGTCACAGGATACAAGGTCATTATATCAAAATCAATTGTATTTTTACATACTGGCCATAAACATTTGGAAACTGGAAGTTAAATATAAATACATGAAATAACATGAAACATTTTAGGATAAACTTAACAAAGTATGTGCAAGACCTAAACACTAAAAAATATTTCTGAAAATATTAAAGAAGATCTAAATAAATGGAGAGATATCCCATGTTCATGGATTGGAAAACTCAATATCATTAAGATGTCAGTTCTCCCTAAAATGATCTATAGATTCAATGCAATCCCAATCAAAATCTGAACAGGCATTCTTGTAGGAATTGACTAGTGAATTATAAAATTTATGTGAAAATGTAAAGTCCTGGAATAGTAAAATCTTTTGTTTCTTTTTTTTTTTTTAAGGAGAGCAAAGTTGAGGACTACATAATTTCTTGACTTATAAAGCTACAATAATCAGTGCAGTATGGTATGCTGTCAGGGTAGAAAATAGATCAACAGAACAGAATAGAGTCCAGAAATAGACCCACATGTATGTGGTCAAAGATGCCAGGTAAGTCAATGGGAACAGAATACTCTTTTAATATTGTTGAACAACTAAATAATCACATGGAGAAAAATGAACCTCAATCTTGACCTCACACTGCACAGAAAAGTCTACTTGAAATGGGTCATAGACTTAAATGTAAAAGCTAAAACTGTCAGTCCTTTAGGACAAAACATCAAAGAAAGTCTTCACAACTTTGGGGTAGGTAAATATTTCTTAGACACATAAAGCATTAGCCCCATAAATTTTTTTTCAATAAATTAGACATCATCAGGATTAAGATCTTTTGCTCTTAAAAAGATGCCATTAATAAAATGAAAAAGTGGCCAGGTGTGGTGGCTCACGCCTGTAATCTCAGCACTTTGGGAGGTCAAGGCGGGTGGATCACAAGGTCAGGAGCTCAAGACCAGCCTAGCCACTATGGTGAAACCCCGTCTCTACCAAAAATACAAAAATTAGCTGGGCTTGGTGGTGGGCGCCTGAGTCCCAGCTACTCAGGAGGCTGAAGCAGCAGAATCGCTTGAACCCAGGAGGCAGAGGTTGCAGTGAGCTGAGATCATGTCACTGCACTCCAGCCTGGGCAACAGAGCAATCAATCAATAAATAATCAATCAATCAATCAATAAAGTGAAAAAGCAAGTTATGTTCTGGGAGAATACACTTGTAAAACACATATTTCACAAAAGACTTACATCCAGAATATATAAAGAACTTTCAGCAACTTAATAAAAAGACAAACAACTCACTTTAAAAGTGAGAAAAAGATGTGAACAGATACTTCATAAAGAAGATATATGAAGATATATGAATGGCAAATGAAAATATACTCAATAAAACTGGTCATCAGAGAAATTCAAATTAACTTAAAAGAGTGGTTAAGTTGGTTTTGTTGTTGTTGTTGTTGTTTTGTTTTGTTTGTCTTTTAGAGAGGATCTCAGTCTGTCACCCAGGCTGGAGTGCAGTGGGGCAAACATGGCTCACTGCAGCCTCAACCCCCTGGGCTCAAGTGCTTCTCCTGCCTCAGCCTCCTGAATAGCTCAGACCACAGCCAGCCAATTTTTAATTTTTTTGTAGACTCTGAATCTCTCCACATTGTCCAGATGGTCTTGAACTCCTGGGCTCAAGTCATCCTCCTGCCTTGGCCTCCTAAAGTGCTGGGATTACAGGCATGAGCCACTGCACCCAGCTAAATTTAAAAATACTAACAATAACAAATGTTGACAAAAATGTGGAGCATCTGAAACCCACACATTACTGGTAGGAATGAAAGAGGGTAAATTCCCTTTGGAAAAGAGTTTGAGAGTCTCTCAAAATGTTTAACATACACTTATTATATGACTCAGCAATTCTACTCCTGGCAATTTTCCAAGAGAAATAAGGATATGTCAACAAAAAGATTTGTACCCAAATGCCCATGACAGTTTCATTTGTAATAGATCCAAATTGTCAATAATCCAAATGGCTATTGACAGGATAATGAATAATAAAACTGTGACATATCCATACAATGGGACACTACATGACAATATAAAAGAACAAAAGACTTATATACACAACACCATGGATAAATCTGGAAAACATTATGCTGAAAGAAGACAACACAAAACAATACATTCTATATTATTCTGTTTGCATGAAATTCTATGCCAGACAAAACTAATCTATAGTGACAAAAAGATCAGTATGGGGTGTATTGACTGCAAAGAGGTGCAGGGAAATTTTCATGGTAATAGATATATTCTATATCTTGATTGCATTGGTGGTTATATTATATATATATAGTCAAAACTCATTGAACTATTTGCTTATAATGATTAGGTATCAATAAATTTAATTTTTGCCTGGGCAATGGTGGCTTACACCTGTAATCCCAGCACTGTAGGAGGCCGAGGCAGGCGGATCACTTGAGGTCAGGAGTTCAAGACCAGTCTGGCCAACATGGTTAAACCCCGTCTCTACTAAAAATACACAAATTAGCTGGGCAAGGTGGCACATGCCTGTAATCCCAGCTACTCGGGAAGCTGAGGTAGGAGAATCACTTGAAGCTGGGAGGCAGAGGCGGAGGTTTCAGTGAGCCGAGATCGTACCACTGCACTCCAGCCTGGATGACAGAGCGAAACTCCGTCTCAAAAAAAACAAAGTTAATTTTTGAAAAATAATAAAGTGAAGAAAACCTTAAATGAAAGAGACTTTGGGCACTCATAAAGAGGTTTGTTTATGAAGTGATTGTAGTATTATTAAGGCCAACTTATCAAGTACTTTGTCACTGTAAACAGAATAGCAAGCAGCCTTAGGGAATTGGCAATAGCTTAGTTCATGGGAATTTGCATTTCATTTCAACAAAAGAATTACGGACATGACGATATTATGTTTATTAGACAAAAACAATATATTGGTTAAGATTTCAGCCCATGGAGTCAGACTGAGCCGAATTCAAATTACTACAGGTTGACTATCCCTCATCCCAAACGCTTGGGACCAGAAGTGTTTTGGATTCAGGATTTTTTCAGGTTTTGGAATATTTGCATATACATAATGAGATATCTTGGGGACGAGACCCATGTGTAAACAGGAAATTCATTTATGTGTCATATACACTATATTAAGGAAGGTATTAAAGAAGAACTAAATAAATGAAGGTAACTTTATTTTTCCCTTGGGGACGCTGAAAAAACTGTTGTGCACCTGTATTTTGACTGAGACCCATCACATGTAGTCAGGTGTGGAATTTTCTACTTGTGGTATCATGTGGGCTTTCAAAAATTTCAGATTTTGGAACATTTTAGATTTTGAATTTTTGGATTAGGGATGCTCAACCTGTATCTCTGTATCCTCGGACAAATTGCTAAACATTAATATATCCATTCACTTTTCTGTGAAATCAGGATGCCAACGTCATCTATGATATAGGATTGTTTTTAAAAAGTACTCTGTGTTTTGCAAGACATATAATAGCTTAATAAATGTTAGTCATTATTCTTAAGTTATAGCCATGGCTCTTCCCAGTACCCCTGTGAGGTAAACAGGGATGGTACTATAATCTCCAGTCAGCGCTGGAAATCAAGATAGGATGGTAAAATATTATTACTCTCCTCAGCATCATAAGCCTTTTTACAGCAGAGCTGGAATCAGTCCCTAGAGCTCCAGAATTCTATTTCTATACTCTTGGCATTACACCATTCTTTATTTCCACTTGCTATAAAATGTCAGGGCACGAGAAGAGGACAGGGCCACTGAGGCAGACATCCTATGGTTATAGCTCAGTAAAGATTTAATCTAAAGGCCAGACTGGTTCCAGGAAGTGCTGAAAGATTATTCCAGAGCAGTGCCACTCAGTGTGTGGTCCACAAGCTGAACTGTTTCTGTTTCACAGGGAAATAAGAATAAAAATTGAGAATATGTGTTTAGAAACTTTTATAGCAATTTGACATAGTGATTTTATTCTTTTTCTTTTTCTTTTTTAGAAATGGGGTCTCACTGTTGCCCAGGCTGGAGTACAGTGGCTACTCACAGACACAATCCCACTACTGATCAGCACTGGAGTTTTGACCTGCTCCATTTCTGACCTGGGCAAGTTCACCCCTTCTTAGGCAACCTATGGTCCCCTGCTCCTGGGAGGTGGGAGGTCACTATATTGATTCAGAATTCAGCGTGGAGACCCAATCAGCATAGAGCACTATAGCCCAGAACTACTGGACTCAAGTGATCCTCCTGCCTCAGCCTCCTGAGTAGTTGGGTCTATAGGCACAGACTAGCATGCCTGACAACATCGTGATTTTATATCTGTTGAATTTAAAAATAAAAACTGTGTTTGTATTGTCTATGTTATTTTTAACCATTTATTTTTCCAGAAACTTAATTGTATTTTATTTTACAAAAGTATCAGTCTGTGACAGATTTGAAAATAAACAAACAGGTCAAGGGAAAAGACACCCTTGAGTCTTGAGAATGAATGGGCAAGAGTGGAGAAAAGAAGGTGGAGAGAAGGGTGATAGTTCTTGAAAACCAGGCAGTTCCTTTACAGAATGGATAAGGGATGCATAGGACCATTTGAATTATTCACTGAATTACCAAATTACTATCCAAACTAAATTTATTCAAGACAGACCTAAAAAGAGACATCACGGTGTGGGGAAGGTAGTAAGATTAGTAAGAACTGCAACCACTTCCTTTTCCTGCTTTTAGTCGTCTCAGCTCTACAGCTACTGTTTTGTTTTGTTTGTTTGTTTTTTGTTTTTTCATTTTGGGATCTGTCAGTGTTAGCATCTACAGCTACTGTTCTCCTCTCCAATTTCCCTCTCCTTTCCAAGGACCATGGTGATTCCCATCAGATGTTAAAGACTGACTTAGCCCACACTAACGAGAGGGAATCCCCAAATAGTGGAGACTTACTACTGGAAAGTCCTCTAGAGGTCTTTTTGATCCAGATGGGCAAAATGAGAATCAGAGAGGAAAAGGGACTTGTCTAAAGCCACCTGGCCTGTTACCAGCAGATACCAGGCTTTCACTCCTTGATAACCTGGGTAAATGGGAGATGAGCGAGATTTTTTTGTCAATATCTCCATCGTTTATTCTATCTGATAGATTCAGTTAGGTTAACAAGGAAATGTGCAGGGTCACCATGTTGTACCACTCCAGGCAGCACCCGTCAGAGTGATCTGTGTATAGGAGTTGTGCAATCCAACAGTCCAGGTAGACACCACTTAGGAGAAAAAAGGGCTGTTGTCTGTTTACATGTTTGTTAGATTTTAGAAAGGAAATCTGATTAAACTAACCTATATTAACAGGAAACAAAACTAACATCACTGAGCTGCTCAGAAGTGCTAAGTACTGCATTAGACATTGGCTATCCCATTGACCTGTAACTATACATCTTCAGGGTGGCTATTTTTTTTTAAGTTATTTCATTTTTTTATGAGGGTTGCTTGCTCTTTTTTTTTTTTTTTTTTTTTTTTTTGCCAATGCCTACTATATTGCAAGTCGTCATGGCGGAGTGTTGGGAAGTTTTCAATTAGCAATAATCACACCTCGGATAAACCTCATTGGCTACAATACCACCAAAGGCATGAAGTGTGCATCCTCATCTGGACAATTCCCAGAATACCAGCGTTGAGTGGCCTTTATTCAGAAAAGGAAAAGGGTCTTGTGGTTTTTTTTTTTTTTTTTTTGATCTATGAGTCTATAGAGGGGTATCACAGAAGCTTCCTGAATGACCCTGTTCCATTGTTTCAATCTTTTTCCAGAATGGCATGGTTTAAGAATAATATTCATTATAGCTACTTAATTGAAACCATTTATTTATTTATTTATTTATTTATTTATTTATTTATTTATTGAGACTGAGTCTCGCTCTATCACCCTGGCTGGAGTGCAGTGGTGCGATCTCAGCTCACTGCAACCTGTGCCTCCTGGGTTCAAGAGACTCTCGTGCTTCGGCCTCCTGAGTAGCTGGGATTACAGGTGCCCGCCACCACGCCCATCTAATTTTTGTATTTTTAGTAGACACAGGGTTTCATCATGTTGCCCATGCTGGTCTTGAACTCCTGACCTCAAGTGATCTTCCTCGCTCGGCCTTCCAAAGTTTTGGGATTACAAGCGTGAGCCACCACGCCCGGCCGAAACCATTTATTTCTGATTAAACAATGTGGTATTGTCATCCAGTTGTAGAAACTTGTGCCAGGCTTTCACAGTATGTTGCTTGTGCAATGTGGTCATCCACTGACACTTTTTAAAATCTAGAGGTAAAAACACTGCTTTTAGGGTGCGGTAGGGGGAGTTAAAAATGGAGCTTAAAACTGTATTAATCTTGCCATTTTGTGTGTAGTTGTTGAATTTTTGCTTGTTACACTATTTATTGTGTCTACCTTGCTACTAATGTTTGACATTCTGATACTATCCAAAGCAGATGGTCCTGGTTAGATGATCCTGAATCATCCGTGGAAGAGAGAAGGGGATCTCTCAGCCTGAATGTATGACATATCCCACAGAAACCCCTGGATATGTCTGTAAGTTCCTTTTATCTTCTGGTATCGGAGGGTTTTGTTTGTTTGTTTGTTTCTGGTAAAATGCATATGGGGCTATAATCTTAAAGATCCCTGAACATCGTTGCCAAAATAGTTTTTATCAACAGGTTTTCCAAGTGTTACATTTCTTCATATTACCATTCATGGCTTCCAACTTCTGTCAAATAGCTAAGTACAAATCTGTATTTTAAAAGTTATTTGGGCCAGTTATGGGAGCTGAAGTGGCCTCTTTTTATAGCATTTATTCTGAGTTCTTCACCTTGACATTTTACTGAATTGTTCTTAGTTCATCTGAAGGAAGTCACCCTGAATTCTAAATACATATTTACATTTATCTGAAGAGATAGATAGGAGATAGATGATTGCCAGGTAGATAGATAGAGAGGACCTTAGTATTTGGTCCACTTCCTCTATGAATCTCTCATGCCTTACTAAAGGAAGGGAGGCAGTTAATCCAATAGACCCACTTGGGGAAATAGCAGAGTTGTTAGGTATAAAAGATAGATAATAGGGTTGAGGAGGGTAAGAGGAGAGACATAAAATGGAAATATGCAATGACACACAGGTACACACAGGAACAGACTCTAGAAAAAAAACAAACACAATAATACATAGACATGAACTACCCTATCCTTTTCCTCCCTCACCTTCCCCCAAGTCTCCGAGTTTTCTTTGGGCTCTTCCCATAACCCCCTTCCTTTTCTCCAGTCCTTTCGGCACCTACTTGATGTGTTCTGTGCGTCCAGACCCCTCGATGGTCTTGGCTCCCCATCGTTGCTCCTTTTCAGAGATGTCATTCTGCAAACGACAGCACGCAGTAATACATGACGGCAAGAAATGTGCCACATTGAGAAGGGCCACCCAACTGACACATGCCCTCCATGTCCCCTGTGTCCACTGCCTTCTTCAGTCTGGGTCTTTATTCACATCCCCTCTATATTTATCCCATCCTGACCCCATGTAAGAATTAAACTGGTGAGGCCAGGCGTGGTGGCTTATGCCTGTAATCCTAGCATTTTAGGAGGCCGAGGCGGGTGGATCTCTTTAGGTCAGGAGCTCAAGACTAGCTTGGCCAACATGGTGAAACCCCATCTCTACCAAAAAAATACAAAAATTAGCCAGGTGTGGTGGCATGCACCTGTAGTCCCAACTGCAGGGACTACTTGGGAGGCTGAGGTAGGAGAATCGCTTGAACCTGGGAGGCAGAGGTTGCAGTGAGCTGAGATTGCACCACCGTACTCCAGCCTGGGTGACAGAGTGAGACTCTGTCTCAAAAAACAAACAAGAAAACACAAAGAATTAAACTAGTGAGCTCTGAAACCTCCGTTCCTCCTCTGCCTACTTCATGCCTACCCCATCTGGTCTCCTACAGCTTTTTAATCCCCCAATTACACATGCCCAGCTTGAATCCTGGATCATGGGCCAGGGGAGACCCAGGTTCACCTGCTTCTCACCTTCAGTGTAGCCTGCCATGGCCTGTCAATCACACTGTCAAACTCACCCACACCTGTCTCTTTTCATCCCTGATACCAGGTATCGTGCATGCCCCACAGGTGACAGCCAATTGTCCTACCAATTAGTCCCAGTATGAGGGCTGTCTCAGTCCTAGAAGGCCCTTTTCCAAGCATCCTCAAAGATCACAGAGTGGCCCAGATGCCCTCCTCACCCCACCCTCTGCACTGTCCAAGCAAAGCTACTTCCAAACTCACCACAAAGTCAGGATCTGTGTCCCAATCATCACCCTGGGTCTCCACGGAAACAGACACATCATGGCCCACTACAGACTTCCACATCTGAGAGTGACCGGAGATGGGAATAATTAGGGACAAAAAAGGATCAAGAGGAGGGAAAATAGGAATGCTGAAGTCAAAATATAGCAGCCCAATATTTCCTGCCATTTTTTTTTTCTTAGAAGAAAATAGAAAATGAAGCAAAGCAAATGGGAGTTGTAGGAAGGCTTTTCTGCTCAGTTACAAGATGAGAGATGGGACTTTAATCAAGACGAATTGATGTGGGCTGGGCCCACCTGGGGCTAGAGAGAAGTCATCATGGGTGTGGGTAACACTAGGTAACCCACGAGTCAAAATTGCTGGAATTGTTCACTTGTGTCCCGAGGCCAGCCAGGCAGTGGCTGGAGGTGGTTGGCAATGAGCGGTGCTATAATATCCCTAGAATTATGGCCTTATTTCACTCAGGTTTCTATATATGATTCCTTTGTTGCTGTTGAAATACAAATTGGTTCTGCTTCTCACAAAGTGAACATCTACATCCCTCTTTACAACCTGCTGAACTACACTGAGAATTTTTCCAGCCTCTGGTCCAAGTGCTGTCCCACCTCCACCCTGAGTCTGGTCACCTCACAGCTGTGTAAGGTCAGCAGCGACAGTCGGCTGAAATTTCCACATGGAACAATGCATTGGGAGAGCATTATTTGCTGGGAATAAGTCAGTTATTACTCAATTTTTTAAAAATGGTTCAATTAATTGCTAAAGTCAAAAAATAGCATGTTTTCAAGTTGACAATTTACCGTAGAAAAGAAAAAAGAATAATATGTAATAAATCTGATTTTGAACATTAAGAGGTACTCAGTTTTTATCAACTAAATAAATGTTGCAGAAATATTTAGAGAACCCTAGCTTGGAAGGGTGCCAAACTTATTCTGCTGGGGCATTCCCAGTGTTCTAGACGGCCTTCCGGACTGTGCAGAAGGAAGAGCGGCACAGTTGCTCTGCATCTGTGGATTTGGTGTGAAGAAGTAACAACAGACAATGCTCATCTGCTGTGGTCACCACTGAGACTTCTTGACCCTGGCAGCACTTGCTAGCTGGCAATCCTTCCCTCCTCAGACACCTCATCCCATTGGAGACCTTCCCCATGCTCTCCATCGTCTCCAAAGAGTCCCTTTACAACCACTCCTCGGGTTCTCCTGTCTCCACCTAGGCCTTCAGATTCTCCAGTTTTCTATTTCCACTTGAAAGCTCCATCTTCTCCATTGAGCAACCTCTTAAAAACCAGCCCAGGGGAAGTCTGGGTAAATCAGTTAAAGAGATGCTAAGGGGACACCGGAGAGATATTGACTGAGTCAGCCGGGAGTCATGGCTGAAAGCAGCTTGGCTTTCCCTGATGCGGTTGGAGACAGCAAAACATCCTTACTACCTGCATCCTTACTACCCCTCTGCTTCTCATCCCCTGGCTCCTGGGCTGCTGTGCAACAACAAAAGGACTGTCACACAGAAAACTGGAATGGAGAAGTTTCTGAAATAGTCATGAGCAATAAGGAAGCAATGAGGACTGATGGTCCCATCCTCCTTCCTGTGGCTCCTCTGAGGCCTCAGCCTGACTCTCCCATTCACCCATTTTTGAAATAAAGAGTTTCTGAAATAGAGACAATTTATCTAATATCCTTGACCTATTGACCAGAAACCAGAAAGGTAAGAAGTGCTATCTAGAGGTGAGAACCAGAGAGTAATCTGGTGAGGCCTTGTTGCGATGCTGACCTCCTGCATCAAAGTACACAGACTGGGAGTCAGAAGCCCTGGCTGTCACCCCAGCTCTGTGACTAAGCCTCTGAGGGACCATCACAAGGGCATCAACAGAGTAGGTACTCATTTGCCAGGTATCAGACCAGGCGATTAAGAAATACTAACTTTAATAATTTGGCAAATCAGCAATTATCTCTGATTTTCCCAGTGGAAAATAATGAAGGGGTTAACGTAGCTCATCTGTGGTCTCCTTGATTTCTGACATTCTGAGATTCTGTGATCTACGAACACAGAAACTAGCCCCAGCAGAACAATCATGCCTTCTCTTGGGCTCCATCAGCACTTGGTACTCAGTGCTAGTGTACATCAGTGACTACTTCCTGATCTGTTACATTTCCTGTGTGGGTTTGTTTCCCTGAGACCATATGCTCTTCAAGGGCAGACACTGTTTTCGTCTCCTGTGGTCCTCCTCCCAGCTCAGTACCTAGGGGAGACAGGCCTTAGAGTGGGTTGTAGATTGTCAGCAGAAACCAGGCAACACTTTGCTTGATGTTGGTGCTAGATGGCTCCTGAAACACTTGCCTTGGGTTTAAGCCCCTCCCTTTTGTTTCTATCTCCAGATGCTGATTTGCTACAACCACTCACAACCAGGCCTTCTGGCCATAAAAGGATAAAAGCCTACTAGTGGTGACCTTGCCCATCACCAAGGACTAAGAGCCAGGTAGGTTCCTCCTCAACTCTTACTCTGTGTTTCCCAACTGTCCCATGGCTCAGAGTACCCACCTCCACCTGTGCAAGCCTCTGTTCTAAGCGCCCGGCTCCTCGCGTCCACACCGACTCCCTCTCTGGCTGCTGCCACTTCGGAGTGAGAAACTGAGCTGCTGCTTCAGTTCCGTATTCAGGTTTTCGTCATTTCCTGCCACCCCATCCTCACAGCTACTTCCTGAAATTTGAGTCAGTTCCTTCTGCTTTAGACACTTAAATTTTAAAAGGATTAAATGTTTCTGTGCCTGGTCTTTTGCAAGGTTTTGACAATGGGGGTCATAGAGCAGTCATAGAAAATGCTGCTTTGACTCTGAGTTTGTAATCCAGTGAGAGAAACAAACATTCAACCAGAAAACACATTAGAGAATGCTGTAGAACAGCATTGTGTCCTAAATAGGGTGGCAGTTACATTTGAGACAGTAAAGGAATTCAGAGCATTTGGTATTGGGTGTATTCATCAAGAAAGGCTTTATGGGAAAAGTGATTTATATGTGGGTTTTGAAGCATAAGACTTAAAAAGAAACTCACCCCTATATTACCCACAGCACTTAAAAGTGGAGTTTTCATATAGATGTTCAAATAAACGTCGACCAATTGAATGCCAGAAGAGAATAACTCATGAGGGAAAAGGCAAGACATGGAAGGAGAGTTTCCTAGCTTGTTTGGGGCACTGTGGAGTCTGAGCTAACAAACTAAAGATTTGGCTCTAGAGCGTAGGAAGAATTCTGAAAGAACCAGGTGCTGGTCAGCTGATGGAAGAAGGTCTTTGTGGTATCCTGTTTTACTGCGTGTCAAGACTTGCTGCCCCTCCCTTCCCTCTTGAAGTCAGACTTACTCAGGTGACTTGTTTTGGCCAGTGACAGATACCACTTTCTGGCGGAGGCCGTAAGACCACTGCAAGCTTTGCCATGCTTTCACCACTGCCCAAGGCAACCTGCAATTCTCCATATTGGCTCCTCCAGCAGACTGGGTCCCTGAGTGAGAAAGAACACAAGTGGAGCCCCATCCACCATGTGGGGGAATTGGAGTCTTTCACTAAAAAATAGTCCTTTGTTTTGGCTACTGAGAATTTGAGGGTGTCTGTTATTGTATCTGACCTAGCCTTTCCTAATCTTGATTGTGGACTTCTTGATTTGTTCACAACGGTGCATCCTCCAAGGAGTTTAAGCAGGACTGGATGAAACTGGCCCATGATACAGGCACTTTTCTGCATTAGGAATATGAAGCCTCTGTCACTTCCAAATCTAAGGATTCTATGCCTGGGGGAGCTTTATTTATTCCTTCTACTTTATTACCTATTTATCATGGTGGTACCAAAGTTATGATAAGGAAGAGTACGTTTGTACAAGAGAAAAATCACTTGGAATCCTCATGTAGTGTCAAAATACGATTTAGACTAGATGATGTGACACACCATCCAGGTACATAGTTCTCTAGAGAAAATATAGAAATTAATCAGAGATGACACCAAGAAGTCCCATCTTTCCTTAGCAAATGTCACAAGTTCATTACTGATGAGGTAGTGAGGTGTATCACACAGAAAAAGAATGGGCCTTGAAGCCAGACAGACTTGGTTCAATTAAACCACTTATTGTACTTTGAGAAAGTGAGCTATCTTCTCTCAAGCAGCAACTTAATATAAAAATCCATAATAGCTGGGCACGGTGGCTCACACCTCTAATCCCAGCACTTTGGGAGGCTGAGGCGGGTGGATCACAAGGTCAGGAGTTTGAGACCAGACTGGCCAACACAGTGAAACTCCATCTCTACTAAAAGTGCAAAGATTAGCCGGGCATGGTGGCAGGTGCCTGTAATCCCAGCTATTTGGGAGACTGAGGCAGGAGAATCGCTTGAAACTGGAAGGCGGAAGGTGCAGTGAGTTGAGATTGTGCCACTGCACTCCAGCCTGAGCGAAAGAGTGAAACTCGGTCTCAAAAAAAACCCAACAAAACAAAACAAAACATAATAATGCCTATCTAACCTGCTACATGCTATTAAGCTTCTCTTCTCCCATTCCCACCCAGAGGGATCCCTAGGGGCCTAATGTTTTCACTATGTGCCAGACAAGAGTTCTCCCAGGACCATGCATGGACCTGCATCAATTTCATGCCCTAAGGCCCAGCTTATTTGGTTCAGTATTAGGATAGAATTTCCTCACTGCATTCATCACCTGGGGTCTAGCAGCTAAGGCTGGAAAAATGCATGCAGCTGTCACTGATATTGGCCAGTGAGAAGAAAGCCTGAATATGTAGAGCTTTCTACCCCTATAACCATTCCTGGCTACCTCCTTTCCCTACTTCCCTTACCCACCTTCCACCCCCCAGCATGCAAACACAGGTACCGAAACACCTGTGCACATATCCATTCACTCACACGTACACACACATACACACAAACTCTTCATTCTGAAAATAATTTTATTATTTTACAGTTGTTCAGGAAACTTCCCAGGATGTTGTAACCAAGATTTAATCACCACAGTAGATTTAGAGCAGATCAGTCAGCCCACTTGTCTTCTCTCTTCTTTAGGGAGAGGCTAGGCAGTGAACACATCACGTATGCAATGAGAAAATAACCAACTGGTAGGATGGGGGAGGGGAGGGGAGGCAGGGAATAGGCACAAATGGAATTCTATCCTGGCTGTCCTTCTCAGGTCTATCTATATTTAATTTTGTCTTCTCTATATTCTCCTTCCATTGCCACAGAGGGCAGAGACAATGGGGCTGAGAAACTGTAATAACTGTCACTAACAGCAAAGTAGCTTAGTACTTCAAGAGGTCAGGAGTTGCAGTGTGGTGTTAGACCAGTCAGACTCCTGGCTGAGAGTCAATGCCTAATATTGGCTCCCAGTGGCCCCTGAGCACTGTCTCAGGGTCCACATTCCAGGAATATTCAGATATTCCTGGAATGACAAGAATTGGAACCCTGCTGTCCATAGACACTTCTCCCTGCCCTTTGGTGAAAGGAAAGACTTGGGCCACTTAATACCTTAGTATACATGTGATCAAGGGCAAAAGCAAAGGGATTCTATCCTTATAGTCTAAGACCTGAAATTCTCCCTCCAATTATATCTGAAATTGGCAGGGAAGAAGATGCTGTCCTCCCATGTGATCTAACAGCTAAAACCCCTAGGGAGTTCCTTCAGCTTTCACCACCCTATTCTGCAAGAGACCTAAATCAGATGTCCTATGAGGTGACATGTTCATTTCCCTGAACTCTGTTTATGGCAGAGCCACCTTCCCCCTGAAACAGGAGAAAATACAGGCAAACAAGGCAAAGAAAGTTATCAATCAAAATGATACTGAACTTCAGATTATTAGGTTTATTGAAACCATCCTCTTGGCTTGGCTGAAAGACATTCCTCAGTATCTTTTACAGGACCACAAAAGATCAGGGTCCTGCAAAATCTCAACAAATATTAGGCTCAACAAACCAAATGTGATTCTCAGATTAAGCAGAAGCGTTCAGGCTCAGGGCAGTAGAAGAAAGCAGACTCGCCAGTCCCTGCAGCTCCAACCTGTCCTCGTATCCACCTCTGTTTTTGCAGGCACTTTCCGTGAAGAGTTGGAGAGAAGACCTGTAAATGGGAAGACTGTTCCACTGGAATTGATGTTCTGATGTTAGAGGTGAGAGAATTCCAAGTTTTGAGGGGAGTGGTCCAAAGAGTAACAACTAAGTCTATAGATGGCCCGTAAAACACAGAATGAGCAGGACATGAATCATTAGAAAGTAGATGGCTGCTAGAAGTGGCACTCGGGTCCGTGAATGACAGAGTGAACGCAGGACTCGCTTCCATCCAACGCCACTCCGGGTCTGAAAGAAAAATGTGAAAGTCAGAGAGTTTTCACCCTATAGGGCTATGTTGCTTTCCCTCCTACTAGTCTTGCACTTAAGCAAAGCTGACCCAACCACTGTAGAAAGGGGTATTCTGAGAGGAAAGTTGCCTCAGAGTCAACAACTTGGCAAATTCCACCAGGTTCTAATCTTCCACGCCCTTCCAGCCTTAGACTCATTCGCTGCTCAGTGGCTGGACTTCCACATTCCTTCTCCTCAGCTCCTTGCCCCCAGTATAGCCAGCCCTGTCAGATAATAAAACACCCTCTCTTTATCCTTCTTCCTCTTACCCTTCGACAACTGTTGCTTGTAAGATCTATTAACAGTGCCTGCTCCTGAGTGCCACAGGAGCCAATGATAGGAGTCCGGGAAGAGTCCCATTCACTGTGCTCTAACCTGAGTTGAGAAAAAAAAGAGGCATAGCATTGGTTCATAGCATGAGAGGCTGATCAGGCCCAGTCTTCCCAGTCATCCTGCCACACAATGCAGCACAGGAGGAGACTTGCAGCAAAAGCTGCTCCCATAAACCCAAACCCATGCAAGGGGGGTACCAGCAGATACGTTTCCTTCAGCAGCAGCAAAATGTGACAATAACTATCAGGAATTGACTGCCTACTCACTATGTATCAGGCTCTAGGCTGGGTGCTTTACATACATTTAATCCTCAGGTTCTGAGGTTGGTCTTATTATCTTCAAAGTGCTAAGGCTTACAGAGGTTAAATTACTTGCCCATGGCGGCACAGCCAGTAAGCGGCAGAGCCAGAATTCAATACCCAACTTTGTCTTTCAAGCCTCACGTTCTTTTTTCCACCACACCACACCTGACTTGGAGAAACTCATTACATTTTTTTCTTTTATTAAAGGCTAATAGGCAAAAGCATCCAAAGAAGATTTCTGTGGGGTTTTAAAAATTAAATTGAACTAAAAAAAATTAAATTGAATTGGCAGTCTCCACTGCCTTCTGGCTCAGTTTTTGCTGATTTGCTTATTTAATACTGGAACTTCTCCATTTAATGAAGAAGCTGCCATTACTCACTCAATGGTTATGTCAAACAAACAAAGGAGCTGCATGTAACACAGCACGTTTGATCAAGCATTTGCCTATAGGGATGAACTTTTTCAATAGGGAAGAGAGGATGAAACTCTTGCCTCTACTCTTTGTGTTTTCTCCTTCTGAAAGGATATCTATTAGTTTAATATTCTTGGGCTCTCTGCAGGACACATTCTTTTCCCCGGGAGAGAAGAAACACCTTAATCCAATTTGTGAGTCTAGAAAGAGAACTGAGCATGCACAGCCTAGCTCCTTCTTTCCTGCTTCCCTCCTGAGAGCCAGGCTGACTAAAAAATACACCTTCTGTGTCTATTCCTCCATGTGATAAGCTTTTCAGAAGCAGCTTTGATCTGGAACAGCATGGTCTGTTACTATGGAGGTCAGTCTGTCAATGTAGGCTATGCTGAGGAAGGATGAGAAGTCTGTAGGTATTGATGAGGAAGATGGTACTGGCTGCCTTTAAACTGGAGGGCCACTGAGTTCCACCTGCTCTTTAGAGTACATGTGAGATTCTAACATTACAATGGCAGTACCTGGACTAGGCAGGCAGCCCTTAATTAGCTACCCCAACTTCCATTCTGCATCAGAGCTAAAGAGGGAATTGTGGCTTGAATTAATACGGCTTGCCCACAGGCTCAAGAGTCATCATCCCACACATGCAGTCTCAGTTGGTTTGGGACAGGTTAGTTACACAAGAGGGAGATCAACCTCCCCATTGGCCAGGTTTCACCGGTCTAAACAATTCAATAGCAAGTAGAAGAGAAACAGTCATGAGGGCACAGGCCTGAAAATGCTCGGCAGAGATGGCAAGACACCACACAAGGCATTAAGCAAAGCTGGCCCACCCTCAAAGCTGCATATCAAGGCCTGAATAGGTGATGAAAATTAAGAAGTTGTGAATATGTTGGATTGGAAAGAAAGGTATCTCAAGTAAGACCTGCTCAATGGGGCTGTCACCTCTGCCACATAAACTTTACAAGAAAGCATTAATATCAGAAATGTCATTCTCTGAGGAAAGTGATCATATACATAGGTGGCTTTCTCCCAAAATATAATAAAAGTGCCTGCTTTTAACGATATTTTCCGTGGAAAGGGACTTCCAGCAGCAAAATACTTGTAGCAACTCTCTATCCTCTCATGCATAGTGATTCTTTTGATGAGAATAAGGAACTAGGGATGTGTAGCTCTGCCCTTCCAAATTACACTTGGAGCAAACTGCTCATAGGAAGCACAGTTCACTCTGTTATTCCAATACTCTTGTTTGGCAAGAGCAGGATTTTCTGTGAAGGAGGTCTACCTTGGCCCAACATTGTCTGTGACTGGGAGGGGAAGTTCAGGGTTAGGAAGTGCATTTGCCAACAAATAAAAAGCTACATTCTTTTAACATCATTTATAAAGCAGTCTTTTAATCTCTCAATCTTTTAATCTTTTAAAAAAGATTTCCATGGATTCAGATCTCAGGTAGAAAATGAGGTTGTCACTTATTTGGTCCTCTAGAGAACCCAACACCTACCTCATATAGTTATGGTTAGGGTGAAATAAAATATCTTTCAGTAATGGTAGATATCATTATTATTCTCTAAGAACAACTGTTTTAGAAAACACTGACTCTCTTATACTCCAAAAGTACAGTGTTCTCTTGGGTGACCACAATGTTGGTAAACTCATTGCAGCAACTACCTCAAGATGAGAAAAAGATCTTAAGAAATCCTAAGTCTGGCAGGAAATGTACATGAGTTTGATCAGAAAGGATCGGAAGGGAACAGAGGCTATCTCCTTCAGCCTTTACCGTCTGATCTGCTCCTCGGCCACAGAGAGAGCATTCTCAGCAGCCACTCTTTGGTCTCGTTCTTCTTCCAGCAGCTTCCTTAATTCATTCACTTCCTGTCTGGTGTTGCATAGCTGCTGCTGAGCTTCAGAAAAGCTTTAGGATGAGAGGAAAACAAAAAGCATCATCAGATGCAGAAAACAGTTGCTAATACAAGGGATTCAAAGTCTTCATAAGGTTGTAAAGCAAGAAAATCCATAGAAGCTTGTCTAAACACAATATTTTAAAAGCAAAGCTGTAGAGGGATTAAATGAAGCTGCAGAAAATACCTAAAGAAATTTCAGGAACTGATTATCTTTCATTTTACTATCATAGAGTAGTTGTTAGTGGTGTGTGTGTGTTGGTGTTGCTCTTTTTGTTTTACAAACTTTTCACACACAAATGTTAGTTATTATTGTTACTATTTGATCCTCACATCACTTCTGTGAGGCTAATAAGATAACAAGACATATTAAATCCATATAAAGGACTCCAGTTAAATCTAGATTACTGCCCAATTTCTGGACTCTGGTGTATGCTCCAGGGTTTAGAGAGCCACTCCCCTACCTTTGCTGCGGTTCCCTTAGTTCCTCAGGGTCACTCTTTCTGTGAACTCCATTCTTTTCCTGGGGAGCTCCTGGAGCAACATCTATATTTAGTGGCCCCTGGAAGAAGAATAAGCTTAGTAATTCAGTGATGAAAGCTCTTAAGAAAGTGTATTTGAGCAAAATGAGAGCTCGTTTACAGAGGACTATCCCCGCTTATAATTCTCAAGTCCAAATTTAGAAGTGAGAAGCTTCTGCTCTAGCAGATTACTCACCTACATAAAACTCTTGTCTTGATTAGATTTTTCTCCCAGATTCTCATTCTTGAATTTCTCCTCTTAAAAGTTAAGTCTGGGCCGGGCGCCGTGGCTCAAGCCTGTAATCCCAGCACTTTGGGAGGCCGAGGTGGGTGGATCACAAGATCAGGAGTTCAAGACCAGCCTGGCCAAGATGGTGAAACCCTGTCTCCACTAAAAATACAAAAAATTAGCCGGGTGTGGTGGCAGGCGCCTGTAATCCCAGCAACTCGGGAGGCTGAGGCAGAGAATTGCTTGAACCCAGGAGGTGGAGGTTGCAGTGAGCCGAGATCGTGCTACTGCATTCCAGCCTGGGCGACAGAGCGAGACTCCGTCTCAAAAAAAAAAAAAAAAAAAAAAAAGTTAAGTCTGCTGTGGATGCTTATGGCTTTTCCAGAAGCCACTTTGATCCTTCCCTTGCTTGTCCAGCCCCTCCCAACCCCCTTTTCCTCCTCCGTATCCTATACGTCTCCATACTAATTCTCAGTCTCCTCCAACTTCAATGCTGTACTCCTCTCCCTGGCTGTCAACAGTGCTGCCTGTTTTGTTCTCAGATCCAAAGTTTCCTACAATTTTCTTATAACTTAAAGCAAAATCAACACTTTCTCTGTTTCAGAGTACCAAATGTCTCAGTCATCACTGTTTCCTACTCATGTTTTGATTTCTCTCCCACCATCTCACTGATCTTTTTTCTTCTAATTGCTTCACTGTAATTTTTCTCAGACCTTATTCCCATCTCAATTAACTCTTTCTTCTCTCCCACTTTCTTCCCTGACCCCTAATTACATTAACTTCTTCCATACTGCTCTGTAGTGCTTCACCACTTGCACTAAATTTCATCACACTTCTCCCAGTCTCTCACCTTCTCTTTACTCACCGCCTGCAGCTCTTGAACCTGCTTCTCCAAGACTGCACAGTGATTTAAAAGGTCACCATAGTGCTGCTGGTTCTCACGAAGACTCTGACTGGTATCGCAGAGCTGAATGGAAAGGGTGTTTTTCTCTTCCAGTAGCTGAGAGAACTGAAACAGAGGCGAGGATAAGCATCATCCTGCAGTACTGTAAGCAGTGCTGAGGTGAAATGTTCTGAGTTTTCAGGATCTAATTTTCCTATGGAAGACCTTTGTTTCAGCAACAGCAACAATAGCACTTTGTGTGCCTTCAAAGTTGGAAAAAGCATAATTTTTTTTTGACCAAGACAGAAAACAATTCTGGAGGAGTAGCAGAAAGGTTTTTTTGTTTTGTTCTGTTTTGTTTTTTTAAATGGTGCCCAGTACATTAACTGAAAAACCATGAAGCAGAAGTCCATAAGCAATCTAATTACATAGGCTATTCTGGGTACATAAGAGGGAGAAGGCAGTACCTCAGGGTCAAAGTTCATGGTACTAACAAATGACTATAATCTCCAGAACTCAATATGGCTGGAGAGAGCTGTCACCCCAAAATCTGTGCAATAATATTCCTAGGCAGATTCCTCAATGCCATAAAGAGTTATAAGTTACTGAGAGAATAGAATAAAAAATTATAATATGTGGTAGAAGGGAGAAACAGAATAAATCCCAACATGTATATGTATATGTCAGAAACTGTTGAGAGCATAGATTCTCCCAGGTAGAAACATTTCAGTCCCTTAAAGCAGGACTCTCCTCTACTGCATGACTAACAGGTCATCGTTCAGTCTTCCCTTGAACATGTTCAGTGTCAGGGCGCCCACTGCCTGACAAAGCAACCCAAACCATTTAAAAAACTGAAAATTCATTTTTATATTGAATGAAAAATTTACCTATTGTAGCTTCTACCCATTGATTTGAATTTGGTACTCTGGAACTATAATTCTCTCACTTGCAGGCTGTCAAGTTTTAAGTTTTAGCTGTGATTAGCCTCCAGGTACATTAATAACCATGGAGATGTCTCTCCAAGTTATCTACTCTAGGACCATGTACATTATATGAGAGGAACCCAGTATACCAGTTGCATGTTCAATTTTTTCTTGATGATTCTTTTTTGTAAGTTTTTGTGAAAAAAAGTTGAAACAAACAATGTTTTAGAGGAGAGACGACAGTTTTCTAGAGACAACTGTGAGGAAGGGCATTTGATGCAAATAGAAAATTAGAACAAGATAATCCATACATACTTGTAAAAGTGCTCTGTTAGCTGAAAATTGCTCTTCAGATGTAGGGTTGTTTTTTGTGTTTGTCATTCTGAAGAGCAATGTTAGCTTACAAAGTACTTTCACCAGTATCATCTTATTTGAGAGAGGTAGAGAAAGGATTTCTGTCCTTGTTTACAAATGGCTAGTAGATGTCAAACCAGGACTCAAGTGTGGTTCTTGATTCCAAGTCTAGAGCTCTATCTACTATCTGATGGTGTCCAGTCTGATAGTCTAGCAAGGAAAGCTAAGAAAATCATAGGGTTTTCTTTTGGGGGGGGGGGTGTGGGAGGAGGTGGGAATAGTTAGGAAAGGATATAAATATTTGGGAAGTGATACTAATTTGAAGACAGTTAACTGGGTACAATGACAACTATTGGATTCTGAGACAGGGCACAACATGTTCTTCCCTTAACCTAAGAGGAAGTTAATTTTCCTGGCCACAATGAACAGTCCAAACCATACCAAAAACAAAAACATAGATCCTTCTAGTTTAGGGGTTGGCAAACTATGATCCAGGGCCTGCTGCCCTTTTATCATAAATAAGGTTTTACTGGAACACAACCAGCCCAATTGATTCTATATTGTCTATGGCTGCGTTTGTGTTACAACTGCAAAGATGAGTAGTTGTTAACAAAGACCATACAGTCAACAAACCTAAAATATTGTCTGAGCCTGAAGGAAAAGTTTGCTGACCTCTCCTCTAGCTTATAAGCTACTATATTTCACTGTATCTATACCTGTAAAAACAAAATAGGAGGGAACAATTTAGACTACATTATGTCACTAATCATCCATCTCATGTTTTTAAGTTTCTAGCACATTCTTACATTACATACTAACATCCAAACAGCTGGTAGAAATGCAGTCATCCCTTGTTATCTATGGGGTATTGGTTTCAGAACCACCCCTGGACCCCCAACTCCCAGTATACCAAAATTCGAGGACGCTCAAATTCCTTATATATAATGGCAGGGTATTTGCATATAACTTATACACAACCTCCCAGATACTTAAAAAATTTTTTAATTCATGTATAATAGATATACATAGTTTCAGGATACATGCTATAATGTAATATATTCATATAATTTGTAAAGATCAAATCAGTGTATCTGGAATATCCATCACCTTAAGTATTTGTCTTTCCTTTACGCTAGAAGCATTTAAATTCTTCTCTTCTAGCTATTTTGAAATATACAATAGATTGTGGTAAACTATAATCACCTATTGATTTACCTAACACTAGGTCTTATTTCTTCTATCAAACCATGTATTTGCACCCATTAATCAACTTCTCTTCATTCCCTCCTCTCCTTTATCCTTCCCAGCCTTTAGTAACTACCAATGCACTCTCTATCTTCATGAGATTCACTTTTTTTTTTTTGCTCCCACACGAGTGAGAATGTGATATTTGTCTTTCTGTTCTTGGCTTATTTCACTTAACATAATGTCCTCCAGTTCCATCTATGTTGCCACAAATGACAGAATTTCATACCTCTAAAAGCTGAATAATATTCCCTTGTGTACATATACCACATTCTTAATCTATTCATCTGTTGACGGGTACTTACATTGATTCTATGTTTTGTTTTTTATGAACAGTGCTCCAATAAACATGGGAGTACAGATGTCTTTTTGATATATTGATTTTCTTTCTTGTAGATACGTGGGTTGCTGGATCATATGGTAGTTCTATTTTTAGCTTTTTGAGATACCTCCATACTGTTCTCCACAGTGGCTGTACTAACTTACATTGCTAACAGTGTATGGGAGTTCCCCCTTTCTCTGCATCCTTGCCAGAATCTGTTACTACCTGTCTTTTTGATAAAAGCTATTTCAGCAAAGGTGAGATGACATCTCACTATAGCTTTGATTTACAATTCTCTGATGTTTAGGGATGCTGAGTATTTTTTTTTATATCTGTTGGCCATTTGTATGTCTTCTTTTGAGAAACGTCTATTCAGATCTTTTGCCCACTTTTAAGTTGAGTTATTTGTTTTCCTGCTATTTAATTGTTTGAGTCCCTTATATATTCTGGTTATTAATCCCTTGTTAGATGGGTAGTTTGCAAATGTTTTCTCTCATTCTGTGGATTGTCTCTTCACTCTGTTGATTGCTTCCTTTGCTGAACAGAAGCCTTTTACTTGCTGTAATCCCATTTGTCTATTTTTGCCTTGGTTGCCTGTACTCTTCAGGACTTACACAAAAAAAGCCTTGGCTAGATCCATGTCCTGAAGCATTTCCACAAGTTTTGCTCTAGTAGTTTCATAGTTTCAGATCTTAGAATTAAGTCTTTAATCCATTTTGATTTGATTTTTGTATGATGAGAGATAGGAGTCTAGTTTTATTTTTCTGCATATAGATATCCAGTTTTCCCAGCACCATTTATTAGAGAGATTGTCCTTTCTCCATCATATGTTCTTGGTGCCTTTGTCAAAGACAAGTTGCCCCTAAATGCCTGGCTTTATACCTGGGTTTCTAATTGTTTCATTGGTGGTCTGTGTGTCTGTTTTTATGCCAGTATCATGCTCATTAAACAGGTAGTGTGATGCTTCCAGCTTTGTTTTGTGTGTTTTTTTGTTTTTTGGTTTTTTTTTTTTTTGAGACGGAGTCTCGCTCTGTCACCCAGGCTGGAGTGCAGTGGCGCGATCTCGGCTCACTGTAACTTCCACCTCCCGGGTTCAAGCAATTCTCTGCCTCAGTCTCCCAAGTAGCTGGGATTACAGGCCCCCGCCATCACGCCCAGCTAATTTTTGTATTTTTAGTAGAGACGGGGTTTCACCATGTTGGCCAGGATGGTCTCGAACTCCTGACCTCAGGTGATCCACTCATCTTGGCTTCCCAAAGTGCTGGGATTACAGGCATAAGCCACCACACTCGACCCAGTTTTCCTCTTTTTAATCAAGATTGCTTTGGCTAGTTAGGAGTTTTTGTGGTTACATACATATTAAATTTTTTTTCCCATTTTTGTGAAGAATGTCATTGGTATTTTGATAGGGATTGCATTTAATCTGTAGATTGCTTTGTGTAGTACTGTCATTTTAATGATATTAATTCTTCTAATCCATGAGCACGAAATATCTTTCCTTTTTTTAGTGTCCTCTTCAATTTCTTTCACAGTGTTTTATAAATCTTTCATTTCTTTGGTTAAATTGATTCCTAAGTATTTTAAATTCTTTGTAGCTATTATAAATGGGATTGCTATCTATCTATCTATCTATCTATCTATCTATCTATCTATCTATCTATTTTTGAAACACAGTCTCGCTCTGTCACCTAGGCTGGAGTGCAGGGGTGCGATCTCAGCTCACTGCAACCTCCGCCTCCCAAGTTCAAGTGATTCACATGCCTCAGCCACCCGAGTAGCTGGGATTACAGGCGTGCACCACCATGGCTGGCTAATTTTTGTATTTTTAGTAGAGAAGGGATTTCGCCATGTTGGCAAGACTGGTCTCAAACTCCTGGCCTCAAGTGATCCACTCACCTTGGCCTCCCAAAGTGCAAGGATTACAGGCATGAGCCACCATGGCTGACTGGGATTGCTTTCTTGATTTCTTTTCCAGATTGTTTGCTGTTGGCATATATAAATGCTACTGATTTTTGCCTGTTGATTTTGTCTCCTGCAACTTTACTGAATTCATTTATCAGTTCTAACAGTTTTTTGGTGGATTCTTTAGGTTTTTCTAAGTATAAGGTCATATCATCTGCAAAAAAGGCTAATTTGACCTCTTCCTTTCCAATCTGGATGTGCTTTTTTTTTTGTTTTGTTTTTGCCTAATTGCTCTAGCTAGGGTATCTAATAATATATTGAATAACAGTGGTGAAAGTAGGCATCCTTGTCTTATTTCAGATCTTAGAGGAAAGGCCTTCAATTTTTCCCTGTTCAGTACAATGTTACCTGTGGCCTCCCATATACTTTAAATAATCTCTAGATTACTTATAATACCTAATACAATACAAATGCTATATAAATAGTTGTTATACTGTATTTTTAAAATTCATGTTTTCCTGAATATTTTCAATCTACAGTTAGTTAAATCTGTGAATGCAGAAATTACCAATATGAAGGGCCAACTATAAATATAAAACCTGAACATCTGAAGAAAGAATTAGGGAAGTGGCTTAGAGAAGAACAATCTATGCTGACAGCCCATCTACTACAATCTCATTCTGGGGCCCAAGAAGCAATTCTCCTATTTAGCTGGGACTCATTCAGAGTGAGGCTAAGCTCATGAAGGAATATGTATATCCTCAGTATCTAGCATATAGCCAGGCTCATGGAAGACAAATAATAGTTATTGTTTTAATGACTGAATAAGGCTAGGAATGAGGTGCCTTTCTTTTTTTTTTTTTTTTTTTTTGAGACGGAGTCTCGCTCTGTCGCCCAGGCCGGACTGCGGACTGCAGTGGCGCAATCTCGGCTCACTGCAAGCTCCGCTTCCCGGGTTCACGCTATTCTCCTGCCTCAGCCTCCCGAGTAGCTGGGACTACAGGCGCCCGCCACCGCGCCCGGCTAATTTTTTTGTATTTTTAGTAGAGACGGGGTTTCACCTTGTTAGCCAGGATGGTCTCGATCTCCTGACCTCATGATCCACCCGCCTCGGCCTCCCAAAGTGCTGGGATTACAGGCGTGAGCCACCGCGCCCGGCCTGAGGTGCCTTTCTTACAGTTGAGTTCTAAAGGAAAAACTGTTTCTCACTCAGAATGACAGTGACCTATGCAGTGTTTCTCACACTTTAAGTGGAATTACATATCTCAATAAAGGTGTTAAAAAACACAACTTTATGACTTAGAACCCAGTATATAAATATATACAATTAAAACTAAAGTTTTCCAAAGACAGACATATTCTTTATTATATATTACATACGTGTTTTTACCTCATTTCTTTTTTTTGTAAAAACACCAACTGCACTATTTGTAATAGCCCCAAACTGGAGAAGCCCAAATGTCCTTCAACAGAATAGAGATTGTGGTATATGCCTAAAATGCAATACTACACAGCATGAGAGTGGAAAAATGACACTATATGCAACGACATGGATGAATCTCACAAAATAAATGAAGCAATATAAAAGAAAAGGTATGACTCCATTTATATGTAGTTCTAAGTGGGTAGGAGTGAACAGAAGACACAAGGGACTTCTGGAGTTCTGGTATGTTCTGATTCTAGATCTGGGTGCTGATTATATGGGTATCTTCACTTTGTGAAAATATATCATGCTGTACTTATGATTTGTTTACTTTTCTGTATGTTTTACTTCAATAAAACATTAAAAATTTTTTTTAGTTGTTGCCCACCAAAATGATTTCATCATTTATTAATGGTCCTGAATTTCAGTTTAAAACACTGTCCTAGACAGACAAATGCCCAATGTGATTCAGAGTCTAATGTTTGGAGAGCAAATGTAACAGGCCTGAGACGGGAGTTAGTTGACGGAAAAAAGAGACAGGCTAGAGCTGTAAAGGGTGGAACTTCCGGAAATAGCTGATTTGCTGGAAGGGGAACTCCATGGGAGCTGCTCTGGAGTCCCTTTGAAAACTCCCAGACAAATCTACCAATAAAGAGTCTACAGTTTAACTAATTCATTTGGGCCTGCAGACTTTAAAAACTGCAAATGTCTCCTCTCTGATACTTCAGTGTCAATTAGTTGAATTTAACTACATTTAATAAGTACCCTCTACATATGCAGGCACTGTGCTTTTCCACATGCATGATCACGTTTATTTCAGACTGACTTCGTCCTAACACCTCAGGCAAGTTACTTACTACTCCAGGGCCTTTTTCCTCATCTGTGAAAACAGCCTAGTGATCTTTTTAATTTTTGGATCACAGACCCCTTGGTCAACTGATGAGTTCTTGTGATGAAAAGCTTACGCACACACACACTATTGTGCATACAATTTTTGGGCATTCTTGGCTCTCCTCAAAGCTAATCTCTGGACTTCTGATTCTGATTGATCTCTAAATATCTTGTAGTTCTATCATAGACTACTTAGCTGAGTTCCTCTCAAGAGGGCAGAACTAGGGCAGGTGCCACTAAAGAATATTTTGAATAGTCAGTGAACAACAGGAGGACAATTCTTAAGAGGGTGGGGTAGGGAGTAGCCTCAGCATTACTACAAGTGATACAGGTCAGGGGGAAGGCTTCCTAAAGTAGTTGGCTTCTTTACTTTTACTGTCTGGATTTATCCAATCATTCCCAAGGACTCACCAAGGGCAAAGGACAAGAAATGGCCCTGTGTCCAGTGCTTTGGAATAAGCACCCAGGTTCTGAGAAAGGTGAAACTTCTGTACCCTAAGATATGCTACAGCTGGGACTCTATGCTGAATTGGCTTCTACTTGCCTTCTTGTTCCAGTCATGGAAAAAAGAAACTGAATTCCAGTCTAACAAGAAACACTTACGTTGCTGTTCAGTTGCTGAATTCTTAACTCCTTTTGGTGAATTTCCTTTAAGCTGTCATTGAGCTGGGTCCTGAGAAGTTCTGTCTCATAAACCAGATTTTGTGACCCATCTGGGGAAGCTGATGTCTCTGGGGATGCCTGCCAGGACACAAACATTGATCAGATTCTCTCCTAAGATTGCGCATGCTTAATTCCTTCCCTCTAGAAATCCTGTCCGCCCCATAGAAGTCATAAGGTGGCTTATGGGCACTTAATAGTGGCAGATGGGCACTTAATTTGTAGGAAGCTGATGCTTTCTGGGTAGCGTCTTAAAAAAAAAACAAAACCCTGCAATCATCATCATTTGTTTAAAAATTTATCTCTGAGTAACAATCAGCATTGAAATTACTCACCTGTCTTTGGTATTGCACTTTGAGAGGCTGAGTCTGGGAGGAAGAAGACCTCAATTCCCTTATAAGATTCTGCAGATGACTGAGCTGCTGATCTTTATCTGAGATAGCCATAAGGTACTGTTCCTTCATTCTCCTCTCATGTATTTCCCAGGAACTCTTCTCCATCCTAGAAAAAACATGACACAATCACAGGTAAAAATATACTTGTAACTGGGCATGGTAGCTCGCACCTGTAACCTCAGCACTTTGCTTATCTTCAAAGTTACTCAAATCTGGAAGGTAAAGAAAGAAAGGCTAAGAAAAAGGTGGAAAGAGAGAAAATGTGGGGGAAAAAACAGGAATCTTTTTTTCTCTATCTCCTTTTCTCTTCCCTAAGGGTCAATTATATAAGGAAATAAGGAAAATAAATATCCTTTTAGATTGCCATTAGAGGAAATTTAAAGAAGAAAGGCTGCAGGAAATAAGCCTTTAGAGCTTTGCAGCTCTTCTTAGGTTTACACTAGTAGCTGAACACTTTAATATTTCTGTAGTTCTAGGTGATGTGGAGATAAGATGAGAGGCATCAAGCGATGCTCTGATACGGTACCAATCACCTTTGGAGGGCCCTAAATTCAAGTGCATCTGAAGGACACAGCAAGCACCTAAACTTCTGATGATAAATTAAGATTCTAACAGAATAAAGCTGGGGTGCTATTCCCTGAAGAAAAATGGAGGTTAAAATGGAGCAATTTATCTTTTCTCTTGAGATTCAATTTCAAAAGAAGAAACAAATTTATATTTCTAGAGAGCAAAACTCAGTTGTTTTGCCATTTTCTTTTTACTTGCTCTGCAATCATCATCATTTGTTTAAACAAAAAATTTGTTCTTGTATTATCTGGGGAAGCTGCCAACTCCATGCAATGAGCTTGATAAATGTTCACTTATAATCAAGTCCATAAAGATGTTAAATATGAAAATCTTTTAGATGTAATTTTACTCCATAAAGTTTAAATCATTAAATTCCAAAAAGCATTTTGCTATATCAATGTTGCTTAAGGTTTGAAATCTCCTGTGTCTGAACATTAAGAACTCTCTTAGAGATGTTATGATATTTATACTATATTGACAGTTGTCATTCTAATGGCCCCTTGTAAGCTGGATAGAAATTGAGATTCCAACTCATATTTTCTGTATTCATTTGCCTCTTGTCCTCTAGCATTGGTGAAACAAAGCAGGTGCTGCTTGATCAGCAGCAATGTCCAACATGGTAATTCTCCTTTTAATATCAAATCTTGAAAGCTTTTTGAATTTTTTTTTTTTTTGAAACAGGGTCTCACTCTGTTGCCCAGGTTAGAGTGCAGTGGCATGATGTTGGCTCACTGCAACCTCCACCTCCCGGGTTCAAGCAATTCTCCTGCCTCAGTCTCCCAAGCAGCTGGGATTACAGGCGCACGCCACCATGCCCAGCTAATTTTTGTATTTTTGGTAGAGATGGCCAGGCTGGTCTCAAACTCCTGACCTCACATGATCTACCTGCCTTGGCCTCCCAAAGTGCTAGGATTACAGGTGTGAGCCACCGCACCCAGCCAAGTATGAATTTATTAAGGCAGCATGAACCATCTTAAGTTAAACAGTAACAACCTCCCAAAAATGAGGCTGCAACAACTAGACCTGTTTTTATACACTAAGTGTTTAATCTTGGGATTAAATTTGTCAGAAAAACTGAATTAAAAAAAAAATCAGAATTATAGCTCCTATCTTAATTTCTTCTGCCATGATAGCATTATTATTGTTCTGTTCCTTAAAAAGAAAAGAGCTAGGATTTCTGGTTCTAGACAAAATAAAATAGACACATTTCTCCTTATTCTTCCAACTAAGGCTGAGCAACCCTAATCAGAAAATCAGAAATACTTCAAAATCCAAAACTTTTTGAGCACTGACATGACACTCAAAGGAAATGCTCATTAGATAATGCAAATATTCCAAAATCCAAAAAAATCCGCAATCCAAAACACTTCCAATCCCAAGCATTTCAGATAAGGAATACTTAACCTGCATAGATAAAACTCTTGGGCCTTATAAATAAAAACAAACATAAGAAAATTTAGAAAGATGGTGGCAAACCAGCTAGGGATCCCCAGACTTGAGGAATGACATGGTGGCAAGTTCTTTGGTTTACCATTTGTATTCTGCATATCCCAAACCGGATACTGGAGAATTCCATGACCCGGAAACACCAATGAGTACCAAGTTTACTCAGTCTTGCCAAAGGACCAGGAAGGGACAGTCTAGCTAGACAGAGCCATTAATGATACTAACCACCATACTCCAGGCAAACAACATGGAAAAAACACAGTATCTCACCACTCCCATTAACAAAGACCTGGTAGATAAGCTAGGTACATTCTTGGCTGGTGGTAACAAGGTACACCTCACCCTCCTTACTGGAGTAGTGTCAGAAAAGGCCAGGTATGGAGCTTGGACTCTTACAATCACCTAGTGCTAAGAAGGTGCCTCTCTCCGACTGCCCCTCCTCCCCCACTCCCACTGTGGTATCAGTGGAGGCAACATGTGGGGCCTGGACATCCCCCTCCACCATAACAAGGTTAATAAGGCACTCTTCCTTGTCCCTGCAGAGGTGGTATCAGAAGAGATCAAGTGGGGATTCTGGACTTTGAGTACTACCCAGTGGTAACAAGATGCCCCTCTTAACCATTCCCCATAGTGTCAGTGGAGGCTAAGCGGATAGCCTGGACTTTTACCACCACCTGGCAATAATGAGGTGCCCCTCTCCACTCCTTCCAGCACAGTATCAATGGAGGCCATGTGGGGAGCATGGACTTCCACTTCCTCCTGGCAGTATCAGGGCATCCCTTCCTTTTAGGGGTATCAACGAAAGTTGAATGGGGTGCCTGGAGTTCACCATCCACCTAGTGTCTTCCTTCCCCTGCCGGTGTGGTGTCAGTGAAGCCTGCTAACACAGAAGATTCAAATAAGACTGAAAGTCTTATAATCTCCAAAATGTCCAGAATGTAACTAAAAATCACTCATCATACCAAGAACCAGGAAAACCACAACTTGATTAAGAAAAGGAAATCAACAGTTTATAACACTGAGGTGACACAAATATTAGAATTATATGACAAGGATTTTACAGCAGCTGTCATAGAAATGCTTAAACAAGCGATTACTAACATACTGGAAAAAGTATAGAAAGCTTCAGCAAAGAAATAGAAGATATAAAGAAGAACTGAATGGAAATTTTAGAACTGAAAAATACAATATCCAAAATAAAAAGCTAACTCACTGGGTGCCATAGCAGAATGGAGGTAGGAAGCAGAGAACTTGAAAATCAAATAGAAAATACCAAATCTGAATGATAAAGAGAAAATAATAAATTGGATTTCATCAAAATTAAAAAGACCCTGTTGAGGGAGATGAAAAGATAAACTGCAAATTGGGAAAAAATATTTGCAAACCGCAAATCAAACACAGAATGCATACCTATAATATATAAAGAACGCTTAAAACTTAACAGTAAAAAATTAACCCAATTAGAAAACGGACAAAAGACATGAACAGATATTTCATCAAAGAGGATATATGGATGTCAAATACACACATTAAAAAGATGTTCAGCCATTATGCAAAGTGGTTTTGCAGTTTCTTAAAAAACAAAACATTCACTTATTGTATGAGCTAGCATTTGCACTCCTGGGCAATTATCCCAAAGAAATGAAAACTTAGGTCCACACAAAAACTTATACACAAATGTTCATAGTAGTATTATTAGAATAGCTAAAAATTAAAAACAATATGCATGTCCTTCAACAGGTGAATACAGTGGTATATTCATAATATGAAACATTATTTATACTGAAAAGAATGAACTATTGATACATACAACAAAACTGATGGATCTCAAGGGCATTATGGCACATGAAAAAAGCCAATTTCAAAGGGTTATATACTGCAAGATTCCAGTTAGAAAACATTCTCAAAATGACAAAATTGAACACAGATTAGTGGTTGCTAGGGGTTAAGGATGTGAGGAAGGTAGGGAAGGGAGGAATGTGACTATAAACTAGTAGCACAAAGGACGTATTTGTGGTGATGGAGTAGCTCTGTATTTTGGTTTTGGTGGTGCTTAAATATACATGTCACAAAATTGCATAGAACCACACACACAGATAGTCAAATCAGTGCATGTAAAACTGGTGGAATCTGAATGTGGTCCGCGAATTGTACCAATGGCAGTTTCCTGGTTTTGATACTGTGCTACAGTTATGTAAGATGTCACCACTGGAAGAAACTGGGTGAAGGGTACATAGAAGCTCTCTGCACTATTTTCCCAAATCTACAATTATTTCAAAATAAAAAGTTAAAATGAAAAGAGTTGAAAAGGAGGGATTATATATAGTACCTGAGCTGATGCAGCTCATGCTGCCAGGAGAGGTTTTCCTGCCTGAGCTCTTCTTGCATAATCTGAAATGCTTTTGTCTTATCTTGATACTCCTGAAGTTGAGCCTTCAGTGGATGTAACTCAGTGATCTCTTGATTAATCTGTAAGTATTGCTGCTGCAGATTCTTCAATTCCTTCAGCTTTAACCAAAGGGAAAGTAAAATGATTATTTGTCACATCTCATTCATCTAACTGTAAGTCATTGGTAGCTCCCTACTAAGTAGTCAGACACCACAACATGAAACCAGCACCTAACAGTCCACTGATGACATATCACTGCAACATAAGTCTCTAAAGTAGTGAAATACATGCAGCTAGGCTGGTGGAAATCACCCATGGAGCTGCCATCAAGGCTACAGGGTGTGACTATTCCTGCAACTTCTACTCCTTCCCCTGGCTCCTAAGGTCCTAAGTTCACTTTAGGGCTACAATTCTGACGTGGGGTAGACTTAAGAGACCTAGAGCTTCACTGTGGGTGGTCACATCCTAAAACAAGAACTAGTCATGTGTCCTTGTTAGGGTTCTTAACTTTCCTACAGGGCTATCAATCTTAACTGTAGCTTAGCGGATACTGATTATAAAGAAGGCAGTGCTGCTCAGTGGTTAAGGACACTTAGGCTCTGGAGTTAGATATCCTACTACTTCTTGGACGTGTGACCCAATGCATGTTCCTCATACTCTTCTTTTTTTTTTGAGAGGGAGTCTTGCTCTGTTGCCCAGGCTAATTTTCCTCATCTATTAAATGAAGATAATTATAGTACCTTTTTCATAAGAATATGAGAAGTAAATGAGCAAATTAATGCACTTCACACATAAAGTTAGTGATGATGACAGACTTGCCTTTAATTAACAACACTGCCTACCTACATTTCAGATATATTTTCAACTTCTTTATCTCCAATACTCATTAAAAGCTTAGTAAGGGAGAAATAATATCAGGACATCTGGGCAAAGATGGGGGTCTTGTTCACATACCTCTTTCACCCACTTAGAGACATCGCTAAAGCTAAAATAATAGCATTTTTTAAAGCACAAAACACAAGAACAGGAAAAACAATAGAGGAATCAGCAGCAATAAAATTAATTTTGGAAGCTGAAAAGCAGATGAGTAAGTGGTAACTGACTTAACAGATCTGAGAAAGCAGAATCTAAAGCTGGTAGTAAGAAAATCCAAGAATCAGTGGAACTTACTCTGCAGAATCTTCAAAAGGCTCAGGAATTAACAGCATCAGGCACCTCTGGAAAAGATGGTGATGGGGGTGGGAGGGAGGTGATAGCTGAGATAAGGAGGTCTAGATGAAAGCTGCTTAAGAAGCAATTTCTTTTAATTTTTTTTTTTTTTTTTTTTTTTTTTTTTGGAGAGACGGAGTCTCAGTATGTTGCCCAGGCTGGTCTCAAACTCCTGGACTCAAGTGATCCCTCCACCTTGGCCTCCCGAAGTGCTGGGATTACAGGCGTGAGCCACTGCGCCCGGCCAGAAAACAACTTCATTTATAGGTACCCTCTTCAGCTCCACACTTTTTGTTACCCCAACAGACAACTAATTTTATTCTCTGGACAGGTAAAAGAAGTCTCTGTGGACTATGGCACCTGAGGCACAGTTACAAGTAAGGGTATTGTTCCAAATAAAGTGAATGCATGCTTCCTGAGTGCTTGAAGTCTTTCCCCTACTGAGCTTGAAGAGTGCTGGTAAAAGGCCTTTTCCCTCCACAAAGGAAATGAAAAGTCTTCTCTTGAAAATCTGACCAGCCCAAGAAAAACTAAAGATACTGAGATAAGGGCTACCAATAAGCTCAATAAGATCATCATGCAATGAAACTCCGTTGGTAAGTCCTACCCACAAGGTTTTAGACCCTCCCCTTAAACATGAAGAGTACATTGAGGATTAACCTTCACCTGAAGAATGGCTAACATTAAGGAAGGGAAGAAAACCAACTAGAGAAGGTAATTTAGAAGAGATTATCAGGGGAGAAAATGTAATGTACTCAAAGATTTAAGAGATAACATTGTAAATAAGAAACATTACAGCATAAATTAAAAATTATAAAGAAAAACTCATTATAAGAAAACGTCAAAAAACAAAACTACCACCATTAGCCTTAGAAAGAGAAGAAAATCTACCGGCCGGGGACGGTGGCTCATGCCTGTAATCCCAGCACTTTGGGGGGCCGAGGTGGGCAGATCACGAGGTCAAGAGATCGAGACCATCCTGGCCAACATGGTGAAACCCTGTCTCTGTTAAAAATATAAAAATTAGCTGGGCGTGGTGGCGGGAGCCTATAGTCCCAGCTACTCATTAGGCTGAGGCAGGAGAATCGCTTGAATTCAGGAGGCGGAGGTTGCAGTAAGCCAAGATCATGCCATTGCACTCCAGCCTGGATGACAGAGCGAGACGCCGTCTCAAAAAAAAAAAAAAAAAAAAAAAAACAAGAAAATCTGTCTATGAGACACAGAAAAAAAATCCTTAGAAATTAAGAATATAATGGCAAAAATGAAAAAAATGTTGGAATCAAAAGACGAAGGCAAGAAAATCTTCCAGAAATACAGCAAAAAAAAAAAAAAAGGGAAAAGTTAAGAAAATTAGAGAAGCAATCAAGAAGGTCCTACATCTAAATAACAAACATTTCAGAAATAAGACAACAGAGAAAAAGGATAGAGGAAAATGGTAAAAAATAATTTAATGAAATTTCCAAAAAGCTGCTAGTATGATTTCTTAGATTCAAAGGACTAGTTAGCATGATGAAGAAAAAAAGACCTATACCAAATTATACTATCAAAAAATTTCAGAATAGGGGAGAAAGGGAGGGAAGGTGGGGTGAGGGGAAGGGAAGTGAGAAACAGATCACATACAAAGGATCAGGAATCAGAATAGCTTTAGACTTGTGAACCACATATAAGCTAAAAAGCAATAAACCAATGTCTTCACAATTTTGAAGGGAAATTATTTTCAGCCTAGAATTCTATATCCAGCAAAACTATCAATCAGATAAGAGAGATAAAAAGACATTTTCAATAAATTTACCTTCCACATACCATTTCTTAGGGATCTACTGAATGATTTATTCCAGGAAAAAGATGGCACAAAACCAAGAAAAGGAATACATAGAATAGACAAAATAGGAGATCTAATATAGGAGAAAGGTAAAGGGAAATATTCTGGGATAGAAAGGGTATCCTAGGAGTACAGGGCCACTGGTTGATATAGGAGCAAATCAGGTACTCCAGGAGAATTTTCTTCCTGAAGATGAAATTGATGGGAATAAACATCTTGAAAGGAGATGTGGACAAATGGCAGTAAATCTGAGGTTAAATTACATTAAGTACAAAGAAAACTAAGGAACAACAATAACAAAAACTTATTAATCTGGGAAAAACAGAAAGACTCAGGAAAATAAAAGTAACATGTCTCTAACGCTCTAGTAGCATTTGTAGTCATAAAAAATGTAACTCTGAATTGATTTAACCAAAATTAAAATTAAATTACATCAAGAAAATGAGGAAGGGGTTTGTATTAAAATGTGCACACACTGGCCGGGTGCAGTGGCTCACGCCTGTAATCCCAACACTTTGGGAGGCTGAGGCAGGTGGATCACGAGGTCAAAAGATTGAGACCACCCTGGCCAACATGGTGAAACCCTGTCTCTACTAAAAATACAAAAATTAGCCGGGCAAGGTGGCGTGCACCTGTAGTCCCAGCTACTCGGGAGGCTGAGGCAGAAGAATCGCTTGAACCCGGGAGGTGGAGGGTGCAGTGAGCTGAGATGGCGCCACTGCACTCCAGCCTGGCAACAGAGCGAGACTCTGTTTCTAAATAAATAAATAAATAAATAAATAAATAAATAAATAAATAAAAAGTGCATACACTAACAGGGTTTACTGTGAAAGCAGGGAGAGTACAGAGAGCTAAACCCTGTTAGTGTAAAGAAAATCAATAGTTGATGCAACAAAGAGCCAAAAATGCAATATAAGCATGATATTTACATACACAGGAAATACTGAAAGAATAAGCTAAAAGGGTTGAAAGCAAATTGCCTCAGAAGAAATGGGGTTGAGGTAGTGCTACTCTTAGCTTTTCCCACCAAACATTGTAGAATTTAGTGACTAATTAAATATGGGTCATATAACTTTATTTTTAACCCAAACCCCAAAACATATTTTTGTTTTGATTTAAGGTAAAAACATATTCCTTTATGCAATCCACTCACTCCTCTAGTCTAGATACTAGACTAGAGGTATCCTAGAATGGACCATCAGAAAGCTGTGTGCCTGGGACTGCATTTTAGCTCCTTGGAGTGGTAGTTTTAGTGAACTGGACGTAATTCTTTTGCTCTGCACTTACATTAAGGGACAGCTAAATAAAAACCCTAAAAAACACATTATTATATTTACTGTAGAGAAGTAATGGATGTTTCACAACTGCACAGTGTTCTCTTTATGGGAACACAGAAGAAATTTCTTACAGGCCTCAATACTTAAAGACTATTCTTGTCTTGAGTAGGTGATTTTTCTTTCTCCTTTTCTCCTAGACTATAAATACTGCAGTTCATGCATGCGGTTTTCATTCCCTCTTTCTGATGGCTAATAGAAACCTCAGAGCAAACTATGGATCCCTCTTTCTAACACAGTACAGGATATGGTGACTTCCCCTTGGGACACTAACCTTACTCCTGGTTTGATCTTTTTCTAGCCTATCCTCTTTTTCTCCTCCTTCTCAGTCCCTTTTATTTTATCTTGAAAAATTGTTTATATCTTTATATGCTACCCCAAGTCATTTTCAGAATGAGGAGAGTATAGATAAATACAGGCACCCCTAGAGATATGTCATCTGCTTAGTCAGTTCTATGCTAAAGATGTACAAATAAGTATAAGACATGACACTTACCAGGAGTTTGCAATCTAATTGGGGAAATAAAAAATAGTGTACAGAAATTAAACATATACACACACACACACACACAATAAGGCAATATGGGACAAATGATAAGTAAAATACTAGGGAAGTACAAAGGCAAAAGACAATCAGGCAATCACGAAATGTAAGAAGAGGATCTGAGCTCTGGAATGACCTTTAAATAGTGGGAAATAGACACTCAAAAAAGGAAAGCAATTGGGAGAACATTTTGGCTGCTGAAGATAATATGGGTAAGTAGGAAGTACCAGGTGTGATTATTGCATACTGAGTAGATCAGTTTGGTGTGAATGAAGGGTATGAGTAGGGAGCAGTAAAAGGGAACGCTGGAAAGGTATGGATAAATTACAGGGTCTTGGCCAGGTGTGGTGGCTCACGCCTGTAATTCCAGCACTTTGGGAGCCGAGGCAGGTGGATCACTTGAGACCAGGAGTTTAAGACCAGCCTGGCCAATATGGTGAAACCCCATCTCTACTAAAAATACAAAAATTAGCTAGGCATGGTGTAGTCCCAGCTACTTGGGAGGCTGAGGCAGGAGAATTGCTTGAACCTGGGAGGCGGAGGTTGCAGTGAGCCAAGATTGCACCACTGCACTCCAGCCTGGGTGAGAGAGCAAGACTCCATCTCAAAAAACAAACAAACAAAAAAACAGGGTCTTAAATGCCAGACTAAAGGGGGTTTGAATACTAAGTCTATTCTAGAGATAGTACAACTTTTAAATATTTTTGAGTAGTGCAGTAATACAGTAGAGTTTCAGAAAGACTTATATGGTGATGGTCTGAAAATACTGGTGAGATGATAACCTGGAAGCAACATTATTAGAACAGTTTAAGGGTAAAGTGTTAGAGCTTATCTTAGGATGTTGAAGATGGAAAATAAAAATACTTGAGGCACACTGTGAATAAAGGAGTGATACATCTTGATGGTTAAAATAAAATCACAGTTATGAGCATTTGGGAACAGAATAATATGACTCTGAATTACAGAAACACGAAAATAAAAAAGTTGGCTTGGCTGTAACTATCCAGCAGACAAAAATGTGCAAAGTTTAGTGCCTAGTGTTTATAACAGATAAGAATAATAAAGCAATTCACTGAATTAAACATAGTTAGCTAATTCAGAATCTATCCTAACAGCTCCATGAAAAAAGATTTTGACTTAGAAGATAATCAATACCAGCATATCATAAATTACAGCTTTGAGGCACATACCATCCTGATGAATAGAACCTTTTGCATTTACGGTCTGAAAAGACAGACAAAAGGCCAAGCTCCCAGGGCAAAGTCAGCTAAACTCAAATTATTTAAAAAATATAAACAAGTATGTGTATGTTGGAAGTAAAAACCATAACTGAACAGAGAGGCTTTGTTCGGATTACAAAAGGGGAAAGACTGTCTATAAATATGGGATATTAAGTGAGATAGGAATGAATACAATTACCTACAATAAAAAGGAAAAACTCACTCTACAGTTAGGGGTAATAATCTTTTCACTAGAGCTCATCTTAAAAATTAGAATTTTCGCTCTCCCTCTCCCTCTCCCTCTCTCTCTCCCCATGGTCTCCCTCTCCCTCTCTTTCCACGGTCTCCCTCTGATGCCGAGCCAAAGCTGGACTGTACTGCTGCCATCTCGGCTCACTGCAACCTCCCTCCCTGATTCTTCTGCCTCAGCCTGCCGAGTGCCTGCGATTGCAGGCGCGCGCCGCCACGCCTGACTGGTTTTCGTATTTTTTGGATGGAGACGGGGTTTCGCTGTGTTGGCCGGGCTGGTCTCCAGCTCCTAACCGCGAGTGATCCGCCAACCTCGGCCTCCCGAGGTGCCGGGATTGCAGACGGAGTCTGGTTCACTCAGTGCTCAATGGTGCCCAGGCTGGAGTGCAGTGGTGTGATCTCGGCTTGCTACAACCTCCACCTCCCAGCCGCCTGCCTTGGCCTCCCAAAGTGCCGAGAGTGCAGCCTCTGCCCCGCCGCCACCCCGTCTGGGAAGTGAGGAGCGTCTCTGCCTGGCCGCCCATCGTCTGGGACGTGAGGAGCCCCTCTGCCTGGCTGCCCAGTCTGGAAAGTGAGGAGCGTCTCTGCCCGGCCGCCATCCCATCTAGGAAGTGAGGAGCGTCTCTGCCCGGCTGCCCATCGTCTGAGATGTGGAGAGCGCCTCTGCTCCGCCGCCCCGTCTGGGATGTGAGGAGCGCCTCTGCCCGGCCGCGACCCCGTCTGGGAGGTGAGGAGCATCTCTGCCCAGCCGCCCCGTCTGAGAAGTGAGGAGACCCTCCGCCTGGCAACTGCCCCATCTGAGAAGTGAGGAGCCCCTTGGCCTGGCAACCACCCCGTCTGGGAAGTGAGGAGCGTCTCCGCCCGGCAGCCACCCCCTCCGGGAGGGAGGTGGGGGGGTCAGCCCCCCGCCCAGCCAGCCGCCCCGTCCGGGAGGGAGGTGGGGGGGTCAGCCCCCCGCCCGGCCAGCCGCCCCGTCCGGGAGGTGAGGGGCACCTCTGCCCGGCCGCCACCCCGTCTGGGAGGTGTACCCAGCAGCTCATTGAGAACGGGCCATGATGACAATGGCGGTTTTGTGGAATAGAAAGGGGGGAAAGGTGGGGAAAAGATTGAGAAATCGGATGGTTGCCATGTCTGTGTAGAAAGAAGTAGACATGGGAAACTTTTCATTTTGTTCTGTACTAAGAAAAAATCTTCGGCCTTGGGATCCTGTTGATCTGTGACCTTACCCCCAACCCTGTGCTCTCTGAAACATGTGCTGTGTCCACTCAGGGTTAAATGGATTAAGGGCGGTGCAAGATGTGCTTTGTTAAACAGATGCTTGAAGGCAGCATGCTCGTTAAGAGTCATCACCACTCCCTAATCTCAAGTACCCAGGGACACAAACACTGCGGAAGGCCGCAGGGTCCTCTGCCTAGGAAAACCAGAGACCTTTGTTCACTTGTTTATCTGCTGACCTTCCCTCCACTATTGTCCTATGACCCTGCCAAATCCCCCTCTGTGAGAAACACCCAAGAATGATCAATTAAAAAAAAAAAAAAAAAATTAGAATTTTCAGATTCTGGGTATGGGTCACATTTCAAAATGGAAAGCCTAGCCTTTCAAAACTCCATTTATTTCCTATTTGGCCTATTTTCCTACAAATACAAAGCCTTGATAGAGTTAACAGACTATCATGAAAGTGAAGACAGTAATGTTGCCAAGTAGAATCCCCTAACAAGCCAAGAGTGGTGGCTCATGCCTGTAATCCCAGCTACTTGGGCGGCTGAGGCAGGAGGACTGCTTGAGCCTAGGAGCAGTAGAATCCTGACAACCTGGCTTGGCTCATACAGTTCCAGTTTTGCCCCTGAATCTTGGGAGACCTGGATTAAACTCCTGACTCCTACTAAAAGCTGTCAAATGTCAGCATTAGGAAGCCTCTTTAGCTTTTTCTCCCATTGGAAATGTTGGGTATTAAAAGGAAGTGGGTAAATGGTTCAGCCTGCAAATAAAACTTTACTAAAAAGTCATTTCAACTTATTTAAAGGAACTCTTTTTACGTCACTTTTTTTTATTTTTGACAAATTAGGGTTGAGTTACCCATGAGATGAACTGAGTCCTTTCTGCTCCAAATTCTACCAGATAATCTATTGCTAAATTGTAAACAAGACACTAAATGATCCTTATACTTCACTGTAAGAAGGCACTAAGTGATCCTTTTACTTTCTTTCAGTTAAGCTATGACAAATTCTGGAAACATTTACACATGTCTTTGTGTATATAAAATATATAAAACAGTTCTCCACCTCTTAGTCCTTTTATAACCAATGGAGAGTTTTGTGCCAAGGAAATTTCTGATTTTTTTTCTAATGGTATTGGCAGGTTTAGCAATTTAAATCATGTTTCTGTGCTTCTCTAAGACCAAACAGAACCTGTGGGATACATAATACTTTCCCTGCGTTCCCAGATAATATGTATAAGAATGTGTTTATCCTTTTCTATAAAAATAAATTTAAAGAAAGGTTCAAAAACTCTTAAACAGATCAGAAAGAAAGAACTAGCTACTCACTAGTCTGTCTCTGTCATTTTGGAGTGAAGACATAGCTTTTTTTAAACTCTGTACTTCAGCTGGGCTGGTGGAAGGCTGAGCTGCAGACCTCTGCTTCCCTTCCTCTGACTTTCGAAATTTCTCCAGCTCATTCCACAGGTGATCTCTCTCATTCTGCAGACTGGCCATAGCCTTGGAAAAGGACTGCACTTGGTTATAAGAATCTTCTAGTTGTGAGGACAAGTGAAGCAATTGCTCATCTTTGGATAGGAGCTGTTGGTTAAGTTTCTCAAGGTGAGACAAGCTATTCTCCTCAGTGGAGTTCATTGAAAAGGCGGTTTCAGAAAGAAGAGCATCTCTCTCTCTGTTTAAGAGTCCCTGTTCTTTCAACTGTGCCAATTCCTTCAGACTGGCATCATATTTCCTTTTCAGTTCATCAAGTTCCTCATTGGCATGATCTCTACTATTTTGCAAGGAACTCATAGACCTTCCAAAAGACTGAATTTGTGCTGTGAGACCTTTATTTTCTTTGGTGACCATGAGTAATTTCTGTTCCATCTCCACCAAATCTCTTGCTAGCTCTGCCACTCTCTCTTCTGCTGTTTCAGTTTCATTTCTCATTATCCCTGCATCATGATGAAGATGCTTTAATTCTTTCTTCAGTTTATCTTCAATTTCACCTACCTTCTTGGCAGCTTCCTTTTGAACACAAACCAATTCTTCTTCCAGTTCTGCAATTCTCTTTTGAGAGGAGGAAAACAAAGCACTTAACCTGTGTACCTCTTCTTCTTTTACTTTTAACTGGGCATGATAGAGTCCTAAAGTACCTTCTTCTTGCAAGGCTGTTACTTGTCTTGTTAGCTGGGATATAGATACTTTCAAACTCTCAATCTCTTTAGATAAATCTTGTTTCTCTTCTTGTAGGGCATTAAAGGACCTCCGCAGATCCTCATTTGCTTCCTCAGATTCCTTCAGCTTTTCTTCTAATTTAGCATATTTATTTTCCAGCTCCTTATTTTGCTGAAGTTGAACTTCAAGAAGCTGCTTTTGTTGGCTGTCCTTTATTGTTATCACTTGGTTCAGGTCTTCTCTATATTGGATCAGTTCTGCATCTAGCTTGGCATTCTCAGAATTGAGATCATCCATATGACTTCTCAAGCCTCGTATTTCTTCTTTAAGCTTATTATTCTCTGCAGCAGCCTCTTGGATGAGTTGGTCTTTTTCCAAGATTATAGAGAGATGTCGCTCTTCCAGCTGTTGATAGTCACCCACTATGCGGTCTCGATCATTTTGGAGAGAAGACATGGATTTAACAAAGGAATCCAACTGTGCCTTTTGCTGAATGTTTTCCTTTTTGATGGTTTTCAGTGTTTCCATAAGCTGATTGGTTTTATCAACAGCCTTTTTGTTCTCCTCTTCTAAAACAATATTCTCCTCTTCCTCCTGGGACAGCAGGTTTTCCAGCTCTTTAATTTCTTTATCATGTTGCTGACGCAGTTCAGCAATAGCTACTTGGATTGCCTCTTCCTTGCCAGAAAGCAGGCTTATAATCTTTTGCTCTTTCATATTTATTTCTTCATGCAGCCTACTGGTCAGTTCTCTGGAGGCCTGAAGATCAGTCTCCAGTTGTTCATAACTGAACTTAGAATTTTGAATATCAGCCTCTTGCTGCCTTATGATCCCTTCCAAGTTTCCTTTTTGTTCCTTACATTTTTCTAAAGAGTTACTTAAATCAGTCAACTGGTCTTTGAGACTCTTAAGTTCTGATTCCAACTTAGCTAATTCATTCTGAGAACTGTGGTATAGGTGGCGTGTCTCTTCTAGCTGGGACAAAAGTTCTTTGTTTTCCCCCTGTAGAGTATCACAGACCTTCTGCTGAAGCTGGACCTCTGTCTGGGCCTTGGACTCCCAAATCTGCTTGTCATGTTCAAGCCTGAAACAGAGAGAAGGTCATTAGTTACAGATTTCAAGAAAAAAACTGTGTTTCCCAAGGAACAAATACTATAACATGTACTCAATAGATTTACAAATGAATTAACATTCATAACAGGTGTTAAATATTTTACTGAAGAGGTATTAATTCTCTGCACCTACATGTTTATCTACTGAGTGCTATGTATTAAAGGTATATCATACTTAAGGGTTCATATATTTAAGTCATAAACTCCAAAATATGTCACTTATTTTAGTGACATGGTTTTCAACACTGAAAAGTAACATTTTCTCCTATTTTATTCTACTTTGCTCCAGACAAGCTAACGTTTGGCTTCTCTAAGGGATAATCTTGATATGAAAGACAGTGAGAAAATCTGTTTTAGAACAGAAGGGTCCTATTGGAAGTAAGGAATACAAAGGATGAGAGACATTATTAGTTCTATAGATTAAAAAGTGACAGAAAATTGAAATTTGAGAAAAAATAACTCTAAGAGGTATATGCAGTATGAATTAATGTGGACTAAAGGAAGAAGAAAAGACGAGACTAGACAATTAATTTGAGAGTACTGTGGTAAAAATCCAGGCAAGAGTAGTTGAAATGGAAATGAAAAGAAATACAGAGGCCAGGTGCAATGGCTCATGCCTGTAATCCCAGCACTTTGGGAGGCCGAGGTGGGTGGATCACCTGAGGTCAGGAGTTCGAGACCAGCCTGGCCAACATGGTGAAACCCCCTCTCTACTAAAAATACAAAAAATTAGCTGGGCGTGTTGGTAGGCTCCTGTAATCCCAGCTACTCGGGAGGCTGAGGCAGGAGAATTGCTTGAACCCAGGAGGCAGAGGTTGCAGTGAGCCAAAATCGTGCCATTGCATTCCAGCCTGGGTGACAAGAGCAAGACTCCATCTTAAACAAAACAAAACAGAAGTACAGAAATCTCTCAATAGAAAGATGGGAAGAGAAGATGCGAACTTTTCATGTTCATGCAGTTGTAGCAGGATTGTTGTTTGCCAAAAAAAAGTCAGAAGTGAGAGAGAATATATCTTCCATGGACATTTATGCCAAAATTAGTCCCATTGTCTAAAAGGAAACAGAAATAGTTTAGAGACTTTCTTTGCTTGAAGTTACCTCTGGAGGAGGAAAAATTCACTACTCATTTACCTGGAAATGTTAATCTTTAATTCTTCCATATGGATGGACATCTGTCTAAGTTGATCCTTTAGAACACTGCAATTATCTTCTTTGAGTCTAATTTCTTCTTCTTTGCTTTGAATCGCATCACTAAACTTCCTCTCCCATTTCTTAGCTTCATCTATCACCCTGTCACGATCATCCTGGAGGGAAGACATGCTCTTAGTAAAGGCTGCAAGCTGGGTCACAGTACTGTCCAAGTTTTCCTGAAGTTGCTGAACTTCCTTGTCTTTCTTGTTCAAAGTAACCTGAATCTCTCCAATTGTCTCTTCCAAGTGGACTTTTTCTCTGCGCAAAGCATCCAGTTTCTCTTGCATATTCTTCTTCTCTTTCAGGTGCTTCTCTTCTGCCTGTTCCAGTCTTCGCTCAAGATCTTCATCCTTTTGTTTCATCTGGCTTTTAACTGATTCTTTATTTGACTGAAGTTCCTTTTTCAACTTGAGATTGTCTGCTAGGACCCTTGCTGCTTCACTTTGAGTGTCATCTAGCAGGACTTTGAAGCTAGCTAATTCTGCTTGTGCCTTTTTGCGGTGTTCAACTGCTTGAGCCAGATTTTCTTTGGTTATTTCCAAATCTTTTTGAGATTCAGTTTGAACAAATTCTAGAGCTTTAACAGTTCTCTCCAGAGCACTAATTTTCTCTTGATACCTGATGCAGTCCTTCTGTAGCTGCTTTACTTCTTGTTGTTTTTCTTTTAACAGTTCCTGAAGTTCCTTTGCATGGCTTTTATTTCCGGGTTCTTTCTGAGCACCTTGTATTTTCTCCAAATATTCCTTTCGTATTTCTGATTCCACCTTAGTTTTTTCCTTGACTAACTGCTGCTTTTCTTCTTCCAATTCACTCACACACTTTTTAAGGTTCTTCATTTCAGATTCCAATAGCTCATTTTTTATTTGGGCATCTGTAACATCCTGACAGTAATTCCCAATGCTTCCATTAAGTTCTGCTAATTGATTCATAAGCCTCTCTTCCAAATCATCTTTCTCTTCTTCTGCTGTCTCCTTTAGTTTGGTAACTCTGGAGAGTTCTTCTTGGATTTGCTGATTTAACAGGTTCATTTTGGTTACTTCCTCCTGAAGCATTTTTAGTTCACCATCCTTTGTTGATATCTGACTCAGTAAGGTATTTTTCTCATTTTCTAAAGTCTGGCTAAATTCCTTGTTTTTCTGCTTCTCCTCCTCTAATCCAGCAATTCTTTCTTTGAGCTGATCAATCTGCTGTAGGTAGTTATTAATTTCATCATGTGAGCTGAAATCCTTACTTACAGCAGGGTTGGCACTCTTCGCTGATGGAACCGATTCTGAACATGTAGGTCTTGTGCTCATACTCAGAGAGTCTTGCTCTTCAGTCTCACCTGGTATAGACTGTGTTCCCTCTTCAGTGACATTCGTTTGGTTATCATGTTTCTCGGTGGCCTCTAGGTTAGCTTGTTTAGATACATTACCTTCTATCTGATGCTTTAAATCTTGAACCTCTTCACTTAGAGAGTCTTTCTCAGACATTAAAGACTGAAACTTCTTAGAAAGGGTTTCATACTCCATTTTGACCCTTTCAAGTTCTTCCTTCATGCTGGCATTGGAAGAAAGAAGTGTTTCCATACACTCTTTAGCTGTATCTCCTGCAGGGTGCACCTCTGCCCTAAGCCGGTCATTCTCTTCTTCCAGCTCTAGGATTTTCTGCTGTTTAGATTTAGCAAACTTTCTCATCTTTTCTTTCATTTCCTCCATTTCTTGCTCAGCTTCCTGCAACTGCTTTTCTGTCTCCTTCTTGTTTGCCTCTGTGCTTCTTAACTTGCCATACAGTTCTTGTTTCTCTTGCCTCACAGCTTCCACCACATGCTGAATCCTTTCTGCTTCATTACTAACATTCTCATAGGACTGCAGAAGAATTTCATACTCTTTTTGTAGCTCCTTGTGTTTCTCTTGCCACTCAGTACTTTCTGCAATCTTAGAAGATTTCAAAGATTCAATTTCCTTCACTAACTTTTCCTTGTCTTCAGTAAGACCCTCTAGAGCTAGTTTTAGACTTTCACAGGAGCTGCTGAGACTCTGATTTTCCAATAAAGACCTGTCCATTTCTGTAATGAGTTTGTCTCTTTCTTCTTGAAGAAGAGCTAACCTTCCTAAGACCGTATCTTTTTCTTTATTTTGAGCAGAAACTTGGCTTTCCACATCTGCCAGAGACTTGGTGAGACGTTCAATGGTACCTCTGGCCAAAGACAATTCCTCTTGGAGACTTTTGTTTTCTTTTAGTGCTTCTTTTCGGGAAATAAGGGCAGCTTGCAGTTTCCTTTGTATTTGTTGCTTTGCTCTACTTTCTTCTCCAATCTCTTCTGGTTTTTGCTTCATTTCACAAAGTTCCACCTGTAGCTGCTTTATCCTCTCATCATGCTCTTTGGCTTGCATTTCTAGCTGTGTATGCAGAGCCTTAATTAAATCTTCTTGTTCTATTATCTCTGTCTGTATTTTAGTGAGAGCTGCTTCTTTCTCACTAAGTTGTCCAGAAAGGTAGCTAACGTCTTCTTCCTTTTTGCTTATGAGTTTTTGCAGTTCATCCAGTTTAGGTTGCAATTCTCTTAGATGTTCTAGGCCAGCAATTTGTAGTTGGCTGCTTTCCAATTTCTGCTGCAGGCTTTCGGCATGGACTTCAGCTTCATGGGATACTGTCTTTAGACTCTCGATTTCTAAACCCTGTTTATTTATCTGCTCTTGTAACTGAAATACCTCTTCTGATTTTTTAGTAAGCTCACTTGTTGTAGAACTAACTTTCAATTCTAACTCTACTTTCTCAGCCTCTATTTCCTTCAGCTGGGCCTTAATCTGGGCAACAGAAGTTCCGCCCTGCAGAGCACTCGCATCTTCAGAATGAGAAGGCCAGTCTGGGCACAAGTTGGACTCTAAAACAGGTTGAGTGTGATGCTGTTCTGTGGCTTTGAATAAAGGTTCTTCTAAACCTGGAGTGGAAGAACACGATTCCTGCTGGTCTGTGCTTGGGAGTTTTCCGTCTATGGATTCCCTTACTTGAATCTGGAGTTGCCTTAGCTGGTCTCCAATATTCTCATTTTCCTTGCTTTGCTCATCAAACTGTTCTTGCAAGCGATTATAGTCATCTTTCTGTTGCTTTAGCTCCTCCCTGAGATGTCTTTCTTTCTCCTGTGCCTTTTTAAGAATTGCCTTGCGGGAGGTTAAGGCTTCCTGTAGCTTCTTTTGAAGTTGCTCCTTTTCTTTTTCAAGGGCCAGTATCTTTTCTTCTAGTTCTGGTTTCCAGTGTTCACTACTACCTGTACAAGGTGGACTTATCACCACTGTTTCCTTTACAAGTGCTACGGAGTCCCCATCACTTGCATCCGTGTTACTTGTGATTAACTTCTGGATAATTGCTTGGTTTTCACTGATTTCTGCTTGGAGCAAATCTATTTGGTTTGTTTTATCTTGCAAGGTCTGATTCATCTGTTTGACCAGAGCCTGGAATTGCTCTTCAGCTGCCAGCTTTTCTTCCAAATCCTTCCTTATATGCTGTAGTTCCACTTCTTTCTCAGATATTGTCTGTTTTAAATAAATTTCTATTTCTTGGCACTTAGAAGTCACACATTTTTCTGAGTATTCTTTGTTTTCTTTATCTTCTTCCACTTCTCCCCTCTCAGTCTCACTGAGTGGGATTTCTTTCTTAGATTCATCTTTCAAGTTGGCTAATTCTTCTTCCAATCTACTGACTCTTTGCAGAAGCTCCTTTCTGTTAATAAGAGCTGCCTGGAGCTTTCTCTTTCTCTGCTCATTTTCTTTCTTCAGAAGGTCAAATTCATGCTGAAGTTCTTCCTTACTTATTTGTCCTGCTGGGCTCATCTCATCATAATTTTGTTTAAGGCCAGAAGAAACTTCATTATCTTCTTCCACCTGCTCTTTTTTTGCTTCCTCAGCTCTGGATAATAAATTTAGCTGTTCTTTAAGAGTCTTAATTTCAACCCCAAGAGAAAACTTCTCTTCATTAAGCTGAACCATTTTCTCAGTCATACTAAAGCTGATTTCTGTCACTTGTTGATCCTTCTCCTCGATGGTTTGTTGGAGGGTTTCCACATCTCTCTTTTTCTCTAGTAAGAGCTGATCCATTTTTGTTATTTCAAGTTCCTTCTGTGAAAGAGCCTGGGACAGTTCTTCCACTTTACTTGAGATATGCCTTACACGTTCTGCCCCCTCAAGCACTTCACTTTCCTTATTTTGCAGCTGGCTTTGCAGGCTTCTTATCAGGGTACTCTGCTCAGAAAACTGAAGCTGCACATCATCCAGTTCATTCTGTAAAACTTCAATTTTCACATCTTTAGATTTGGCTTCTATGCTGAGACTATGGATCTGTTCAGTGAGCAGGTTGTCATGGGCAGTTTGGCTTTCATAATCAAGTCTTCTTTGCCTTTCTGCTTCTGCAAGGTTCATTTCCAGTTGCTTTACCTGAGCCCTCAATTCTGTTACCATGCTAAGTTCCTTCACCTGAGAGAGAAGCTGGTCTCTTTCTTCAGACAAAGCAGTGAATGCACTGCTGTTGTTGTCAGCATTTTTCTTAAACTCCTCAATCAACTGGTTTAGGTTGCTAATTTCCTTAGCTTTCTCATCTAAATTTTTCTCATAGATTTCTTGTGCTTTATGAAAGTTTAGCTCGAGCTCCAAAATTTGACTTTTTAACCTTTCCAACTCATCCTGATGACACTGACCAATATCTGGTACAGCAGAAAGGGATTTATCACCATCCTGCTTTGTTGATTTCAATTCTACTCCAGCATCATTTAAAGATATTTCCTCAGATGTTCTACTTTGATGTTCAGTGCTCGCCTGTTCTTTTTCAACTGCTGGAAGACTGCTCTCTTCATTTGGCATTAAGGGAAAATCTTGCCCTGTATCTTCAAGAAATACTTTCATTTTAATTGGAGCTATTCCCTCACCCTCCATCTGTTTCATTTCTTTCTGGTCAAGGACCTCATGATCTGCTTCCTCAGCCCTTTTTCCCTGGAGCTGTAATTTAAGAAATGCAATTTCCTCTTGAGCTTCTTTCATTTCCAACAATAAAACTGATAATTCTTTATGTTTCTGAGAAAATGTGTTTTCTAGAACATCTTGTCCACTTTCCTCAGCAGAAGAGCTCCTCTTGTTGGCAATATCAACAATGCTGATCTATTTTTAAAAAAGAAAAAAAAAGCTGTAATCAAATGTTTTATAACATTAAAAAAATAGCCCAACTAAAAACTTGTATTTCATCTTCTAAAACTTCAGACTTTTTGGTCAAAACCTTCTTTGTACCATAACACTGCTAAATCCTTTTAAAATCAGTTTGTATCTCCCAGCTGGACCTCCAAGGGCACTCTGCCAATCCTGCACTGAAGTCAAGCCCTATTCATAAGACCTAAGGAAATTGGGAATTCATTTTCTAGATATTCCTTACATAAGAAGCTTTTTTTCCTTCAGAATAAAACTCCTAATTGATTTTTTTTAAAAAGTAAGCAGATACTTTTGTTAGGAAGCCACATTACTCCTCAAGGGCATGTATAATTCTATCACTGACTTACTGATTAGAAAAACACAGCTAACTAAACAAAACGCAGCTAACAATACTCTTAAATCAACAGAATGATACTAAGCAACCATACCCTTCTTATAGTAATTTTCAGATTATTAAAAGGATCATTCTCCAAAGATCCCTTTTTATTTAATCTTAGTAAAACTATGCCAGTCTTATCTAATCTCTTCACTGAGAAACTTTTCTGAGATGAACAAAGAAGTTGAGATAGATGATAACCCAGTATAAAAAAATGTGTTATCAAATCCCAAATTAGTAGCTACTGTATTTGTGTTGCTTTAGAACAATGAATTTTAATATTCAGAAACAAGTAACAATAAATGAGATATAATAACCATTATGAATCTCTTTAATAGATCTTACTCTATAGGTAATGTACTTCTCTGGCAACACTAGAAAATTATGGACGTATTTTCATATGAAGCTACCTTCTCTTAATCTAGCTCATGTTCTGGTTATATTAAGAACACATCACTTACCTCACTGACTTCTCTGTCTGCCTCCCCAGTTCTATTCTGAGCCTCTAGGAGAGTAATCTGAGAAGACAGTTTTTCTGAAAGTCACAAAATAAATATCTTTAGAAGATATATGTGGAGTGTGTGAAAAAACAGGATTGCATGTGAAGCTATTTGAATTGTATGAAATAATTTTTTAAAAAATAAACAAAATAGCTTGGGAGAGGTGAAAGCCTTATTAAAGAAGTGGCAAGAGGATATGATTACATGAGATATAAGATAGAACAGTACTAGGTGATGATAATGAACCTGAATGAAGTATACTAAATAGTGGAAGGTTTGAAAGGAGAAGGATGCCAGGATGCAGGACATAAAGCAGCTATTTCTGTGGCATAATCTGGAACTTCTAGGACAATACATATAATTTATCCATAATCCTACTATGTTTGTAATATATATTTTGCATTAATATAGCACTTACAATGTTCTTCAATGTTCATAAAGATATCAAATTTTAGCACTAAAAGGGAGCTATCCTATCTCCTCAATGATCATATAAGGAAACAAAGAAATGACACAACCCGAAAGGTTACGCAGCTAGTTCAGGGAGCTGGGATTAGAATCCAAGTCTTCAGAGTTTTAACCCAAGTTCTGTGACAATGTGTATATATTGAGCATCAATATCAATATCCTCAAGAAGCTTATATTCTTTCTGAGAAGATAACACAGATACACCAAAGGAAAAAAATATATATATTTTTTACACTGTATCCAAATGTCTTAATGTGACCTACAGGAACCCTCATGCTTTGACCCTACTAATTCTCCAACCTCCTCTTCTTGTATTGCCCCCTTTTTGTTCACTCTGCTCTAAAAACACTGGTCTGTTTTCTCTTCTGCAAACTTATCAAGTTCATTCACACCTGAGAACATTTGTACTGCTTTTTTCTCTGCCTGGAATGCTCTCTGCTTAGCCTCTTTGCATGGCTGTCCCCTTTTCATCATTCAGGTTTAAAGTCCTCAGAAAGGCCTACTCTCACTACTCCAATTCTGCGTTCCTCTTCTCCAAGGCATACTTGAAATACTCTGTTTTATTTTAAGCCTAATACTTATCATTCTCTGAAATTTTCTTATGTGTATAAACAGGTTTGTAGTCTGTCTTCCCCTCCAATATGTTCATAGCTATATACCCAGCAACTGGAATAGTGCCTGGCACATAGGAAAGCCACCATAGATGAGACAAGGGAATTCAAGACAGTATATATGTTCAGACATTTCACAAGATTACTTGAAAAAGGAGTACAGTGGTAGAAATGTCAGTGCAAAAGGTGAGTTGAAAACAACATGACATACAAGGTAAAAGTAATCTATGAGGCCAGACACAAAAACCAATACAGAAAACCTTAAGGTCAGTGATCCCTGCAGGAAAGAGCAAAGGAATGGAACCCATATAATACCTCCAAACCATGTGAAGCCACATGGATAGGATACAGACTGTTTGCAAAACTGCAAAATAAGCATCATGGATAAGGTCTCAAAGAAGTGCTCTGAATGGGTTAAATAATGAGCTGAATTTGTGGTGTTCTTTACTTATTAGAAATAGTGGGAATCGTCTAATACAAGTGCATAAGCTTCCATTTAGATCTAAGTGGAAAACTGTAAAATGGTTAAGTTAGAAATACTGGCTCTAGAGTTTAATAAAAGTTTTACAACCTTTACTTGCTATTCATTCTCACTCCTAGATGATAAAGTGTAGTAGTCAGTTAAAGATGAATTAGATCAATAAAGCATTAACGACACGCTACTAAATCCATAAAGTCTACATGAAGCATATGATAAGTGGAAGGAGACACGTCTTCATTCTCACTAACTGTTCACACACAATCCAATAGGATAAAATGCTAAGTTCAGTTCAATCCAACAAAACTTTATTCAGTAGCCATTATTTGCCAGGTGGTATACTAGTTTTGGGTAAAGCAAAGATGGAAAAAAAAATGGCCCCTGCCCTTGAAGAGCTTATATTTAAACTTTGAAGAGCTTATAATATAGTAAAAAAGACAAACATATAAACAGATCATTTTAATACAATGTTAAAAGTATACAAGGATGTTATGGAAGCACAAAAAAATCATTTAACCCAACTTTTGGGGACCAATACCAAATTCCTGAAAAAGATAATATGCTAGTCGAGGCCTGAAAGATGAGTAACAATCATCCAGACTAAAGGAAAGGAGCAGGATTCTAAGCAGGGTACAGCACGAGCATAAACCACTCACTCACAACATAGTTTCTACCTTTAAACCTTTATACTGATCTCTGTTACCTCATCCCACAAATTTATTACCAGAATGTCCTTTCTTTCTTCATTTTACCTATTTTAAAAATCATCTTATTAAGGTCCTGTTCAAGCCATACTTCCTATAGGATACGATGACCATTCCAAAATGATTATGAGTTATAAAGAAATCCTGCAGCATGTATAGTCCATATTGCAAAATGTTATACTTATGTAAACACTGATACTATGCTCTAATTGTTTAATGTGTATTATCTTTGATAGTTACCAGCTCTATTATCTAAATCTTTATTATCACGGAATCAGAGAATTCTACATGTTATACATAATTAGTGATAAAAGTAGAGGCACTTGTGGGATAAGAAGACAGAGAATTATGGTTTTCTTTTATACATACCATTCTCAGCTTTCAGCTCCTCCAGCTCTATAGAACTAAGGAGCAAGGCTCCCTTTTCATTCTCTAGTTCTACCACTCTCTTCTGCAAAGAAGCAATATTCTCCTCAGTGACTGCCTAAATTGTAGAAAGACAACAAATTAATGATTCTCCAGCAGAAAATTCTCACACTAACGCCCAGATAGCCTCCAGCATTTTTGTCTTCTAGAAGTTCTCCAGCCATGAAAATACTTTAAAAATAACATCTACTTATCTGCCTAGGTAATCTTTGAAGAAAAGTGTTTTATCTAAAGATTTAGAAAAAGAAATAAAATATTTCACACAAATATCAAGTTCATTGGCTTTTAAATTTAAGATTGAAGCCTGGATTACAAAGATAGAAATCCCAAGTCTATAGCATAAGAAAGAACATTTTCAGGTTCACAAACAAATAGTATTACAAGATTAGATTAATGTCACCAAGTAACATGGTCTCTCTCCTGAAGGAGAATGAACATGAAGAGAGGTTCCACAAAGAGGAATAGAGGCAAAGGAATATGTACCTCTTAAGAAAGGAAGAAGATTTATAAAATTGTTTTTTGTTTTCCAAGTATAATAAAAATTCCCTTGGCTTAATTTATACATCCAGAATTTTTGGTTTTCCTAAGGATAGGCATATATCTAATTATGTCACATCTTTAGTTTTATGTCTTTGTATATATTTTTTATTCTCCATGGATATTATTCTATAAAATTTTCATACAATTGTAGAATTTTTAAGCCATGAGGGTCTTTACAGCATATTTGACCCCGAAATCTTCATTCAATGTTTAAAATAAATAGCATGGGATGAATTTAGGGTTTTTATGGCTTTTATCTTGAGGGAAGTTCCCAGTTTGCAGTATGCAGGGCAAGTAAAATTCCAATAGAATAGCCACAGATATTTCTGGCTTGAAGAATGAGAAGAGTTTGGGACAAACATAGCTGCCAGGATGTGAGGAGGGAGATCAGAGAGAAGAAAAAGAGTTAGGAAGGAGGAGCCCTGAATTCTGTGTATAAACTTAGCTGAAATTTCTGACTGAACAATGGCACAATGTATTTGTTGGACTGACTTAAAGCAGCCCAGCTAAGGCAAAAATAACTGAACTGAGTTTTGATGCCTCTCTATCATAGGCCAGAGTTTGGGGTTTGAGTCCAACTTACTGTCTGATAAAAAGTAATTGAAATTTTAGAAATAACAAAATAAAATCTTGAGAACAAAACACGACATCCAGAATTCAAAACAAAACCATTCACACATAAAGAAATAGGAAAGAGTGACCCATTCTCAAGGAAAAAAAATATAATCAACAGATTCTAGCCATAAAATGATGCAGATTTTGTAAGTAGCAAACAAGAATTTTAATAAAGAAGCTATTATATCTATGCTTAGGACATAAATGAATATGCTCATAATGAATGAGAAGAAAGGAAATCTTAGTAAAACAAACAAAAAAAAATAATGAACCAGTTTGAAATTCCAGAACTAATAAACATAATATCTGAAATGAAAATTTCAATGTGATAGGCTTGACAGTAGAATATAGACGACAGAAGAAAGTCTTGGTGAATTGAGGATGATAAATCAACTGAAATTATCCAATCTGAAGACAGAAGAATAAAAAAAATTGAAAAAAAAAATGAATACAACCTCAGGGACATGTGGGACAATATTAAAAGGTTCAATATACGTGTAATTGGAGTACCAGAAGAGACGAGGGACAGAATGGGAAGAAAAAATATTTTAAGAAATGGCCAAAAATTTCTCAAACATAACGTTATATACGTAAGAAACTCAACAAAAGCAAGCAAGAAAATGACAAAGAAAACTATAACTAAGTACTTCATAGACAAGGATAAAAGGAAAGTCTTAAAATTTCCATGGAAAAATGATACTTTACATACAGAGAAACAATAATTCGAATGACTACTGACCAATTGTTAGGGAAAAAATATAGGCCAGAAGAGGGAAACACCTTCTTTAAAGTACTGAAAGAAAGGCTGGACACAGTGGCTCACGCCTATAATCCCAGCAGTTTGGGAGGGCGAGGCAGGTGGATCATCTGAGGTTGGGAGTTCAAGACCAGCTTGACCAACATGGAGAAACTCCGTCTCTACTAAAATACAAAATTAGCCAGGCGTGGTGACTCACGCCTGTAATCCCAGCTACTCAGGAGGCTGAGGCAGGAGAATTGCTTGAACCCAGGAGGCACAGGTTGCGGTGAGCCAAGACTGTGCTATTGCACTCCAGCCTGGGTGACAAGAGTGAAACTCCATCTCAAAAAAAAAAAAAAAAAAAGTTCTGAAAGAAAAATTGTCAATCGAGAATTATAATATCCAGTAGCAAATATCATTCAAGAATAAAAGTAAAATAAAGACATTTTTAGATAAGAAAAAAACTAAGAAAATTTTTTCACAGACAGACCTATACTATAATATTATAGGTTGTTGTAGAGGCTGAAGAAAACAGTATCAAATAGATATCTGATCATCAGAGAGGAAAGGGCATTACAAATGGTAAATATGTGGATAAATGTTAAGGTCAATATTTTCCTCTTAATGTCTTTCAAATATATATAACCATTTTAAGCACAAATATTAAAATTGTGTGCTGAGGCTTATTACTTTTGTTAATATAATACATACAACAACTGTGGCATCAGGAATAGGGTGAGGGTATATGATTATGAAGATTCTACCTTTTAAGTGAAGTAGTACAGTATTAACTCAAGAAGACTGAAAAATTATGGATATATGTTATACTTCCTAGAATAACCACTTAAAAAATTTTTGTAAAAAGATACAGCTCAATACCCAATAGATGACTTTTGCTTCTGCTAAAGACTGAGTAACATGGAACAGATTTAACCTCCTACCTGAAACAATAACAACCAAAACCAGACAAAATAATAAATAATCATTTTCAGAATACTGGATATCAAGCAACAAAGGATAATTATCTCTGAGAGAGGCAGAAAACAAAGTGATCCCTAAAACTGACCAAGCTTCATGCCTTAAGAGAGTTTTCAGGCTGTGGTCCAAGAAGGGGGAACATAGGCTGAGCCTGGTAGACTCCCTAAGTTCATGAGACAGAGCTGACAGTCAAGAAAGAGCAAGATGGCTGCAGTTCGCAGAATAGAATACCAGATGGGAAAAAGTCACGTAAAGAGAAAACCCTGCAGATCTGCAAAGGGACTGAACAAGTGTTCAGTGAAGTACAGGGCAGGACATGAATGTGAGGAAAGCATCCAAGGCTATCTGAACTACCCCTACCTATCTGAAGAGATTAAAGAATAGCACTTGGTGCTCACACAAAACCCGGAAGTGTCAGTTATATAGCCAAATGTGAAAAAACACTTCTCAGGGCATTGAGTAGAATACTCAGCAAGGTCTTGCCTCAGGAGTATCGAATGACTGAGCACTGATTCGAACCCTCCTAACAAATCAAAGCAGCAGGATCTGAAAGGACCAAGTTTTTTTCAAAGAATTTAACTGAGTCGCATAAAAAAAGCTCCAAAATATGTTAACAAAACAAATATAGAAACAAAGGAGAATCACTTGAACCCCGGAGGCAGAGGTTGCAGTGAGCTGAGACTGCATCAATGCACTCCTGCCTGGGCAACAGAGCAAGACTCCATTTCAAAAAAAAAAAAAAATTAAAAGCCCATTAATGAGTTTTGGAACAACTTCAAGTAATCTAATATAAATGTAATTGGAATTCCCAAAGAAGAGTAGGGAGTCAGAAAAATATATATATTTGACTAATTCACGGCAGAAAATCTTCCAAAACTATAAACACAGAGATTGAAAAAGCTCAATGAACCCCAATCACAAGAAACATGCTATGTCAAGGTACATTATAATTCAAGTGCTCAAAAACAGTGGTAAAATCCTAAAAGCAAGCAGGAAAAAAGAGAGAAGCATGACAGCAGATTTCTTATTAAAAACAAAATGCAAGGGCCGGGTGCAGTGGCTCATGCCTGTAATCCCAGCACTTTGGGAGACTGAGGGGGTGGATTGCTTGAGACAAGAGTTCGAGACTAGCCTGGCCAACATGGCAAAACCCCATCTCTACTAAAAATATAAAATTAGCCAGGCGTGGTGGCGGTTGCCTGTAATCCAAGCTACATGGGAGGCTGAGGCAGGACAATCACTTGAATCCGGGAAGTGGAGGTTACAGTGAGTTGAGATTGCGCCACTGCACTCCAGCCTGGATGACACACTGAGACTCTGTCTCAAAAAAAAAAAAAAAAAAAAAAAAAACCAACAAAGAAAACAAAATGCAAGAAAGAAGACAGTAGAGTAATACACTTAGAGAAATGAAAGAAAAAAAAACTTTCAATGTAGAATTCTAGTCAGCAAAAAATAATCTTTCAACAACAATGGTGAGATAAAGATGTCTTCAGACAAAAAGTGTTATTAGAACCCATGACTGGCCAGGCACGGTGACTCACACCTGCAATCCCAGCACTTTGGGAGGCCGAGGCGGGTGGATCATGAGGTCAAGAGATTGAGATCATCCTGGCCAACACGGTGAAACCCCGTCTCTACCAAAAATACAAAAACAAAACAAACAAAAAAATAGCCAGGTGTGGTGGTGGGTGCCTGTAGTCCCAGCTACTCGGGAGGCTGAGGCAGGAGAATCACTTGAACCCGGGAGGCGGAGATTGCAGTGAGTCAAGATTGCACCACTGCCCTCCAGCCTGGTGACAAAGTGAGACTCCATCTCAAAAAAAAAAAAAAAAACAAAAATAAAAACAAACAAACAAAAAAACCCATGACCAGCAGACTTGCACACACATCCATGTACACACAGACACAAAAATTAAAAGAAGTCCTTCAGAGCCAGGTGCAGTAGCTCACACCTGTAATCCCAGCACTCTGGGAGGCCAAGGCAGGAGGATCATTTGAGCTCAGGAGGTTAAAACCAGCCAGCCTAGGTAACTTAGCAAGACCTCATCTCTACTAAAAGCAAAAAAAAAAAAAATTAGCTGGGTAGCATGGTGCATGCCTGTAGTCACAGCTACTCTGGAGGCAAATATGGAAGAATCGCTTGAGCCCAGGAGGATGAGGCTGCAGTGAGCCATGATCATGCCACTGCACTGTAGCCTGGGTGACAAAATGAGAACCTGTCTCTTACTAAAAAAAAAAAAGAAAAAAAAAAAGTCCTTCAGATAGAAGAAAAATGATACCAGATGGAAATATGAAGCCAGGGTTTGGCAAACTTTGGAGGCCTGCATAAATAAAGTTTTATTGGAACATAACCACAACCATTTGTTTACCTTGGCTCTATGTCTGTTCTCACTTTACAATGGCAGAGTTGAGTACCTGCAACAAAGACTGTATGACCCACAAAGCCTAAAATATTTACTATACATAAAAGGATTGGCAATCTCTGATCTACAAACGAAGAATGAAAAGTACCAGAAATGGTAACTGCAATGGTAGTTAAGATTTATTTTCTTATTTTAATCTCCTTAAAACATAAACATAAATGCTTTATATGTATTAGCCAAAAACTGTCCACAACCCAAATTATCCATCAATGAGTCAATGGTTACACAAATTGTGCTGTTTACAACATACTCAACAATACAATGGAATGAATTATTACTAAACAAACATTAGGATGAATCTCAAATAAGTATGCTGAGTAAAATAAGCCAACAAAAGTGCATATACAACTTATATAAACTTTTTAAAAATCTATAATGACAGAAAGCAGATCAGTGGTTGTCTAGGTAGGGAAAGATGTGAGGGAAAAGATTAAAAGAGGACATGAAAAAACTTCTAGAGATGATGAATATGTTCATTTTCTTGATAGTAGTGATGGTTTTATATGTCATCAAATTGTTCTGGGTGCTATGGCTTATACCTGTAATCCCAGCACTTCGGGAGACAAAGGCAGGAGGATCACTTGAGCCCAGGAGTTAGTTTGAGGCCAGCCTGGGCAACATAGTGAGACCTTGTCTCTACAAAAAAAAAAATTTGCCAGGCATGGTGGCACATGCCTGTGGTCCCAGCTATTCAGGAGGCTGAGGTGAGAGGATTGCTTGAGCCCAGGAAGTTAAGGCTATAGTGAGCTGTGATCATGTGACTGCACTCCAGCCTGGGTGAGAGAACAAGACCCTGTTTCAAAAAACAAATGAACAAACACACAAAACCCTCTTTAAACTGTATACTTTAAATGTGTACACATTACTGTATGTCAAGTATACCTTTTTATACTTAATAGAGCTGTTTAAAAGAAAAAGTTGTCAATAAATGAAAATTAAATTCAAGAAACTTCTAATTATCGAATAGAAGGCAGGAAAAAAGAAGAAGGGAAAACAGAGGGGAAAAAACAGAAAGCAAAATGGTAGACCTAAATCCAATCACATCAATAATTACATTAAAAGGACTAGGCACTCCAATCACAAAGAAGAGAAGAAATAAAAAAGTATAACCCAACTATATGTTGCCTTCAAGACATTTACTTTAAAGAAAAACAAGTTAAAAGTAAAAGGATAGAAAAGAATATACCATTCAAGCAATAAACATAAGACAGAATTATTTTATTAATGCCAGATACAGAGAAATGTAAATAAAGAAGTATTACTACAGATAGAGTAACATTTTGTAAGTGAAAAAAGGAACACTTTATCTGAAAAATAAATGTGTATGTACTAATAACAGAGATTCCAATTACCAAGAAGCAAAAAATGACTACATTAAAAGGAGAAACAGACAATTCCACAGTCATAGTTGGAGATTTCAACCCCCTCTTAGCAAATGTTTCAATAACCAGACAAAAGTCAAAGACAAAGATAACGTGAACAATACTATGATCTAAGTGCTATTTGTAGAACATTACATCCAATAACTACAGAATACACACTATTTACAAGTGTACAAGGTATGTTCACCAAGACACCATATGCTGTGTCATAAAATAGGTCTCAATAAATTTCAAAGGATTGAAGTCACATAAAACATATTCTCTGATCATAATGAAATTATATTAGAAATCAATAAGATATCTAGAAATAAAACCAAGTATCTGGATATTCTACAACAACGTGTTTATTTAGAACACACTTCTAAACAATCCATGGTCAATGAAAAAATCACAGAGAAACTTAGAAAAATGTTCAAAAACTGAAATGATTAAAAAACCACAACATAACAAGCTATGCTTAGAGGGAACTGTGTTAACTTTAAATGTTCATATGAGAAAAGAAGACTTGAAATCTTTGATACAAAGTTTCACCTTAAGAAGCTATAAAAAGAAGAGCAAAGTAAATCCAAGTAAGCAGAAAGAAATACTAAAGAGTAGAAATCAATGAAAATGAAAATAATCAGCAACAGAGAAAATTAACAAGACCAAAAGTGGTTCTTTGAAAAGATGGGGGAAAAAAGCTGAATAAATTCTAGATAGACTGATGAAGAAAATGAAGCACAAATTAACAACAGCAGGGATCAGCGCTTACAGGCATTAAAAGGATAAAAAGTAAACATTGTAACCAACATTATGACAAAAATAGAACATTAGAACATCTTCAATGAAATAGACAAAACCCCAGGAAAAAAAAAAAAAGCCCAAACAAACCAAAACTGGCACCGGGTGGAAAAAAAAAAAAAAATCTTATTATTAGCCTTATATCTGTAAAGGAAATTCAATTCATTATCAAAACCTTCCTAAAACTCCAGACTCAGATGGTTTCATTGGTGAATTCTTTTAAAAAAAAGTATTTAAAAAATTATTTTCAAAAACCGAAATAATACCAATCACATACAAACTCTCATAAAATAGAAAGAAAGGAAACACTCCCAGAAAATAGAAAAGGGAACATATTATGAGGCTGCCATACCCTTAATACCAAAACCTGATAAAGATATCATAAAACAAGAAAACTGTAGACTAATATCCTTCATAAATAAGAACACAAAAATCCTTCACAAAATATTAGCAAATCAAATTCAGTACTATAGAAAAAGGATAATACAGTTAACTCTTGAATATGGGTTTGAACTACATGAGTTCACTTATATATGCACATTTTTTTCAACAAATGTATTGGGGTTGGGTGTGGTGGCTCATGCCTATAATTCCAGCATTTTGGGAGGCCAAGGGAGGGGGATTGCTTGAGTCCAGAAGTTCTGTACCAGCCTGGGCAACATGATGAAATTCCATTTCCACCAATAAATAAACAAACAAACAAACACATAAAAATAGCCGGGCATGGTGGCATGTGCCTGTAGTCCCAACTACTTAGGAGGCTGAGGCGGGAGGATCACTTAAGCCCAGGAGGTTGAGGCTGCAGTGAGCTGTCATCACACCACTACACCCCAGCCTGGGTGATGGAGTGACTCTGTCTCAAAACAAAAAAATAAGTAAAATTTTAAAAAAAGAAAAAAAAAAGGCCAGGCGCAGTGGCTCACGCCTGTAATGTCAGCACTTTGGGAGGCCAAGACGGGTAGATCACCAATGGTTAGGAGGTATGGTTAGGAGTTTCAGACCAGCCTGGCCAACATGGCAAAACCCTGTCTCTACTAAAAGTAACAAAAATTAGCCGGGGGTGTTGGTGGACACCTGTAGTCCCAACTACCTGGGAGGCTGAGGCAGGAGAATCACTTGAACCTGGGAAATGGAGGCTGCAGTGAGCTGAGATCACACCACTGCACTCCAGCATGGGCAACAGTGAAACTCCATCTCAAAAAATAAATAAATAGAAAAATTTTTAGGAGGATTGCTACAACTAGACATTTGTTATTACTCATAGAAGAATCACATAGCCTAGAAATATAAAAAAAAAATTAAGAGAAAGTTTATTTTAAAAATTAAGAAAAAATTAAGAAATATCAAAAAAACTAAGAGAAAAATTCCTCTACAAGATTGAGGATGATCTGATAGAGGAAATTCCTTAAAAACCTAAAACTAGTATCACAGCCAATGGTAAATTATGGAACACTTTCCTCTTAGATTAGAAACAATGCAAGAAAGTCCAGTCTCACCACTTCTATTAAACAGTGTACTGGAGGCATAAAAATTAGAAAGAAGTAAAATTTGTCTTTATTTTCAGATGACATGATTGCTTACATAGAAAATCCTAGAGAATCTACAAAAAGAGACTAAAACCAATAAAATTAATTTGTTTATCAAGGTCACAGAATATAAGCTTAATAAAATTCAGTTGTATACTTACATATTAGCATACATTGGAAAATGAAATAAAAATAATTCCATCTATAATAGTATCAAAAATATTAACTACTTCAGAATAAATGTTATAATGTGCATAATTTCTCCAATGAAAACTACAAAACACTGCTGAAAGAAATTAAAGATCTAAATAAATGGAGAGATATACTATATTCGTAGATTTAAAAGTACAGTAGTGTTGTCAATTCTTAAACTGATCAATAGACTCCACACAATACCAATTCAAAATCTCATCTGTCTTTTTTTAAAAAGTAGAATTTGAGAAGCTGATTGTATAATTTATGTGGAAAGGACCTGGAATAGTCAAAGCAATCTTGAAAAGAAGAACAAAGTTGGAGGACTTATACTATTAATACTTGACTTCAAGACTAACAACAAACTACAATAATGAAGACCGTGATACTGGCATAGGGACTGACAGATAGATCAATATAACAGAACAGAAAATTCAGAAATAGATGTATTAGTCTTTGATTTGCAACAAAGGTACCAAAAGAATCCAATGAGGAAAGTAAAGTCTCCTTACGAAATGGTGCTGAAACAACGAAATATCCGTACAGGAAAAAACAAAACAACTTGACCTTCACCTTACAACACACACAAAAATTCATTTGAGATTCAGAGACTTCAAATGAAAACTAAAACCATAAAGCTTGTGGAAGAAAGCATAAGAGAATATCTTCATAAACTGGGGCTAAGCAAAGGTTTCACAGACAGGACACAGAAAAAAAAAACAATAAAAAATGATAAATAATTAAGCTCATCAAAATTTAAAAGTGTGTGCTAATGAAAAGATATCATAATGAAAATGAATAGGCAAGCCACAAAGCCACAGCATGGGAGAAAATATTCACCAAACATATATGATAATAGATTGGCATTCAGAATATATAAAGAATTCCTACTTGATAATAAAAAGACAACTCAAATTTAAGAATGGGGAAATGATGTGAACAGACACTTCACCAACAGAAGGTGTACATATGGCTAAGAATCTCAAGAAAAAAAGTTCAACATAATTTGTCATCAGGGAAATGCAAATTTAAACCACAATGAAATACCACTACATACCCATTAGAATGGCTAAAATGTTTTAAAACTGACACCACCAAATCTTGGAGAAGATGTGGAACAAATGGAACTCTCATATATTTTAGGTGGGAGTATAAAATAGTACAACCACAGCCAGGTGCGGTGGCTCATGCCTGTAATCCCAGCACTTTGGGAGGCCGAGGTGGGCGGATCACGAGGTCAGGAGTTTGAGACCAGCCTGGCCAACATGGTGAAACCCTGTCTCTACTAAAAATACAAAAATTAGCCGGGTGTGGTGGCGGGTACCTGTAATCCCAGCTACTTGGGAGGCTGAGGCAGGAGAATTGCCTGAACCCGGGAGGTCGAGGTTGCAGTGAGCCGAGATCGCACCACTGTTCTCCAGCATGGGCGACAGACCAAGACTCCGTCTTGGAAAAAAAAAATAGTACAACCACTTTGGGAAAAGACCTGGCAGTTCCTTATAAAGCTAAATACATAGGTACTCTATGACCCAGCAAAGCAATTCCTCAACTAGTATTTACTGAAGATAAATGAAAACATATGTCCACATAACTATTTGTATGAGAATGTTCACAGCAGTTTGATTCATAATAGCCAAAGCATGAAAAAGTCCAGGTGTCCATCAATAGGAAAATGCAGTACAATCATGCAAAAGGAAAATTCAGCATGTTCATAAAATAAAATACTTCTCAGCAATATTAAAGATTAAATTATAATACATGCACAATATGGATGAATCTCCAAATATGCTGAGTAAAAGCTTTACACATAAGAGGACCTATTGTATGGTTAAATGTATATGATGCTGTGAAACAGGCAAAATTAATCTATGGTGAAAAATCAGTAGTTGTCTTTGGAGGGGAAGGGTGAGGATGACTGTAAAGGGGTATAGGGATACTTTGTGAGGTGATGGTAATGTGATATATCTTGAATAGGAGTTTGGGTAACACAGGTGTATGCATTTGACAAAACTCAAGGAATGGTATACTTCAGATCTGTGCATTTAAAGGTTTGTAAATCTTACCTCAAAAGAAAAAGAACAATTATAAATAAATATTAAAATATAGTCAATGATATGAATGCTGACAAATTTAGAGAGAAATGTACTGATGTCCACAACTTACAGTGAAATGTATTATAAATTTAAGATGAACTGATGGATGGGCAGAGGGATGAATAAATAGATAGACATTTGATAAAGCAAACGTGCTAAAATGTTAATGATAGAATTCAGATGGTGGGTATACAGATGTTCGCTACAAAACTCTTGCAACTTATTCGAATGGTTGGAAAACGTCTTAACAAAACATTGGAGGAAAAAGTCGAGAATGGGAGAACAGAAGAGACTGGAAAGCCTAGATGCTAGAAACCAAGAGGCAAAAATTTTTATCAGTGGACAGCATAGCCCAGGAATGACAGGACTCTGCTGACCAATATGTTTGTGAGTTTGGAAGGGTATAATCTTACAATGGAGATGACTGAATCTAGTTATCTCAACTTGACATTAGTCAATTAAGAACATCAAACTAACTGCCTTCATTCTGATATTCAGGCTCAATCAGCCTGAATCAGCCTTCGATGATTACAATCTAGCTCTCTACAGAGATTTTTGTAGATGAAAGAAAGAATATACTGGCCAATAAGAAGCTACTTGGCCATTATATACTTTTTTACTGTTAATTAATTAATGGGAACAATATGATTTCCATAGTAGACTTTTAAGTTTGATTAGACTGACTCGTGTTCACTAAACCTGATCAAATCTTAGTTTACCAAAAAAAAAAAAGACTTCCGAACTGGGAAAATTAACTACAGAAGCAAAAGTAATGATTCATCTCCGATACAAATTGTTAAGACCTTAGAATCAGAAAGGCTTCTGAGACCATGGTATTTGTTATCTATTATTTTCTCATTCTTTATTGTTGAAACACTGCATTAATGCCTTTCATGATTCCTTTCAAATAGAATTGTCCTCAAAAAAGTATTTTTTCAGGCAGAAAAAACAGAAGGTTTATATAGCTCTCTGGAATAAATCCTCATTAGAGCACCGAAGTACAGATACAGCAAAGACAAACAGTTAATATTCATAAGAAGTTCACATTTAATTACCTGTGTGCCCTCATTATAAACATCTGGGAAAGAAGTCTGAGATGCTGTTTCATGTTGTTGCAAGGGCAGTCTATTTAGAAATTGGCTAATTTCTTTGGATTTTTGCTGGAGCTGATCTAAGGAAAAGAAAAAAAATAAATGTAATATTTGCTTCAAGTCTGAAATGTAGTTATTATTATCTTCTAAAGATACACTGTATGCTGTTTACTAGTTTAGTTTCCTTAGTTAAAATTATGATGCCAATGACAACATTATTATTAGCTAAATGTTAAATGTTCTCAAGAACCAAAGGACACCTCAGTAAATCACTTCCTTCAAAAGTAAAATAAAATAGGCCTAGGCACTTTTTTTTTTTTTTTTTGATACGGAGTCTCCCTCTGTTGCCTAAGCTGGAGTGCAGTGGTGCGATCTCGGCTCACTGTAACCTCTGACTCATGGGTTCAAGGATTCTCTTGCCTCAGCCTTCCAAGTAGCCAGGATTACAGGCATGCGTCACCATGCCTGGCTAATTTTTTTTTTTTTTTTTTTGTATCTTTAGTAGAGATGGAGTTTCACCATGTTGGCCAGGCTGGTCTCGAACTCCTGACCTCAGGTAATCCCCCCCACCTTGACCTCCCCAAAGTGCTGGAATAGCAGGCGTGGGGAGGCCTAGCCCTAGGCATTTTTTACAAGTTCATTTTCCCTTTCCCCCTTGAAAATGGCTTTAGGGTTTTTGTTTTCTTCACTCTCGACTTAGGTATTATGGATCCCACCAAGATTCCACCACATGGTTTTAAACATCAGCATGCTTAAGAGAACAGCTTGCTCATGTAACACCCTGGTCTTGTGTGATGCCCTTCAAAACTGTCTGGCTAGGGCACAATGGCTCACGCCTGTAATCCCAGCACTTTGGGATGCCGAGGCGGGCAGATCACCTGAGGTCAGGAGTTCGAGACCAGCCTGACCAACACGGAGAAGCCCTGTCTCTACTAAAAATACAAAATTAGCCAGGTGTGGTGGTGCATGCCTGTAATCCAAGCTACTTGGGAGGCTGAGGCAGGAGAATCACTTGAACCCAGGAGGCAGAGGTTGCAGTGAGCCGAGATCATGCCATTGCACTCCATCCTGGGCAACAAGAGTGAAACTCTGTCACAAAAAAAAAAAAACAAAAAACAAAACTGTCTGGCTAACATTCAGTTATTCAATACAAATTTTCAACTTAATTGTTTCTAAAATCTTTCCTTTATGTCTATGTCAATATATTAGTAAAGGTTATAATTTGGGGAAGAGGATTGGTGAGATGGAGTATTGGTGTTGAGGAAGTTTCACTTTTTAATTTATAAAGTTCTAAAATGTTCAATTTTTTATAGGCACATATTACTTTTATAATAACACATTTTTTAAAAGTTTCCTTTATACCTTCATAAAGGATAAATTTTCACCTGTAAGACAAGAAATCAGGTGAAAAGAGATTTTCACCTATAAGAAAAGCACTGAGATCCATCCTTCTTCAGATTTATGGATAACTCCATGCAATTTAGTCTCCTAACCTATGCACCTAGATCTGGCCTGAGTTTTCCAAAAACTAATTCAAATCCTTCTCGTTTCAGTCATTGAATCCTTCAGATCAGTCATATTTAACATAGCATTCTATTTAATATCTGGAACATCACTATCACATTTTTAGTATTGTAATGATAATTATAATATTAAGAAAGATTATAGCCAGTCAGAGGCAAGAAAAATGCATCAAGAAGTTCAGAAGAGCTGTTTTTCTCAGTCCTTCTATTGGTTCAATTGGTTTGAGTACAGATTTCATTAACAGATCCCTGAAAATATGAAATACAAGCCACTCAGATGGTAGAGATGTGGACTTCAAAAGCAATCAGCTACTGACCTTCCAGTTGCTGAATGGTCTGGGCTGACTGAACTGCTTGCTCATTCTTATCTTGGAGAAGCTTTGAATTTTGATCCTTTAGAGCATCACAGGCAGACTGCAGCTCTTGTCCAGTCTTTTGAAGACTCAAAATATGAGAGGTCTTCTCTTCCATTTCTGCTTTGTGCTTCTGCTCCAAAGCACTATACCGAGACTCTAGTTCAGCCTGGGCTTGGCCTGCTTGCTCAAACTGTTCTAAAAGATGATGCATTTCTTCCTGCAGATTATGGAAGGATAATTTTCTCTCTGCCACTTCAAGTTCCATCTTTTCCAGTAGAATCTTGGACTCCTCTCTTTCTGTTTCCACAGTGTTCCTCAAAGTATTATGCTCAGCTTCCATCTGCTGTAACTGCTGAGAGAGAATCTAAGAAAAAAGACAAAGTCTCATGAGCCATAAATACATTATTTCATTTCAACAAGCATTGTAAAGTGCTTTTTCTTATAGGATGGAAAAAAATGGGAACATGTTTCTATGCTAGAGAGAAAGCCCTTCTCAAGAAGGAGAGTTGAAAATTAAGAAGAGAGGAGATGGCTGACTCCCCAGCAGCACACAGGCACCCAGAAAAACAAACAGAGAATGTGGACTATAGCACCAATTCTGCATTATGATGAGACTACTTGGATGTGACAGGATAGGAACACAAGGAATCCAAGGGGTAGAAAAAAGGTAGTTCAAACTGTCAAGCATGGGTCCATATAGGACACAGAAAGGAGCAAGGGTAAGGAAGAATTAACATACTAGAGAAGCAAAGTGGAATTCAATGGAATTCAATGAGAATGAAGATCAGGACAATATGAGAAAGAAAATGGCAGGATGGATTATAGTCAGATCAGCATTACTGATTACCTTCATACTCAAGAGAATATTGCAGAACGAGATCATTTCAATCTAACAGAAGGTCAATTTACAAAAACAAGAAAAGATGGGCTGTACATAAAGCACAAAAACCATTCAAGACAGAGAAGAGTAACTGATGAAAAAGAAACTCACTAAAGGATAATACAGGTCAAGTATCCCTTATTCTAAATGCTTGGGACCAGAAGTATTTTAGTTTTCCATTTTTTTCAGATGGTGGAATATCTTGGATATCTTGGGATAGGACGCAAGTCTAAACATGAAATTCATTTGTTTCATATACATCGTATACACATAGCCTAAAGATAATTTTATACAGTATTTTAAATGATTTTGTGCATATTTGCCTTTGATCTGTTACCCTGTTCCACAAGGTCAGTTGTGGCATTTTCCACTTGTGGTGTCATGTTGGTGCTCAGAAAATTTCAGATTTTGCAGCATTTTGGATTTTCAGATTAGGCATACTCAATCTGTATGACATTCTAGATAAACTAGGACCCTAGATCTAAAATGGCAAAGGGAAAGAGCAACAATAAAGAAGTGCAATGTATGCTCCATGAGGGAAAGAACTGTATTTAGTTTTGCTCATAATTGTACTGCATCCCCACCACTTAAGTACGAGGTATTTGTTGAAAGAATGAATAAATGGCATCAATTCTCTGAAGACTTTAAATAGGCTTTTATATCTACTGCCTGGCAAACGAAAGTGGAAATGAATACCCTCCAAGGCAGGAAGTAAAGATTAAAAGGCAGTACCTGGTTTCTCTGCTCAGCAGCAGTCAGCTCCTGTTGCAGCAAGTCAACGACCTGAGCACGGCCCACCAAGGATTCTTCGTGTTCCTCAAGCTTCCTTTGCAGCACCCTCAATTTCTGAGAAGAAAACATTTTAGACATAATATGCTAACAAATGAGTGCTTGTATTTGCTTATCTTTCAAAATGTCATGTAGATTTGTATACTTAAATTTTGGGGTGTTGAAAATGACAGTTTAAAGAGTGGGAGACCAGCATGCCATGCTCCCCCCATCCAGCAGCAACGAAGAGTCTCCAAAATGTCTTCTCCAGAGCACCAACAACAACCAGACCCAGACACAAGCAAGTCCCTGAATTAGGGAGTCTCTTTAAAAATTAGAAAAAACAATAACACATATCTGCCTTCAAAATCATACAGTTAATAACCTGTACCTAGATAGCATAGGTACATGTACATCTTACCCACCCAAGAGAACATTCTCTGCAGGCAAGAATCATTTCTCTTCTCCTAGTTTCATGCACTGGGCAGGCACTTGAAAAAAAATTGTTGAATAAATAAAGCAATGATACACATATACAATTAGTATTCTACTTAATAATATGTTGTATTCTAAAACTTTATTTAGTGGTGCATTCTGAAAGATTGCTTAGAACTTAAAAGTTTCCGTTCTAATTAATTCTAATTAATTTTCAATCTAATTAAACAGATCAAACATAAAGTATCACTGAAGTGCCTTTCAGTACCACAATGCACTACACACTAAGTGAAATAAAATACTTTGAGTTAGTAGATGGTGAACTCAAATACAATGAAGCCAATTTTCAAAATCTACTCAAATTTTTTTAAAAAAGAATTACTGATCTAATAAAAGACTTCATGTCTTCAAAATCATTCTTTGTCTTCTCTAATTTTTTAAATATTTAAAACTGACTTCATTGATTTGAAGCTTTGGGTTAGGTGTGTAATGCACAAAGGTAGCTATAATCAGAAAACTGAAGAGAAACCAATTTTTGACTACCACATAAATTCACCAACTAAACTCAGCTTTTGAGCACCAACAACCTGATTAGAGGGGTAAAAGGCAAGAAAAGGATAAGAAAAAATAAATAATTTTTATGCAACAGAAGACAAGGACACAAAAGAGGCCAATAAGGAAAACACTAACACCAAGTGAAGAGCAGTGGGTAAGGGTAGGAAATTGGCTGTGATGGATTAAATATTAACCAAAATGACAGTCATTCTACCGAGTTTTAGCAACACACCTGTTGCATCTCTGTTTCCACATCTGCCTGGGTTACTAACTGAAGAAGCTCATCTTCATGAAGACGAACTTGTGTTTCAAAGCGGGCATCTTTCTCTCGGACCACCTGCTGCATGGAACTCAACTGAAGACACATACCAGAGAAACTATGCAAGTTACACTCCCCGAATATTGCACAAATAAAACTCACAGACTACTTTCCAAGACAGACACTGAGACTTGATAGTAGCTTTTTAAAGTGAAATTTTGATTGTCAAGGATGAGGATGTTGGAAGAGAGATAGGCTGGACAGTAACTATGAAATGCGAGAGAAAGCCTATTTTCAAATTCAGAAGTTAGCCTAAACATAAATTTTGATCAAAAATTATATGTTCATGGTTACTAGAAATGTTTTAAATATACAAGAAGTGTATTTTTTAAAGTTCTAAAAAGATTAAGATATTAAACACATAAGGTGAAGTTAAGTTAGATTTCTATTAAACCCTGGACACTTCTTGCTCATGGCTGAAAAGCTTTCAGTAAAATTCTCATGCCCTATAAATGAAAATTCAAACTAACATATCATTTATTCAAGATTCTCTACAACTGGAAATACCAATCTATCTTTCTAGTCTTATTTTCAAAGAATTGCTTCTACCAAAGAACCTCATGTGCTTCTAAATCCACACCACCTCCCCAGACAGCTGTTTTCAGCTGTCATTACTTGCAGCCTTCTAGATCATGCTCATTTTTAACTGGCTCTGAACAGAATGAAATGGAAATAAATGGACTGATGGTGAGCTGCTCAGTATCAGTGCTTCTGTCTTGTTTTTAGGTTGTGAGTGTGTGCATCTGCTTATTCATCTCCTTAAGATCTATGGTGGAGCATGCTGCTTAGCTGTTAGCTTGCCTATTTTGCATTGGTCCTTTACTGCTGATATCTCAGTTTGTGACACCTTGAATCAAACTTTGGCTTTCTTTTTTGGTAGGAGAAAAACAAATCCTCAGAATGTTTTTATTATCTGAATTGTGACCTCACTAGGAATTTGGACTCTTGTGTTTCAAGTGTGTAGGCACTGGAGTCTTTCATTAGCCAAACATCTCTAACTCCTTTCCCATAACTGTTCCATATTCTTTTCCTTCTCTGCAGTTTTGCTCACACCGTTCCCCATCACTGAAATATCTCCCCCAGCTTGTCTGGAATATTATCTATATATCATGGTTTTGCCTAAATCCCAACTTTTCCGTGTAATTTTCCTTAACTGTCAAACTCACAGTAACCTCTTTCGCCTTCCAAAATATTTTGTTTGTATTGCTGCTTGCTTTGGCACTTATTCGGAAAGCCTTAAATTACGATGAATCTCTTAACACATGTATGTATCTTGGCTTTCCATATTTTAGCAACACATAGGTTAAAAACCATATTTTGTATTTCTTCATCCTGCACTGTATATAGTGCTTATACATAAAAAGGACACAATAAAAAATAAATAAAAAATTTAAAAAGGACACAATAAAAGCTAATAGGTAAAACCAAGAATTTCAGGATATACAATTTTAACTGTATACATAGCAGTAGGCCAACCACAGAGAGAAGGCACTACTAATACTACAAATTATTAATAAAGTAAACACCTAATGGATAATTAGCTATGTACAAAGGTACTTCAGGGAAAAAAATCTTTCATGATTCATAAGCATTCCCCCACCGCTGCCCCCACCCCCCAAAAAAAATTACAGTGCCTGTAATCCCAGCACTTTGGGAGGCCGAGGTGTGAGGATCACTTGAACTCAGGAGTGCAAGGCCTGCCTGGGCAACATATTGAGAACCTGTCTCTTCAAAAAATGTAAAAAATTTAGCCAGATGCAGTGGCACATGCCTGTAGTCCCAGCTACTTGGGAAGCTGAGGTGAGTGAGAGGATGGCTTGAGCCCAGGAGACTGAGGCTGCAGTGAGCTATGATTGTACCACTTGTACTCCAGCTTGGGCAACAGAGTGAGACCCAATTTCAAAAATAAATATGTGGGAGTGCGTGGCCAACCAAGAAACCTAGAAAAATAGAAAAAGTTGAGGATGCCAATCCAAATGGTCTGGTCTTGACAGATGAAAAAAATGGGAAGAAGAATGTCACATACTGGTGCCATTTAACATAAAATCACATGACCTACACCACTTTCTCATTACAGGCTCACTAAGTAATCTAACTATAATTTATTTCCTATTAAGATAGATATTATTTTGGGAAAGAATGAACCTAATTATTTTTATTTCTTTTGGTTTACTTATTGGTCTCTTTTGAACTCAGCATGAGTCCATTCCCAAAAGACTGAATCTCTGTCTGCTATTAAAATTAAGTTTCTGGACATGCAGAACTAAGAAACAGTCATCAATTAGGCTATAGAAAATTCATCAAGGTAAATAACACATTGTGAGGTTTTCTGGTGTTCCCTAATGACACACTTACCTACCACACATCTCCTAATCTCTTCTACTACATATCCTTCTAATTTCTAGTGCAACACCCATGCTACTATACTTTTATCTACTAGGATTTTTTAAAGTGACTCACTGAATTGACTTGTGCGTAATAACCCACTGGACTTCATAGCTCTTTATCCTAATTTTGTGAGGTCCCTACCTGTGCAGCTTGCTCTGCCTGTGTCTGGCTGAGCTGGGCTTGTAAAGTGCTAATGAATTCTTCCTTCTCCTGGAGCTGTTGCTTCATCATTACAAATTCTTCCATCTCTGTAGAACTCTTATCAAACCGAAGACATAGAAGGAAAAAAAATTATTTAAGCAAAAGAATGAGCATTATTAATTCTTTGACCTCCCTTTCTTGCTTAACCTAAATGCCTACCATATTTCCTTCTAGTTTCCATTGAACCCAAAAGGAAATTGCATGCATTATCAAAATTTTATTTGTCAGAAGAAGACAGAAGCAGTAGTGGCAATTTTTCAATTTCTCTGACTCCTCACATAGAGACAGCACAAGATAGTAAAACCAAAAAAACCACAGATAACATTTACAGTTAAATTAGGCAGACCGTCCTAAAAACCCTAAAATATAAGCTAATAAGGACAAACCACCAAAACCCACAAGAACTACATTGTATTAGAGTCTTACATTGTGTAAGAAAAAGAAGGCAGCAAAAGAGTGAAATCTGATGGGTCTGAGAAAGGGACAGCCCTAAACAGCCAATGTATTTATTTGCTGGAATGAACAGCTGGCCAATTTTAGAATAGTGGCAGGGCTTTGCCATTCTTTAATACTAGGTAAATGCAAGGGGTGCACAGTAAGGTAAGAAGGACTAAAAGGGCTAGAGCAATCTAGGCCCCCTGAACTCTCACAACTGACTCATCATGGCTCCCTTCTGAGACATGAACCTGTACTAAGAAGAAACTGCGAGGAGTGAAATAAAAATTATGCAGAAAAGGAATTAAAGAGACAGAAGAAAGAGGTCTACAAACGTATTGTATAATTCAGTATCAACTAGCCACATGTGGATATAGAGGGCTTAAAATGGGTCTGATAGAAAAGAAATATTTTTAATTTTTAACATTATTTAATTTTAATTTGAAAACTGAAATATAGATTATTTTTCCATTAAGTACAACTTTGTTTTGGCATGACTATATTTCATCTTATCTGTTGCATCATGTAAGTTACTGTTGAGGTGCTGCACAAGCAACAAGTGTATATGCAGTTGGTATCAATGGGTTGATTCAGTTTAACATTTTTCTAGACCCCTATATAACACTGTAATATGTTTATTTGTATACTTAATGCAGACAGCATTAGTAACAGTTGATACCAATTTAATCATAACTAATAATTAAATTGCAATATAAACATTTATTATAATTGAATTATTTTCCAAGTTCAAAAATAAATATAGACACATTTCAAAATTTAAAATGAAGGCCTTCTATTGTTGTATAGTTGGTTCCTTTTCACTTCTAAGTAGTATTCCAGTGTGTGGATATACCACAGTTTAAATATTTCCCTATTGATGGGCATGTGAGTTGTTTCCAGTCTTTAATTATTACAAATAAACCTATTACTATTGGACAGTGCTGGCATAAACCAAGTGAAGGGCAGAAGGAAGAAAGCCAGGAAATCTCAGAAATCCGGCTCCCATATCTTTGAACACAACACAAAAACAATAGAAAAAGGAAGTCTGTTAAGAAAAGCTTTCCTGAATCAAGCCTCCTTCCAAATAGAGGTTTAGGAGAATAAATTTGACACAAAAATAAGGAACAGAAAAGGATGAAGGTCATATCCCATTTAAGTTACTATTAAAAAAACAGAGTAGCCCCCACTAGCAAGAGGACCCTCACCAGATGCAGCCTCTCACCCTTGGTCTTCTCAGCCTCCATAACTTCTTATAAATTACCCAGTTTCAGGTATTCTGTTACACGCAAGAGAAAACGGACTAAAAAGGAAAATTGGTATTGACAAGTGGGGTCATCGTTGATAATGATTATTTGAAAATGTGGAAGCAGTTTTGGAACTGGGTAATGGGCAGAGGCTGGAAAAATTCTGAGGAACTAGCTCAAAAAAAAAATGCCTAGATTCTGATGAGGGCTTAGAAGATAAGACAACTACAGAAAGCTTAGCACTCCTTGGAGATTGGTTAAGCGGTTGTGACCACAATGCTGATAGAAACATAAATAGTAAAGCCCATTCTGGTGAGGCTTCAGACAGAAATGAGGAACAAAGTATCAGAAACTAGAGTAAAGCCCAGCCTTGCTATAAATTAGCAATGAACTTGGCTGAACTTGTCCAGTTTTTGTATGGCCAAGAACTTTGTAGAAGGCTGAGCTTGAGAGTGATGAACTAGGGTATATGGCAGGAGAAAATTTTAAGCAGCAAACTGCTTGAGCTGCTATGTGGTTACTTCTATCTGCTTACAGTGAACAGAGAAAAAGAAAACAGAGCAAAAAAAAAAAAAATTGGAAAATTTGCAACCTGGCCATGTGGTAAAGAATGGAGAAGATTTCAGGATGGGAATCCAAGAAGGCACAGCCACCACTTGCTAAAGAAATTAACACGGCTAAAAGGGAGCCAGTTTCTAACAGTTAAGACAATGGGAAAAAGCCCTAAAGGCATTTCAGAATGCATTTTAGAAATCTTTAAGGCTGCCCCAACAGCCCCCATCACAGGCCCAAAGCCCTAAGAGGACAGAATGGTTTCTGTGAATAGGCCCTGAGATACCACTGCTCTGTGCCACTTCAGGATACTGCTCCTTGCAGCCCAGCTGTTCTGGTTAGTGCAAAGCAGCCGCAGGTATGGCTCATGTCACAGCTCAAAAGGTACGAGTTGTAAAACTTGGTAACATCCACATGGTGCTAATTCTGCAGGCTCACAGAAAGCAAGAGCTGTGGAGGCTTGGTAGTCTCCACTTACATGTCGAAGGATGTCATCAATAGCCAGGGGGCTCAGGCAGAGGCTTGTCTTGAGGCAGAACCACCACAGAGAGCCCCACTAGAGCAATGCCAAGGGGAAATGAGGGGTTGGAATTGCCCTGCAGAGTCCCCACTAGAGTAATGCCTAGTGGAATCACGGTGTGGGACTACCACTGCCATACCAGAACTATAGAGCTACCAGTGTGCAATGCAAAGTCAGCCTGGGAATGCTGGCTGGACTAAGCCCAGCAAAGCCATAGGGACAGAACTGCCTGAGGTCTTGGGGACCCAACCCCTGTACCGGCAGAGGATGCTGAAAATGGAGTAAAAGAAGATTATTCTGGAATTTTAAGGCCCAATGTCTACTCTCTTGGTTTTCAAACTTGCTTGGGGTCTGTTACTCTCTTTCTTCTTGCCTAGTTCTCCCTTTTAGAATGAGAATGTGAACCCTATGCTTGTCCTACCATTGTATCTTGGAGGAAGATAATGTGTTTTTATTTCACAGGCTCACAGAAATTGGTGCAGGAATGAGCTAAGACTTTGGGGCTGTGGGGATGCAATTAATGTATTTGTATGTGAGAAGAATATGAGTTTTGGAGAGCCAAGGGTGGAAGGCTATGATGTGAATGTCCCCTCCAAAACTCACGTTGAAACTGAATCCCCAGTGTGACAAGAGGCCTTTAAGAAAGGACTGGTTCAGGAGGTCTCTGAACTCAGCAATGGATTAACACATTCACAGATTAATGGATTAATGGGTTGTCATAGAAGGGGAACTGGTAGCTTTATAAGAAGAAGAGAGACCTGAGCTGGCAAATTAGCACACTCAGCCCCCTCACTATGTGATGACTTGCGCTGCCTTGCGACACCACTGAGAGCCCTATCAGCAAGAAGACCCTCACCAGATGCAGTCCCTCAACTTTAGACTTCTCAGCCTCCATAAATGTAAGAAATAAATTTATTTAAATTAAATTAAATTTCTGTTATTATAAATTAAAAACAAAACTAAGGAGCAGAATGATATGATTATAGGTGATAAAAGCATACCAGAGCCACACTAAAAAAAAAAAAATCAAAATTGCAATCTATTTCAAAAAGTTTTTAAAAATTAAGAAAATTATACAGGCCAGGCATGGTGGCTCACACCTGTAATACCAGCACTTTGGGAGGCCCAGGCAGGTGGATCACTTGAGGTCAGGAGTTCCAGACCAGCCTAGCTAACATGGTGAAACCCCATTTCTACTAAAAATACAAAAAATTAGCCAGGCATGGTGGTGCATGCCTGTAATCCCAGCTACTCAGGAGGCTGAGGCAGGAGAATTGCTTGAACCTGGCAAGCAGAGGTTACAGAGAGCTGAGACTGTACTGCTCCACTCCAGCCTGGCCAACAGAGTGACACCCTGTCTCAAAAAAAAAAAAAAAAAAAAAGAAAAGAAAAGAAAAAAAAATTATACAGAGATGAGAGAAAAACATAAATCAGATTTAGAAAAATCAGAAATGAGGTGACTGAACTCATGAAAAATCCAATAGAAAAGAAAAAATCATTGCAGTATAGAAGATAAAAAAACAGAAAAAACACAAAAACAAACAAAAAATAGAAGGCCTAAAGTGAAATAAAACAACAAACAAAAAAACAAACTTAAAATATGTGAAACCATATATTGAAAGAGTATACTGGGTATCTATGAATAACAACTAAAAATGACAAACACCAATGCATATTCTAATAAAATTACCAGACAAGAAGAAATGAAGAAAAGAAGGAGACTGATATATACATAGATAAATGCCCATTGTGCATCTAGAAAAATGTATTTGTCACATAATAATCCATTGGTTTTAGTGATTCATTAACCTAATGATTATGAAGTAACTTCCACCCCTACCTGTGCAGGTTGTTCTGCCTGTGCCTGAGTAAGCTGGGCTTGCAAAGTGCTGATTAGTTCCTCCTTCTCCTGGAGCTTATGTTTTATCTTTTCTATTTCCATCTCTTCCTCTGTAGAACTCTTGTCATGCTGAAAATGCAGGAGATAAAGTCATTATTTAAAAGAATTACAATTAATATATATTTGATATTTTCTTCTAATTTTTCATTTACAACCATTTAGTTATAATTTTATTAAACTGATGGGAGCAAGAAAAACCAGCTGATCTAACAAATAAGAAATCTTAGGGTTGTCCAGTTTTTGTATGGCCAAGCAGTTCCTGTTAGACCTACCCTCCCTCACATAATAGCTATAAACTGTGAAATACATACACACACACACATATATATATATATATATATATATATATTTTTTTTTTTTTTTTTTTTTTTTTTTTCCCTCACACCAAGCATGTGAACCCAAAACTGTGGACAATATAGAAAACAGCTATCTGAAAATACTGGAGAGCAACCAAAAGCAGGAAGATACTGGAGGGGATGTGATAATTGGAAGAAATGGTACCGAGTTTCCCATTTTGACAGCTTTTATTCTGAGGGCAAAACCAGTCAGTGCCATGCAGGACTAAACCTTAATAGAAAACCCGAAGTCTTGTTGCCTTGAAGAATCAAGGAGAGAGCTCAGGAAACTATAGCTGTTGCTAAGTGAGAAGCAACACATCAGAAAAGAGCCAGTGAGGGGAAATCCAATTTTTTCAATAATCTATTTTTTTTTCCAAAAGCTCTCCCTTAGACTGAGATTCTGCCTCTTTGTAAATTTAGTCCCTCCCAACCCCCTAAACAAAGCTATTTCTGCTTACTGGAATTACAAAGAATACTTTTATACTTTCACATAAGTCAGTCAAGCACCTGAGGACTGTTGTCATTTCTTCAACTATACTTTCCACAGAATACCTAGCTCTGTATTGAGTATATAATAGTTAAAGGGTTGCTATGACTGATTGCTGAAACTTAGAAATCATTTCTTTAACAGAGAAAGAAAATGAACTCTAAGACATTACTGCTTTAAGGTCTCAGAGCTAAAAATGAAATTAAAAAGCAGAGTATAAAATGGATAATTTAAAAATCTGACATCATAGCTGAGGAGAAGCTGGAGGGAACAAAGCAATATGAGGAGAGAGGTTGGTGCTACCACAGTGAGGGGAAGAGAACTGACAGAGGAAAAACCAAAAGGAAAAGAAGGATCAAGGTGAAATTATTTGAGAAGATTGAGAAAAGCTTTTAAAATAGGCTTCAAGAAGTTAAATAAGATTATCAATTCAGGGAAAGTAATGTTCTCTGATCATTAGGCCCTGAGAGGAAAGACTAAGCAGGAACTGGGTCACTAACTAGCGATCCCAAAGGTTGTGCCTAGAAAACTGATTAAAATCTCATTTCCCAAGAACTAAGGATACTAGCAGGTCAAAGCAAAACAAAATGAAACTAAAAAAATAAAAAGATTTCTTACACACGGTGAAGTCTAGGCTCACTCTATAACTACAGTATGCATGTGATATGCCTGCCTCCATATAATCTGTATCAAACTCTCCACAAAACTGAAGTTTCTTGTTCTCTAAATAGCTGACTGAATGTGAATATGTGGAGTTTAACCATACAGGAAAGATAATGAAAATTTGAGTACTGGGACAATATTCCTCACAGGGCAGTACTTTCCTTATTCCTCCTCTGTATCTCCAACCTTAAACTGCTTTGTTGGCTGCAGTCATAAACCTAGTGAGCCTCCCTTTTAGAGAGTCCCAGGTAATTCAGCTGATTCAGCCCACATGCATGAAGCTTTAATCCACCACTATGTGACTATATATGAGGACACAGAATATTCTGTGTTAAGTCATTGAATTAAAAAGTTTCAGAGCTGGAAGAAACCTTAGAGATAATCTAGTTTAATCTTCTAATCAATGATGAAACTCCTCCAAAAGGTATGTTTCCCTCCTCTCTAAATGCCTCACTTCAGTACTTATTTCTTCCTGTAAGCCTTTTTTAATCCCTGAAAGTCCAGGTCACAACTGGCATTTCATATCCATGTTTTCTGTACATCTTTCATTCTCCCTGTGTGTGGCCTACAGTCCAGCTGAACTACAAGCTCTATAAGAAAAAAAAAAACAAAACATTATTTAGTGCTGTATCATTTTAGCATCCTAAATGTTTGTGATTGGTGAAGATCTGCTGTATTGGTAGGTTTTTTCAACTTAGGAAATATACACTACACCCAGTCACCATACCTTGGAAAGTTGCTCCTCTGACTGAGGTTCTGTAGGCAGAACAGTCCCTCCTTGTGCTTTCATTTCTTCTATGTATTTATTCAAAGAAGTTAATTTGGCCTTCGCATGAAGTTTTAGTTTTTTAATTTTGTTATCAGCAGCTTTTCTCTCTTCCTGCCCAAAAACAATGATGGTAAATACATAAATGTTTATTCCCCTCTTATCTAGCACATACTAAAAGTTATTTTTATTATTATTACTTTCAGAGACAGGGTATCTCTCTGTTACCAGGGCTGGAGTGCAGTGGCACAATCACAACTCACTGCAGCCTCTAACTCCCAGGCTCAAGCGATCCTATCTCAGCCTCCAGAGTAGCTGGGACTACAGGTGCCCAATACCATGCCCAGCTAATTTTTTTTAAATTTTTTTTTGTGGAGACAGGGTCTCACTATGTTGCCCAGGCTGATCTCGAACTCCTGGCCTCAAGAAATCCTCCCATCTCAGCCTCCCAAAATGCTGGGATTACAGGTGTGAGCTACCACACCGACCCAAAAGTTATTTTCAGTAGGCATAAGGTTACAGTACTAGGGAGATAATCAGATTCCCTAATAATCTAAGTGGAGACAAAAATTAAAGTGAGTAGTGTATCATCTGTCCTTTATCAAATGCTCCACAAGAAAGGATAAAAACAATAGTACCTGTAGAGCTTCATCTTTCTGCTGCAGTTGAACATCCTTCTGTCTAATAATATCTTTTAGCTCCACCACCAATTGCTCTGCATAAGCCAGGCGCTCCTGAACATCTTCTTGTGTAGTATTATTAAATTCCATGTCAGATTCTTGGTGTAATTCCTAATATTTAGGAAAAAAGTTGCCAGTGCACCAGGAAAAGGTATTAGCTTCCCAACAGGAGTTTCTTCATTCCAACTTTTTATGTTTTGCCCAATTCATATTCTTGTTAACTTAAGAATCTAACTCTGATCCAATAATAATCATTATCATAGCCATTACAATATATTAAGTATTTTATAAATGTTAAGCATTTTACAAACATTATCCCATTTAAGGTATTATTATCCTAATTTTACCAAAGAGAAAAATAAAGGAAAGCAAAAATCATAAACCAGTAAGGGTAAAAGGCCAAAAGTTAAAATTAAGAGTAGTTAAGTAAAACTCTCTTAACCACTACGCATTACTTCTTGTCTTTTCAGAAAACTAAGAAGTTTTATTAATTCCTTATGTGGACTTCAGAAAATATAATACATACTGCCAATTTGTATCATCTTAAAAAAAAAAGAAAATACAATACAAACTATAGGAGAAGTGGTAAATGAAATTACAAAGCAAACAGATATTCTGAAACCCAAAAGGTGTTCCAGTTTCCTCATTTGTCACTTAGACCTTTCCTGTGGAAAAGGAATAGCCAAGGATGAGAACAAAGGACTTAAAACACTCTGGCACCAAACAAGGCCCAGGGAGACAAATGAGAAAGCCCTTTCAAATTGTATCCAGGACTTGTTTCCCATCACTGTGGCTTTTAAGCTAAAAACTTACAAGAGAAGGATCACTTATAAAATTTCAATATTTTTCTTAATCCTCGCTTCACCTAGTACCAGGGAGGCTTCGCACACCCTTCTATCTTAAATTATTTTCCTTAGAAGAACACAGAACATATGTCTTACCAGTTTAAATCAGAACAGAACTACTCACAGGGTCTAGGGGAGCCCTCATATTCTGATCAGTGTCATCATCTCCTGATAATTCATGCAAAACAACATTTGCTAATCCTGATAATCGGCTCAGCATTTCTGTAGGAAAAGAAGGGGGGAAAAAACCTAAGAATCAGCAAAATGAACATAGGCTTCTCCTATATTGATAACCATATCATCCGTGAATGAAAAAAGAATACTGTACAGGTGATTTGTATTAGACACAGTCTGCAGCACAATGATGTCTTCAAAAAGGCATTTGAGTACTTCCAGTGTAGTCACACGCTGTTCTTTTCAGTGGCAATTGTACAGAGGTTATCACCATCACTAACACCATTTCTAAAATAAAATGTAAGTACCTAATCGTTAAACATTAATACAATGTTAAATACCAATCTATAATTGTTAAATACACCTTAAAGGTAGTTTTTATCTTTAATGCCCTTCTTTCATAGTAGTTTCACTTACAAACATGAATTTCTTTTTTCTTTTTCTTTTTTTTTTTTTGAGACAGGGTCTTGCTCTGTCACGCAGGCTGGAGTACAGGGACGCAATCTCAGCCCACTGCAACCTCTGCTTTCTGGGCTCAAGCGATCCTGCCACCTCAGCCTTTCGAGTAGCTGAGACTACAGGCACATGCCCAAACATGAATGTCTTATTCTTTCTTCCTCTGTCAGACTGTTATTCTCTCCCACTTGTTCAAATAAACTCCATGATACTGCAACATTTTTCTTTTTATGTGCCCCATGAACCCCATTCTTTCAGAAAGCTTTCTTGATAAACCATGTGGCTTTGCTAAAATTTAAATATAAACTTTGTTCAAAATGTACAGCATTAAATGCATATATTAGAAAAGGAGGAAGGACAGAAATCAGTAACCTATGATTCTTCTATAGAAAATTAGAAAAAGAAGAACAAATTACAGCCAGTGTAAGCAGAAAAATAAAAATAAAAATCAGAGTAGAAATTAATAAAAATAGAAAAATAGAGAATATCAATAAAACCAAAAGTTGATTATCTGAAAAGATCAATAAAATTGATAAAACTCTAGTCAAGATGACCAAGAAAAAAACAGAGAAGACACAAATTACTGGCATCATAAATGAAAGAGGAAACATCATTAATGATCTAACATACATTAAAAGATAATAAACACTACAAATAGCCCTATACTTTTAAGTTCATCCATGTAGATAAAATGGGTCAGTTCACTGAAAGATTCAAGCTACCAAAAGCTCAAGAAGAAATAGAGAACCTGAATATAAATGAGTAGATATGTGTGGGTGCATGTGTGTGTACAGACACACACACACATATATATACACACATATAAATATGAAATTGAATTCATACATTAAAAACCTTCTAAAAAAAGAAAACTCCAGATCAAGGTGGCTTCATTAGTAGGTAACAAGAAACATTTAAGGAATAATACCAATTTTATATAATCTATGCCAGAAGATAGAAAAGGAAGGAACACCTTCTAACTTATTTTACCAGACTAGCATTGCCCTAATACTAAAAGCAGACAAAGATATTACAAGAAAACTAAAGACCAATGTTCCTCATGGTCACAGTCAACAAAATATTCAAATAGTCCATAAAATATTAGCTAATTAAATCCAGTAATATATAAAAAGATAATACATCACAACCAAGTGGGGTTCAAGAAATGTAATGCTAATTCAAAATATGAAAATCAATGTAATTCACCATATTAACAGACTAAATAAGGAAAACCACATAATGTCAATAGATTGAGAAAAAGCATTTGACACATTTCAATATCTATTCATGATTATGAATTCACAATAAGAATAATTCATTCTCAGCAAACTAAGAAGTGAATTTCCTCAACCTAATAAAGGGCATCTTTAAAAAACTTACAGCCAACATCATAATTAATGGTGAGAAACTGAATGTTCTCACCATATGAGAAACAAGGCAAAGATGTCTCTTACTACTTCTATCTAACACTATACTGGAAGTCCCAGCCAATGCAACAAGCAAGAAAAAGAAAAGAAATACAAATTGGAAAGGAAGAAATAAAACTGTCTCAACTAGCAAAATGATTGTCCATGTAGACTTTCCTTAAAAAACAACTCCTAGAATAAGTGAATTCAGCAAGGTTGCAGGATACAAAGTCACTATATAAAAGTCAACTGCAGGCCAGGTGCGGTAGCTCACGCCTGTAATCCCAGCACTTTGGGAGGCCAGGGCGGGCGGATCACGAGGTCAGGAGATCGACACCATCTTGGCTAACACTGTGAAACTCCAACTCTACTAAAAATACAAAAAATTAGCCGGGTGTGGTTGTGGGTGCCTGTAGTCCCAGCTACTCTGGAGGCTGAGGCAGGAGAATGGCGTGAACCCAGGAGGTGGAGCTTGCAGTGAGCCTAGATTGCTCCGTCTCAAAAAAAAAAAAAAAAAAAAAAAGTCAACTGCATTCCCATTACAATGAACAAGAGGAATTTGAAACCAATAAGAATACCATTTACAACAGCACTGAATAAACAGAGCAGGACTTGGGTAAACAGCTAACAAAATATATGCAGAATTTGCTGAATGCTGAAAACTATTGAAAACCCGAGGAAGACATAAAAAATCTAAATAAATGTAGAAATAAAACATATACATGTATTTGAACTCTATAATGTTAAAGTATCAATTCTCCCCATTTTGACCTATAAAATTAGTGCAATTCCAAACTTAATCCCAGCAAGCTTTTAGTAAACATCAAAAAGCTGACTCTAAAACATATGAAAAGGCAAGGAGTGTGGAAATTACTCACTACAATTACAAGACAGGGCAGCACTGGTGAAAGCATAGACACACAGATAAATGGAACAAAATGGAGAGCCTAGAAATAGACACATACAAATCGAGTCAACTGATTTTTAACAAAGGTACAAATGCAATTAAGTTGAGAAAGGACAATCTTTTCAATAAATGGTTGTGGAACAATTGGACATCTGAAAAAGAGTGAACCTTGACATACAACTCACACCTTATACAAAGCATATCTCAAAATGGATCAGAGACCTAAACTTAAATTGTAAAGGTTTTAGAAATAAACATAGGAGAACATTTTTGTGACGCTGAATTTGGCAATGAGCTTTTAGACACCAAAAAAGCACAATATATTATAAAAAATATTGATTAAAAATTTATCAAAACATACAACTTTTGCTCTGTGAAGACAAGGTTAAGAAAATGAAAAGACAAGTCACTGAAGCCAGGCGTGGTGGCTCACACCTGTAATCCCAGCACTTTGGGAGGCTGAGGCAAGCAGATCAGTTGAGGCCAGGAGTTCAACACCAGCCTGGCCAACATGGCAAAACCCCACCTCTACTAAAAATACAAAAATAAGCTGGGCATGATGGCGCATGCCTGTAGTCCCAGCTACTCAGGAGGCTGAGGCACAAGAATCGGTTGAACCTGGAAGGCATGGATTGCAGTGAGCTGAGATCATGCCACTGCACTCCAGTCTAGGCAACAGAGCAAGACTCTGTCTCGGGAAAAAAAAAAAAAAAAAAACAAGTCATAGATTAGGAGAAAATATTTACAAATAGCATATCCAGTAAATAACTTGTATCCAGAATCTAAAACAATAAAAATATCTTAAAACTCAACATCAATAAAGTAACACACCTGATAAAGAAATGTGCAAGAGATGTGAATAGATACTTCACCAAAGAAGATAGATGGATGGTAAATAAATATATGAAAAGATGCTTAAGTTAATCTGGCATTAGGAAAATACTCATTAAAAGCAAAATGAAATACCACTATCTACCTATTAGAATTGCTAAAATATGTATTTTTTAATGCTGGCAGGGATATAGAGCAACAGGAACTTTCAATGCCTGCAGATTAGAATACAAAATGGCACAGCTACTTCGGAAAACTGTTTGACAGTTTCTTTAAAAGTTAAACGTACATTTACCAATCCCACTCCTAGGCATCTAACCAAGTTTATAGTAGGTTTACTCATAATCACAGATTCTGAAAATAGCCAAGATATCCCTCAACAAGTGAATGAATAACAAACTGTAGCACATCCAAACAATGGAATACTACTCAGCAAAAGAATGAACAATTGATTCACACAACACAATACTTAAACCTAAAATGCCTTTTGCTACATGGAATAAGCTAAACATTAAAAGATATACATCATATTATTCTATTTATATAACATTTTGAACAAGTCCAGAAATTAACCCACACAAATATAGTTGTCAGGGCTTGAGGGAAGGAGATGTGGCTGAATATAAAAGAGCAACACAAGGGAATTTTTAAGGTGAAGGAACTGTTCTGTATGATCTTGAAGTAGTAAATTCATAACCATATGCATTTGTCAAAACTCACTGAACTGTACATTCCAAAGAGCAAACATAATTGTATACAATTTTTTTAAAACCTCAGCCAGGATGTCAGGAGTTCCAAAAATGGAATGCAGACTGTGACAAATAGATCTAACTATATTATAAATATATGATATAACCTCACTGAAGGAGATGGGGCTAACCTAAGAAACAAAAATGGTGTTTTGACTGGGTACTATAAGGATAAAGACAAAAAGAACTGACATAAACACTGTACTCTGCTTGGTAAATTTCTTTCTCACAGTGGTATGGGTTAGCAATTCTGAAACTACTTCATTGTACACTAGGGTTAAATGAGTAAGTAAATTGTAGATAATGAGATTCAGGTTTTTTACTGTCAGTGAAAGAAGTTACAAATAAGGCAAGAAAGCTAGGATAAACCCCATGGTACTGGATTAGAGTCAGAGATATCAGTATGAACTCATGTTTATTTTAATATATATGTAAATAGATAAATGCAGAAATAAGTATAGATATGTATGCATTATAAATAATCAGTTATTACAGAGAAATATATATTCTAGCCGTGTCCACTGAAAAGTCCTAGAAACAGTAACACCTCAGTAGCAATGAGCGCATCCAGATCTCGATTTCTAAATTGCCAATCTCCAATAAAAGGAACTAGGGCTCCTTGGAGAAATGGCTGCCTATCTAGGGTTGGGGCAGAGAGCCAGAAAGTAAGGAAGTGTTCAAAAAAGAAAAAGAAAAAAAATGGGGTATGTGACCAGGAGCCAATCTGAAGGAGCTCCCAATGATCAAGGCTAGAATAATTTGAGTCACAGAATAAATAACAATAATATTGGATTATATGGATTATAACCCAAATAAAAAATTAAATACCCATCAGTCAATACTGATATAAATAAATCATTAAATAAATTAATGGTAGAGACAAATCTTCCTTACAAAAGAATTCCAAATAATTTATGTAGATACGTCCCCCTCTAAAAATGGAGCTTAATTCCCTCTCCTTCAGTATAGGCTGGACCTAGTGACTCACTTCCAAAGAATAGAATATGAAAAAAGAAAAACAGCAACATCAGAGTGGTGAGACTTGGCAACCACCACCTCAACCAAGTGATCAAGATTAACATCACCAGTGATAAGTCATCGTAATATCATGTAACCCCTGATATAATGTGATGAGAAGGGTACTTTACCTCTGGGGTATTCTTCTGCAAAACCCGTAAGCCCAGTCTAATCATGAGAAAACACTGGGAAAACCTAGATTCAGGGACATTCTAAAAATACCTGACCAATACTCTTCAAAACTGTCAAAGTAATGAAAAACAACAAAAAACTAAGAAACAGTCACAGATTAGAGAAGACAAGGAGACATGCTGATTAAATGCAAAGTAGGCCGGGCACAGTGTCTCACGCCTGTAATCCTGGCACTTTGGGAGGCCGAGGCAGGCAGATCACTTGAGGTCAGTAGTTCGAGACCAGCCTGGCCAACATGGTGAAACTCCGTCTCTACTAAAAAATACAAAAATTAGCCGGGTGTGGTGGCATGCACCTGTAGTCCCAGCTATTGGGTAGTCTGAGATGGGAGAATCACTTGAACCTGGGAGACAGAGGTTGCAGTGAGCTGAGATCGCACCACTGCACTCCAGCCTGGGTGCCAGAGTGAGACCCTGCCTCTAAATAAATAAATAAATAAACGCAAGGCAGTATCCTGGATTAGGTTCTGAAACACAATAAGGACATTACTGGAAAAAATGGTGAAATCTGAATGAAGTCTACCTATAGTTTAGTTTATGGCATTGCACCTATGTTCTCTGTTTTGAAAAAGCTACCATGGTTGTGTAAAATGCTAACATTAGAGGATGCTTTGTGTATACAATAACTGTCTGTCTAATCTTCCCAAGTTGTATGTAAATCTAAGGTTATTCCAAAATCAATTTACTTTTATAACCACTGTGTAGGCTACATATTCAGATCAGTGTCAACTGCTAGTCCATAAAGTCCATGAAAATGAGAAGCATATTAATGCTTTGATAGGAAAAATCAAAATAGAACTGGACTATGCATAGCATTAGTTTACGTGATTATGCCTAATTTTACATTTTGTGATAAAATGTTATTTGGCTTTTAAAACCCTCAGCAGGGGCCGGGCGTGGTGGCTCATGCCTGTAATCCCAGCACTTTGGGAGGCTGAGGCGGGTGGATCACGAGGTCAGGAGTTTGAGACCAGTCTGACCAACATGGTGAAATCCCGTCTCTACTAAAAATACAAAAATTAGCCGGGTGTGGTGGCACGTGCCTGTAATCCCAGCTACTCAGGAGGCTGAGGCAGACGAATCACTTGAACCTGAGAGGTGGAGGTTGCAGTGAGCCAAGATTCGCACCACTGCACTCCAGCCTGGGCAACAGAGCAAGACCGCGTCTCAAAAAAAAAAAAAAACCTCAGCAAGAAGAAATATAAAAACTATTGTACAAAATAAACACTTAAATGAAACTAGGCTCTGCTACAGTTTTCTTCTACTGGGGATAATAATAGTGTTTAGGGCAGCCATGGTTCTTAAGAAAGAAGTGATGAGAGATACCTGTTTTTTTAATAGATTGTCTTGGGTAATCTAAGTAGCACATCACTTGGAAAAGATACGTGAGACAGAAATAGAAAAAGTGAACTGTTCCCTAGGAAGGCAGCGCAGGATCATATATAACTTCATATCTAAATACTGGAAGGGCAACACAGTGTCATACATGAGTACATAGGGCCATATATAACTATTTATTCAAGATATGAGAACCACAGCTATAGTCAGGATTAAAAAATCACAATTCAGCAGTATACAGATTCTAAACTTTCTTTTCAACTTTAGAGATCATATTTTCTTTGGTTAACTTTTAATGAAGGAAATGAATACCATCACTAAAGAGTTTCTTAAACATATAGATTTCTGCTAATCAAAGAAAATCATAATGGAACCTAACTTATCAAACAGAATCACTTTATCTTCAGATTTTTCAGACCACTTTGGAACAAAGAAAACAAAATAACCAACTGATGGGATTCTGAGAAGATGGGAGTAGCAAGGGGCCCCATGGATTTTGTATCTTCCTTTATTCCCACATAAAAACAGACAAAGCAACTAGGTAACAAAAGATCCATGGACAGCCTTTACCAAAAAACTACTTAACAAAGTTTCCTACAAACCCCAAAATAAACGTGGATATAGACAAACCGCCAATAGTCAAAAGATCTGGGTGTCACTGGTGTTCAACTGGGAGGAAATTGAGGGAAGCCAGAGGAGTACAACACCAAGAGGACCTCAAAAGAGCCAGTGGGCATTCACTGGCAAATGCGCCAAGCCAATTACAGAACAGTAGTTGATACAAGGAGGGGTCTTCCCATTCCAATAACAGGTACCTGCCAGGGGCCTACGAGGGCTGAAAGAGCTGAGGCAGTCTGGACCTTTATTAATTCTCAGAACTGAAGAGTTGGGGCTCTCTTCCAGGATAGGGTCCCACACTGAGGAGAATCTGCTGAGAGGAGAATTAAAATTAAGTGACTAAGGAAAGAGGAGGTCCAGATAAAGAGCAGGTGAAAGTGGCAAGGAAAGAAAGGCAGGAAATCCGAGAAATCCAGCTGCCATATAGTTGAACAATGTCTGAAAATAGCACAAGAGGAAACCTTATCAAGTTAGAAAAGCTGTATAAAATCTCTTTCTAAAAGTTCAGCAACACTAAATTCATATTAAAAATGAACTACTGAGGCCAGGCGTGCTAGCTCATCCTGTAATCCTAGCACTTTGGGAGGCTGAGGTGGGAGGATCACTTGAGCCTAGGAGTTCAAGACTAGCCTGAGCAACATAGCAAGATCCCATCTCTACAAAATTTTTTTAAAAAGTCAGCCAGGCATGGTGGCACATGCATGTAGGTCCAGCTATTCAGGTGGCTGACGTGGGAAGACTGCTTGAGCCCAAGAGGTGGAGGCTGCAGTGAGCCATAATCACACCCCTACACTCCAGCCTGGGTGATAGAGTAAGACCCTGTCACAAAAAAGAAAAAAAGAGCAACTGAAAAGTCTCACAATTCAGATACATTACTAGAAGAAAAAAAAGGAGGAAAACGATCATGATAACATCCCGACAGAAAATGGAAGCACGTCAGAGAGCCATGCTCAAAAAAACAGTTCAAAACTATAACCACTTAAATCTACTGAAGGAACTAAAAGGCATTAAAAATGACATAAGATGTGAAAAAATAAACATCAGAAATAGAAAAACCCAGAAATAAAGTGAAAACAAGAAGTGACTGAAAAATTTAAAAAATCATTTTGGAAATGAAGATGAAACTAGAAGGAACAAGAAAATGAGTAAATATAACAAACCATGTCATTAAAAAAAAGCAAAGTTGAAATGAAGGATAATTTTAAAAATCAAAAAGAAATGACCTAAAAAACTAGATATGCAACTACCTTATGACCCTCAATTCCACTCCCCAGCATTTATCTTAGAGAAAAGAAAACTTAAGTTCACAAGAGAACCTGCTGTATATAAACATTCATAGCAGCTTTATTTCTATTAATAGACGGTTAAGCAAACTGATATATACAGGCAAATGGTTAAACAAACTGGTACATACATCCCATCACATACTTCTCAGAAATAAAAAGCAACGAACTACTGATGGACCCAACAACTTAGATGGATCTCCAGAAAATTACATTGAATGAAAAAAAGCCAGTCCCAAAAGGTTACATATTATACAATTCCATACTTCTATAACATTTTTGAAATGACAAAATTTTAGAAATGGAGGAAAGATGAGTGATTACCAGTGGTTAGAGAGGGGTTGGGGTGGGAAGTGACTGTGGTCATAACAAGGCAACACAAGGGATCCTTGTGGTGTTGCAGCTGTTCAATATCTTGACTGTGGCAGTGGATACAGGAACCTACACAGGTGATATAACACTGCAAAACTTAATGATACACATACATACATATACAAATGAATATACAAGTAAAACTGGGGAATATATCTATCTCAATATCCTAATTGTGATATTATGTATTAGTTTTGCAAAATGTTACCACTGGAAGAAACAACAAAGTGTATAAAAGAGCTCTGATTATTTCCTACAACTGCATGTGACTCTACAATTGTCTTCATATTTAAAAAACAAATGAAAAAGAAATGAACTAAATGCAACATGATATCCTGAATTGAATCCTGGAACAGAAAATGGACATTAATGGAGAAACTGGTGAAATGTGAACAACGTCTGGAGTTCAGTTAATATTAATGTACCAATGTTGGTTTCTTAATTTTGTACACTGCTAATGTCACATGTTAATCTTAGGGAATACTAAGCAAAGGATACACCAGACTTCTGCACTATCTTTGCAAATTTTCTGTAGTAAACTTTCTGTAGTGATCTGAAATAATTCCTAATAATTTGTTTATTTTTAAAAAATGTAAGAAATTAAGAGTTACATAGGATTTGCGAGAAACAGATAAATATTGAAGATAAGTAATGTGAATAACAGGATTCCCTGAAGAAGAAAAGCAAAGCAAAGAAACAGCACAAATATGAAAAACCATAATCCAAGAATATTTATTTGAAAATTTTTTTTAAAAAGATTTGAAACTACATCTTGAAAGAGCCCACAATGTACCTCAGAATGTCAACTCAGAATGACCAACAAAACACTCTAGTAAAATTACTGGACTTAAAAAAATCCTTTAGGCTTTAGGCTAAAAGATCATATGACCAGTAAGATAAAGAAAAAAAAGCACTAGATTTTTCAACAGCAATGTTTTTGCCAGAAAAAAAAAATGAGTTACAAATTTAAGATATTCAAGAAAAGAAAAAGTGAGCCAAGGATTCTATTTCTGGCAAACACAAACTTTAGATATAAAAAACACAGACAAAATGTTATGAACGAGCAAGAAAATTCATGAAATATGAATATTCCCTTAAGCCTTTCCTAAAGAATTTACTAGAGGCAAAACTTGAGGCAATCCAAATGACTAAAGAAACATCATTATAAGAACTAGTGGTGAGCATTAAATATACGGTTACTAACAGAATTAAGACTAAGTAAAGACTGGAGGAGAGACAGCATAGTATGTAATGATTATATGCTCTGACAATATATAGGACAACCATGAAAAAAAATCGGGAAGAATGTGAATAGCATATGCAAAAAATAAAAAATATTTTTAAACAGTTTTCAATAATTAAAAGTGGTTGTTGTCTACGGCCATACCATCCTGAACACACCCGATCTCGTCTAAAGTGGTTGTGGTGGTGATATTCGTATCATCACTCCTAGATTACTATATGTGAAATGTAGAATTAAAGCAAATGATAATTATGGATACACTAATTCTGTATTTTCAGTTATGAAAAGAAGATACAGATGTAATACAGAAGAAATTAAGAACCCCGAAATACAAACTAATCTTTGAATCTGAATAGGAACACTCAGTGTGAAATGACAATTCAGTATTTTATATTTGTTCACATATTTTCCTAGCTCTGTCCACCAAAAAGGCTTAAAAGTAATGACAAACTGAGAAGCAATGAATATCTCTAGTGCCTAGATTGGGGTCTTGAAATACTCTTTCCCATTTTTAAAAAAGTTTTTAAAAGAAGGTTTTCTTAGAGAAATGGCTAATTCCATTTCTAAAGTGGAAATGTACAAAATGATCCTGAAACATCTTGTCATACAAGATAGGAAGCTTTCAAAGGACACAGGTTCCCATTGGCTAAAAGGATAATTTGAATATGTATGAATAAGAATTACAGCACACTGGGCCATACTGTCCAAGGTAATTTATAGATTCAATGCCATCCCCATCAAGCTACCAATGACTTTCTTCACAAAATTGGAAAAAACTACTTTAAAGTTCATATGGAACCAAAAAAGAGCCTGCATAGCCAAGACAATCTTAAGCAAAAAGAACAAAGCTGGAGGCATCACGCTACCTGACTTCAAACTATACTACAAGGCGACAGTAAGCAAAACAGCATGGTACTGGTACCAAAACACATACATAGACCAATGGAACAGAACAGAGCCCTCAGAAATAACACCACACATCTACAACCATCTAATCTTTGACAAACCTGACAAAAACAAGAAATGGGGAAAGGATTCCCTATTTAATAAATGGTGCTGGGAAAACTGGCTAGCCATACGTAGAAAGGTGAAACTGGATCCCTTCCTTGCACCTTATACAAAAATTAATTCAAGATGGATTAAAGACTTAAATGTTAGACCTAAAACCATAAAAAACCCTAGAAGAAAACCTAGGCAATACCATTCAGGACATAGGCATGGGCAAAGACTTCATGACTAAAACACCAAAAGCAATGGCAAAAAAAGCCAAAATAGACAAATGGGATCTAATTAAACTAAAGAGCTTCTGCACAGCAAAAGAAACTACCATCAGAGTGAACAGGCAACCTACAGAATGGGATAAAATTTTTGCAAACTACCCATCTGACAAAGGGCTAACATCCAGAACCTACAAAGAACTTAAACAAATTTACAAGAAAAAAAATAACACCATCAAAAAGTGGGCAAAGGATATGAACAGACACTTCTCAAAAGAAGACATTTATGAAGCCAACAGACACATGGAAAAATGCTCACCATCACTGGTCATCAGAGAAATGCAAATCCAAACTACAATGAGATACCATCTCACACCAGTTAGAATGGCAATCATTAAAAAGTCAGGAAACAACAGGTGCTGGAGAGGTTGTGGAAAAATAGGAATGCTTTTACACTATTGGTGGTAGTGTAAATTAGTTCAACCATTGTGGAAGACAGTGTGGCAATTCCTCAAGGATCAGAACTAGAAATACCATTTGACCCAGTGATCCCATTACTGGGTATATACCCAAAGGATTATAAATCATGCTACTATAAAGACATATACACATGTATGTTTACTGCAGCACTATTCACAATAGCAAAGACTTGGAACCAATCCAAATGTCCATCAATGACAGACTGGATTAAGAAAATGTGGCACATATACACCATGGAATACTATGCAGCCATAAAAAAGGATGAGTTAATGTCCTTGGCAGGGACATGGATGAAGCTGGAAACCATCATTCTCGCCAAACTATCACAAGGACAGAAATCAAACACCGCATGTTCTCACTCATAGGTGGGAATTGAACAATGAGAACACTTGGACACAGGGCAGGGAACATAACACACTGGGACCTGTTGGAGGTTGGGGGCTGGGGAAGGGATAGCATTAGGAGAAATACCTAATGTAAATGACGAGTTGATGGGTGCAGGAAACCAACATGGCACATATATACCTATGTAACAAACCTGCACGTTGTGCACATGTACCCTAGAACTTAAAGTATAATAAAAAAAATACAGTTAATCAAAATTAATACCTCTAGGAATACAAATTATAAATACACATATTTCCATGGAAAAATTATAAAATAAGTCACCAATGCTAAAACACCAGAAATAGTTGCTATTAGAAAACTTTACCAAATTGTCAAAAATGAGATAATCTAAGTGCTACAGAAGTTGCTGTTTATATTGCTCCAAAACATAGAAAAAGAAAATGAAAAATTACAAACCATCTCCCTATGAATACTGATGACAACATTCTAATAAATTTTAATTAGAATATTAAATAAAATATTAGCAAACTAAATCTGACTAGATACTGAAAAATATTATCACCAAGTGGATTTATTCTAGTAATTCAAATATCATTAATTATTATGAAATCCATTATGGAAACCCATACCACTACCACATGAGTTTCTGATTGACCCTCCCTAGAAAGGAGCGTGCCCATCAGCATCCTACTGAATATCATTGAATATCATAGCAAATGAGGAACACATACACATGAACACAGGATAATAATGATAATATTAATGGCAACAATTGAGAAACATTTAATTTAAATGCAAAGTGACTGTACCACTTTATATACTCTTTAATCTTAACAAAATCTGTAAGATAAGTATTATCATCATCCCCATTTTATAGAGGGAAACTGACACTCAGAAATTAAGACATTTCAAGGTCCCTCAGTTAAATATATAATACAATAGCAGTCAGGCAGGGTGGCTCACGCCTGTAATCCCAGCACCTTAGAAGGCTGAGGTGAGAGGATGGCTTGAGCTCAAGAGTTCAAGACCAGCCTGAGCAACATAGTGAGACTGTCTCTACAAAAAAAAAAAAAAAAAAAAAAATTTAATTAGCTGGGCATACTGGCATATGCCTGCAGTCCCAGATATTCGGGAGGCTGAGGCAGGAGGATCACTTGAGCCCAGGAGTTTGAGAGTGCAGTCAGCTATGATCACACCACTGCACTCCAGCCTGGGCAACAGAACAAGACCTTGTCTCAAAAAAAAAAAAAAAAAAATTAAAAAGATTGATAGAATAAAACAAAAAGCTATTTAAAGGAAAAATAGATTACTTTTCTCACATAACCATTTAAAAATATGTACATTTTAAGAAAGGAAAGACTAATATTTAAATGAGATAAAAATCTGAGAGAGTGCTAGAGATGTACTGTTCAGGCAGGACAAAAGGAGTCTCTCATAGATTGATTCAACAGTCTCAGAGATCCACAGGAAAGCAGGTGACATAGTGGGAAGAGCACCAAACTGGAAGCCAAGGAACTGAGTTTTCCGTCCTGGCTCAATAAGAAGCTGCATCATAGTGAGTAAGTCACCTTAAAGCGTCAGTTTCCTCATCTTAAAATGAAGACTAACAAGGACCATTCTAATGCCCCCTACTCTACAGCTGTTGACATTAAAGGAATAATCTGGAAATGTAAATGGAAGGGCATCTCACCCACAGTTGTAGGCTTTTGGTAGCTCAAAGGTTGGGAACTACAGGGCAAGAAAGCCAGTAAGTAGCCATGCTTAAGCTAAATGAAGAAAGATGGGTACTCCCCTCTATTAGGCTCACTGAGGACAGAAATGGGCAAATGTATAGATAAAAATTAATAAAGGGGAAAATATTCATAGTCATAGTCATAAATCTATGTATGTATATGTATATATACATATGTATACGTGTATGTATATATACATATGTACACGTGTATGTATATATACATATGTACACGTGTATGTATATATACATATGTACACGTGTATGTATATATACATATGTACACGTGTATGTATATATACATATGTACACGTGTATGTATATATACATATGTACACGTGTATGTATATATACATATGTACACGTGTATGTATATATACATATGTACACGTGTATGTATATATACATATGTATACGTGTATGTATATATATACATATGTATACGTGTATGTATATGTATACATATATGTAAAGATTAATAAAGGGGAATAGTCATATTCATAGTCATAAATTCATGTAAGGAATATGTATGACTGTTGGACAATGTTCTTGCTGTTATTTTATAAGGCACCAAAATAATGAATAGCAACTAAGGAAAAGAATAAAACACAGAGCTTCATGCCAAGGCCAGGGATTCCATAAAACACTAAGGCAAATAAAACAATTCCTCAGTCTATGCTGGTCACAGCTTTCACAAACCCTGCCACAGGACCTTAACACTTATGTGTTGAAGTGGCACTCAGAATTAAGTAAGTTTTATTTTCTCCAAGTCTTCACTGTTATCAATGATTATTCTTATAACAACCACCTGGTGTTCAGCATTATGCTAGGAACTATAAAAATATAAAAAGAATTATAAAGCATGTCCCTAGCCACCGAAAACAGAACAATATGCACAGGAAAATAAGCAAAATAACTGAAGACAGTGAGTGCATGCCTGTGTATATATGCATATATGCCATCTACTTTGGAATTTAAATCACATTTTCCCACAGAAACACAGAGAAGGTGGTTAGGTTTCAGTTGAGGTGACTCCTCAAACTTATTTCATGCTTATTTAGTTAAGCCTCAGTAGCTGTCCTTAATTCCTTAAATCTCAAAGTGATTTTCAACCAAGTTGAGGGGCTAATGGGTAGTGCTGTATAGCTGGAAATAACACATTCGATATTATGACATAATTTTACAATTAGAAAATGAACAACTATTTTTCATGATGCAGAAGCCACTATTTTAATTAAATGAATTTGTAAGTGGTAGCTATAACATACATACACAGCGTGACCTGCCAAACACTGCTCCAATATCTTTACACATAACTTACTTTTCGTTATTTAACTCACTTTATTTATTTATTTATTTATTTATTTATTTAATGTTATTTATTTTGAGACGGAGTTTCACTATTGTCGCCCAGGATGGAGTGCAGTGGCGCGATCTCACTACAATCTCTGCCTCCTGGGTTCAAGCGATTCTCCTGCCTGAGCCTCCCCAGTAGCTGGGATTACTGGTACCCGCTGCCACGACTGGCTAATTTTTGGTATTTTTAGTAGAGACAGGGGTTTCACCATGTTGGCCAGGCTGGTCTCAAACTCCTGACTCCAAGTGATCCACTCGCCTTGGCCTCCCAAAGTGCTGGGATTACAGGCATGAGCCACTGCGCCCGGCCTAACTCACTTTATTCTTAAAACAACCGCAAGAGGGAGTACCGTCAATATTCCCAGTTTTAAGGTGAGTAAACTAAGGCAGAGGGATGTTAAGTAATTTCCCCAGTCACATAGTTCGACAAAGCTTCTTGGTGGGTGAAGATACACAGAAAATATTTTATTTTCTGAATAATCTCATTATCCAATATTCTTTACTCGGGTTGAAAACAGAATGAAGGGATAAAGGCACTATGTTAATAGTTAGGTAAGTACTTTTTTTTAAAGCAGTAAGTAAACTAAAATGATTCATATTAGTATGGCCCCAAATAATTCCATATTGTTTATACCACAGACAGGTTCACACAAGGGCCCTAAGATATATATACATGGATGTTATATATATATATATATATATATATATATATATATATATATATGGATGTTACATAACAAAACATGTTATGTATGGATGTTACATAACAAAACAAAAATCCATGTGTGTATATATATATGTATATATGTATATATGTATATATATGTGTATATATGTATATATGTATATATGTGTATATACGTATATATGTATATATATGTGTATATACGTATATATACGTATATGTCTATATACGTATATATATACATATATACGTATATATATGTATATATATACATATATACACATGGATGTTATATAACAAAACACTACAGCAGTGTTTTGATGGCTAATGACTGAAAATCTAAATGTCCATCAATGGGGACAGGCTAAATACTATTTTTATATTTTTACAAAGGACTGCTGTGTAGCCATGGAAAGGATGAGGTAGTTTTATACCCATGGATATTGAAAGTGCCTAATATACAGTACTAAATGGCAAAAGCATGTGTATTAGGATTCCACTTGTGGGAAAGACAGAAGGGGGTATATATTATCATGTGCTTTATTATGATCAGAAAGTTTCTTAAATATAACCAAGAAATTATTTACAGTGCTTACTTCTGGGAAGTGGGGAATGGAGATGGGTAGATCAGTAGATAGAAAAGAAAAAGACTTTTTTTACATTGTATCCTTCTGTATTAAATTTCCTTTTATCAAAAGCATATAGCTGATTTTAAAATAGCTTAATTAAAAATACAGCAATATAGAGCTTAGTCTCCTTTTACATAATGGTTTCTAACCACAGACTGGTATGTAATGATCAGTGGTATTCCTAATAGTAATTAACCTAGAGAAATTAATGAATGATTTATTTTATAAACAAGGATAAAGTCAACATCCCTTTAATTAATCCATTAATCAAAGGGAGAAAAAGAAAGGGGGCCTATAAAACTCAAGCAGAAGGTTGAAAAAAATCTTCTAAAGATCATGTTTAAGAAAGGCTGCATCCCAGAGTCTGGATGCCAGAAATGCCAACGACCTTCTTGAAAAACAAGGAAGTATCTTTACGTGATTGTCAAATTGGGTTGGGAGGTCCCAAGGTGTGGACAAGGCTTTTTAAAAACTTCATTCTTTTACGTTTATACTTTTGCATATTTCATATTATACACAACATATTTACAGTGGTAGTCATACACTATAAATAATTAAACACACAACATTTGGGGAGATGCATGCTCAAAAATGTTTTACTGATAGGGAGTGCAATTAAAAGGTTTGGAAGCTGCTGAGGTAGTAAAAAATATTGATGCAGTGAAAAGAAAAACATTAAATGGTCATTCTGTGGTCAAGGGATGAGAAGTAAAAGCTATGAAGCAGTTAATGTACAATGCCTGCAACTTTTGAGTACTCTTCAACTTTTTCCTGCATCTATTCCAAAACCAAATCCTGCCATTTTTCCAATAGGATATTTCCTGAGTTTGCCCCTTCATAACCATTCTGACCATCTAAATCTTATCAATTCACGCTTTTGGAAAGGCCTCTGGCCCTTATGTAAAGAGCCCTCCACTTGCTTGCATCTTGCACAGAACTGTAAAAAGGTCCTTTAAATGCTCAGACAGCTTCCAACTATCTCCAAAAGTGAAAGTACTTACCCATGATTGTAAATATCCCTGTCCCACTCTCAAACTGTCCGCTCCCCATAGACCAACTGGAGCTCTTTAAATAAGTCAGACAAATATATTCCTCATTCCTCAAAGGACTCACCCTCCCTTTCACATTCCGGTTGTGCAGATTAAACATACTCCACACCATCAAACCAAGTTATTTTTCCTCGAGAACTCTCTTAGAGGTTCCTTTTTCTCTAACAGCCTGCCCACCTCTGATTCCTGGGATTTTCGTGTTGACGGGATCGTTGGGATCTTTCCTCTCTTCTCATCTTTCCAGTAACCCATTAGCATTAGCAGGATTATTGGACAGGCCTCCGTTTGCATTAATATCTCCAATGATTCTGTGATCTCCGCCCTAAAGACCTTTGATTTCTTTTGGTCGCGCCTCCCCTTCGGGACACCAAGTTTGTTTAGGGCCTGAGCACAGGGGCCCAGCAGGTTCTTTCCGACGTCAGCGGCTGCGTACGGAGGCCGACTTAGGCAGGCCGCTCCAGGAACAAGGCCGTGCGGACAGGACTGACCTAGGCGCTTTTCCCCGTCGCTCCCAGAGGAGAAACGTACCGGGGAGGGGACAGACCGTGAGCAAGTGGTCCAAGTCTGCGCAGGGTGACCCCGAAGGCCCACCGGAGAGGCCGAGGCTTGTGGGCTACTAGAACTAGGCCTGGTAGGTGAAGGAGGCGGGTGAAGGGCCGGATCCAGGACTGAATCCGGGAGAGGCGGGGCGAGGAGGGGACTCCGGTGTAGCTGCTTGGGCAGCTCCCGCGGCCCCTCTGGCGGGGGTGACCGTTATTGGACTCGCAGAGGGAAGAGTTGGGTAGCGTCCCCTACTCACCTAGAAGCGCTGCCGCCTGAGGCTCCAGCTGCCCCCCTCCCAATTCAAGCCACGTCAGCTCGGGAAGCCCGTACGCGACACCTTCCACCGCCGCGCCCCGCCAGGGACTCAGCCACTAGCAGTTGGGACGGAAGATGGGATTAAGACACCGACCAATCAGGACTATCGGCAGGACGTTACCAGGGAGACCAGGCACACCTTGTTTGTTACCAACCTATCAACAATGACGGAAACCAATCAACGACAGAAGATGCTCCGCTTCCTCAAAGAAACAGCCAATGGACCCTAAAGAGTGAATGAGGGGAGTGATTAGACGCGAGTAGGTGCCCCGGAACAAGATCTGGGGAGGGACAGGAAGTGTCGAGTGGGCGGGCGTTCTGGGAAAGGTCAGATGTTCTCAGTGTGAAGTGGTTATGCTGGCTTCCTCCAATTCCTCCTCTTCGTCGGTTGTGACTGACCGAGACAGCGGCTTGGGCTTCGGCAGAGACTTGAGACTGCGGGCACCCGCTGCCATTAGGATTGTTGAATGAGCTGTGAGAAGGGAGTGGGGGATATGGGACTCTTAGATTGAAAAAATACTGGAGCCTCTTAGTTGTTCGTCTAGTTTCACCTTTTGATTTTGTTGATGAAAAATAATTAACCACAGAAGTAACTTGCCCAAAGTCAAACAGCGACTTAGTGATGGAACTCGGACTAGAACCCGGTGTCAGTATGAAAGAGGATCAGCAATGTCTGTAAGGACATGATTGTGAGAGAGAGAGTAGTGAATACTAGGAAGGTGCCTCTTACAAAGTGGAGCCTAAGCCAGGACCTAAGCAAAGATTGAGAGTTGAGGGCTCAGGCTCTGCAATGAGTGTCAGTGAGGAGCTCCAGCAAAAGACTGAAATCACTCATGCTTTCCTTAAACCCCTAAGGAAAGGGAAGGAAAGTAGCCAGTTTCCAATGAGCTGTCATTTCAGGCACTCTCTTGGCAATAAGAGTAATGTTAGTTTGAATTTATTGAATCTTGCTGTGCACTCAGCTGGCCCATTGTATGTATACTCATCTTAATGATTACATAACTTCACAATTCAAACATCAGCTAAGTAAGGCCTTTCCTGGCTGCCCATCTTACGGAACTGGAGGTCATTATTCTAAGTGAAATAAGTCTGGCACAGAAAGACAAATATCCCATGGTCTCACTCATGTGGGAGCTTAAAAAGTTGATCTCATGGAGTAGAGATAAGTACCAGAGGCTGGGAAGGTGGAGTTGGGGGAGGGAGGGAAGAGATTGGTTAATGGGTACAAACGTAGATAGAAGGAATAAGTTCAAGTGTTTGATAGCACAGTAGGGTGACTATAGTTAACAATATGTTATATATTTCAAAATAACTAGGAGATTAGAAATGTTCCAAACACAAAAATGATAAATGTTTGAGGTGATAGATATCCTAAACACCCTGATTTGATCATTACACATTGTATGCATATATCAAACTACCACACCCCATAAATATGTACAAATATGTATCAATACAAACATAAATAAAATTGCAATTTCCTGCATGCACTATATACTTCTTCTTTGCTTCTTTTTCCCCTAAGCATTTTGCCATCTAAAGTACTATATATTTCATTTATCTGGTATCTCTCTTCTCATTAGATTATAAGCTCCAGGAAGGTAGTAATTTTGATCTCAGCTTTATCTCCAGGTCCCAGAAAAGTATAGAGGAGGGCACTCAATATCTGTTAAATTAATAAAGTATATATGATTATCCTTATCTTAAATGTGAGACAATAAGACTTCAGAAGGTTAAATAATTTGCACAAGGTCACATGGTGAGGGGCAGAGACAGAATTTGAATGCTGCAGTACTTAATGAATACATCATATTCTTATATCCCTGATTGTATCCACCCAGCAAAGTCCTAAACCTGCATCAGTCCAACCATTGGTCTCTACTTCTACCTTTGGGGAGCAAAATGCTGCAGGAGACATCAGGACAATGTCATCAGTGACATCAATGTCCTGACCACTGCACATTCAGTTTCCAGCTGAACTCCATCTTCAGCACACTCCCAAATCCTTCTTGTCTTCAGCTTCCTCTCCTATTTGCCACAATTATTCAAACCTTTAACATCCTCTTTAAGTCCCAACCCCGTGTCTACACTTCACACTCCTAGCAGATGAACTTGCTTCTATCTTAGAGAAAATAGAAGCCATCACTGAGAGTCCTATTGTACTCCCTTACACAAAATTTACCTTTCTACATACTTATTTCCACATTCGACCTTAGAATTTACCTTTCAGTTTTAACAGAATGAAAGTTTCTTATGGGAGACGAGATTAGAATTTTTTCTGTCTAGTAGGTCTTCTTATAGCTCTACCTTCTATTATTGGGTGAGCACAGTATGGTGAGAATTATAGTGAACACTAGGGGTGTGAAGGAAGAAAATGAGGTGGAGAAGTTAAAGAGCAAAACATATTATTTCTAAGTTCACTGAAGGACTGGAAATAATTTAGAATGCAACTTAATGGAAGCAATTTAGGCTCTGAGAGGGTGATCAAGATAATAAAAGATAATTAGGGGTTGCCCCAGCAAAAAAGAGGGTACAGAATAGTGGAGGTAGATGGAGCAGCATGTGCATGGACCATTTGGGCAATTTGACATAAGTGATATGACTGAATGGTTAGGCAAAGAGTAGGTCATAAAATTGTGCCATTTTATGCTAAGGGGTTTGGATATGACTCTAAGCTCCAGAGCAGTTAGAGACTGCAGAAATCACAGAAGTGTGGAGTCATTCAGGTGTCCCTTAGAGAGTGATCATTTCCCTAATTGAAAGTACAGGGAGGAAAAGTTGAAAGACAAGAAATGTCACATTCTCTGTGATTTACTGTTGCCCAATTCCCTCTCCCCTTTTTCAGTTCTTTCCTCATCATCATCTTACCTTCCTCTATACCAAATGCAAACTTATTCCAAAACTTTCATGCAGCCTTATTTATTAATGTATCTTCCATACCTAACGTATCTTCAGCATAGTATATACTCAATAAATATTTGTTAAATAAAATATCCAACATAGAATTCTATATGAATAAATCTTAAAATCTTGGAGAAATAAGAAATTGTCTTGAAAAATATAACTTTGAGACATATCAATTATATGCAAAAATATACAATCACATGATCACATCAACCAATGAAGAAAAATATTTTCACAAGAAGAGGGAAGGTGGGGAAAGAAGAAGAGGGATGGTGGGGAAAGAGGAAGGGAGATGAGGGGGGAAAAAGAAGAAGGAAGGAGAGGAAAGAAAGGGGAAAGGAAGACGGAAGGTGGGGAAAGAAAAAGAGGGATGGTGGGGAAAGGGGAAAGAAGAGGGATGGTAGGGAAAGGGGAAAGAAGAAGAGGGATGGCAGGGGAAGAAGAAGAGGGAAGGTGGGGGAAGAAGAGAGGGAAGGTGGGGATAGGGAAAAGAAGCTGAGGAAAGAAGGTGGGGAAAGAAGAAGAGGGAAGGTGGGGGAAGAAGAAAAATCAACACCCATTCATGATTAAAAAAAAAAACTCAGAAAACTAGGAATCGAAGGATATTTACTCAACTTGATAGAAAAATATTGCAGATTCTTAATGGTGAGAAACTGGATGCTTTCCCTCTAAGATCAGGAACAAGGTAAGGATGTCCCCTGTCACTACTCCTAGGTGACATTATACTAAACCTCCTGCCTAATGTAAGACAATAAAGGGAAATAAAAGATATTCATACTAGCAAGTAATAAATAAAACTGTCTTTGTAGATGGCATGATTTTTTATGTAAAAAATATCTAAGAATAAACAAAAACCTCCTGGAATTAATAAGCAATTTTAACGAGGCTACAGGGTAAAAGGTCAATTGCTTTCCTCAGCAAAGAACAATTGGAATTTGAAATTAAAAACACAATACCATTTACATTAGCCTCAAAAAAAAAAGACGAAATAAATACTTAGGCATAAATCTAACAAAATATGTACAGGCTCTATGTGAAGGAAACTAGCAAACCTCTGATTAAAAAAATTAAAATCTAAATAAATTGAGAAATATTCCATATTCCCAGAAAGCATCAGTATTGTTACGATGTCAATTCTTCCCAACTTTATCTGTAGATTCAATAAGATCTCAATCAAAATCTTAGCACATTATTTTGTGGATATCAACAAATTAATTCTGAATTTTATATGAAAAAGTAAAAGACCCAGAATAATCCACAGACTATTCAAGAAGAACAAAGTTGGAGGACTGACGTTACCCAACTTCAAGACTTACTACACAGCTACAGTAAACAAGACAGCATGGTATTGGCTAAAGAATAGACAAATAGACCAATGGAACAGAATGGACAGCCCCAAAATAGATCCACATAAATGTAGACAACTGATCTTTGAGAATGGAGCAAAGGCAATTCAATGGAGAAAAGAGTCTTTTCAATACATGGTGCTAGAACAACTGGAAATCCACATGCAAAAAATGACACACACCTTATACCTTTTATACAAATTAACTCAAAGTGGATCTTAAGATGTAAATATAAAATGTAAAAATATAAAACATCTATAGGATAATTTGAGACTCTAGGTGACTTTGAGTTTGGTGATGACTTTTCAGATACAACACCAAAAGCATGAGCCAATGCGGGGGGGAGAACACAATAAGTTGGACTTGATTAAAATGAAAAACTTCTGCTCTGCAAAAGGCACCGTTAAGAAGATTAAAAAAACAAGGCACAGACTGGGAGAAAATATTTGTAGAATACCTATTTGATAAAGGACTGTTACCTAAAATACACAAGGAACTCTTATAATGCAAAAATTTTAATTAAAAAAATTCACAAGTGGGCAAAAGATCTGAACAGACACCTCACCAAAGAAGATACACAGATGGCAAATAAGCACACAAAAAAATGCAGCCGGGCACGATAGCTCATGCCTGTAATCCCAGCACTTTAGGAGGCCGAGGCAGGCAGATCACAAGGTCAGAAGTTTAAGACCAGCCTAACCAACATGATGAAACCCCCGTGTCTACTTAAAAAAATACAAAAATTAACCAGGCGTGGTGGCGCGCGCCAGTAATCCCAGCTACTCAGGAGGCTGAGGCAGGAGCATCGCTTGAACCCGGGAGGTGGAGGTTGCAATGAGCTGAGATTGCGCCACTGCACTCCAGCCTGGGGGACACAGGGAGACTCCGTGTCAGAAAGAAAGAGAGAAAGAGAGAGAGAGAGAGAGGAAAGAAAGAGAAAGAAAGAAAGAAAGAAAGAAAGAAAGAAAGAAAGAAAGAAAGAAGGAAGGAAGGAAGGAAGGAAGGAAGGAAGGAAGGAAGGAAGGAAGGAAAGAAAGAGAGAGAAAGAAAGAGAAAGAGAGAGGGAGGGAGGGGAAGAAAGAAAGAAAGAGGAAGAAAGATAAATGAAGGAAGGAAGAAGGGAGGGAGGGAGGGGAAAGAAAAGGAAAGGAAAGGAAGTCAACATCATATGTTACTAGGGAATTGCAAATTAAAGGAACAATAAGATACCACCACACACCTATTTGAATCACAAAAATCCAAAACCTGGACATCATCAACTGCTGGCAAGCATGTAGAACAACAGGAACTCACATCTATTACTGATGGGAATGTAAAATGATACAACCACTTTGGAAGACAGTTAAGCAGTTTCTTACAAAGCTAAACATAGATTGACCATACCATCCAGCAATCATGCTCCTAGATATATCAAAATCAGTGAAAATGTATGTCCACAAAAACACTTGCACATGAATGTTTATAGCAGCTTTATTCGTAATTCCCAAAACTTGAAAGCAAAGATGTCCTTCAGTAGATAAACAGATATACTGTGGTATTTCATACAATTGAACATTATTCAGTGATAAAATGAATTGAGCAATCAAGCCATGAAAAGACATGGAGGAACGTTAAATGCATATTGTTAAGTGAAAGAAATCAGTCTGAAAAGGCTATATACTGTGTGGTCCAGCAATTTGACATTTTGAAAGAGGCAAAACTATAGAAACAGTAAAAGAAAATCAGTGGCTGTCATGGATGGGGTTGGGAAGGGGCAAAGAAGGATTAATATATGGAATAGAGAGAATATTTTAAGGGAGAGAAACTATTTTGTATGACACTGCAGTGGTGGATATGTGGTATTGTGCATTTGTCAAACTCCATAGAACTGTATAACATAAAGAGTAAATTTTAATGTAAACTGTGGACTTTAGTTAATGATAATGTCTCAATATTGGTTCATCAAATGTAATAAACATGGTAATAATAGGGGAAACTGCTGAGAGGTGGGAAGTGGGGGGAGGATGAGATGAATATATAAAACTCTGTATGTCTGCTCAATGTGTCTGTAAATCTAAAACTGTGCCAAAAAAATAAAGGAATGTATGTGTATACATATATTTCCAAATTTGACCCAAGAAAAAGTAGAGGAATCTGACAACTTCTAGAAAAAAAAAAACATTTAAAAGTTGTTAATCTCAGAAGAAAAGTATACAATCCAGACAGTTTTTCAGGCAATTGCTTTTGGGGCTTTTTTATAGACTGAATATTTGTGTTCCCGGCAAAATTCATATGCTGATGTCCTGTCAATTTTATAGTATGAGGGGGTAGGGCCTTTGGGAGATAATTAGGTCATGAAGGTAGAGACCTCATGAATGAGATTAGCGCCCTTATAAAAGAGACCCCAGAGTCCTCCCTTGTTTTTTTTTTTTTTTTTTTTTTTTTGAGACAGGGTCTCACTCTTGGGCTGCAGTGCGGTGGCATAATTTTGGCTCACTGCAACCTCAACTTCCAGGGCTTAGGTGATCATCTCATCTCAGCTTCCTGAGTAGTTGAGACTACAAGTGTACGCCACCATGCCCAGCTAATTTTTGTGGGTTTTTTTTTTTTTTTTTTTTTTTTTTTTTTGTAGAGATTGGATTTTGCCGTGTTGCCCAGGCTGGTCTTTAACTCTTGGGCTCAAGCAATACACCTGCCTCGGCCTCCCAAAGTGCTAGGATTAGAGGCATGAGCTACTGCACTTAGCTCCCTTGCCTCTTCTGCCACGTGAGGATGAATGAGAAGATGGCGTCTGTGAGCCATGAAGTGAGCCCTCACGCAACACCGAATCTACCAGTGCCTTAATCTTAGACTTCTCAAACTCCAAAATTATGGGAAATAAATTTCTGTTGTTTATAAGCCACCCAGTCTATGATATTTTTATAGCATCCCAAACTAAGACAAGCTTTCAAGGAACAGATATTTCCTATGCTATACAATCTATACAGAGCATAGGAACAGATGGAATGTTTCCTAGCTAATTCAGGTCTAAAAAAAAGAAAAGAGAAAAAAGAAAAAAAAGGTCTTTTTGTAGTTTAACTGATTACCTTTGTCATTACACTTTTCTTTCTCCATATTTACTCTAGCCAAAGATATTGTTTACAAAAGTATCTATTTTCAGGGCAGCTTCGTGGGGCCTATAATGAGAAAGAGGTAAAACCAGGGTGGGCAATCAAGTGATGGCTCCATGGCAGGGCCACTGAAACTAATAGCGCAGTTAGAGCCCTAGCCCTTCCAAAGCCAGACATGAGCCAGGGCTTGGAACATCTTCTGCAGGCTCTCCAGGGCTTCAATGCACAACAGAATGTTGCTGAATATCAACTGCAGCTGTTCAGGACTGAGATGCCCAGCGGACCGCATCAACAGCTGACACTGCTCCCTGATGATGTGTGTGTCTCTCACATAGCTGGTCTCTAGAATTAGTTTTACATACAGTCATTAAATAAAAAATCCACATTAATCAGGATTCTCTTGGGGTGAAGATGAACCTTAATTATGAGATTTGGATTTTGTATGAAAATATCTCTGTATACTTGCCCTGCCCTGGGTCCTTATCTGTTGTATTTCCCTACATGAGCAAAATTCCCAGAAGGATCCAGAGTGTACCAAACACCACATAGTCCAAGCCTGAGAAAGATAATTTTTCTGAATTCCTTGGCCTTCATATGCCAGGAAACCAAAAAGCTGGCAGGACTACTAGAATTTAAGCCCCACCCCCATGCTTGTACTGTAGATTATCCACAAGAGTAGGGGCTGGTGCTGGGCAGGAAGCAGTAGGAGGGGCCAGAGATTATTGCTATCAGCAATACAGAAGAAATGCACATTCTGGAAGGGGACAAGGAGGTGATGACTGGAAGAGCAAATTCCTGGATCTCCTTTGACCTGGGCTTCTGAATATGCTGGGGCAGTGGTCCCCATCCTTTTTGGCACCAGGGACTGGTTTCATGGAAGACGGAAGGGGCAGGTGGCGGGGTAGAGGGTGGTTTCAGGATGAAACTCTTCCACCTCAGATTATCTGGCATTAGTTAGAGTCTCATAGGAAGCGTGCAACCTAGAGTCTTCGTGTGAGCAGTTCACAGTAGGGTTCGCGCTCCTTTGAGAATCTAACGGGGCAGCTGATCTGACAGGAGGCGGAGCTCAGGCAGAAATGCACCATCGCCCACTGCACACCTCCTGCTGTGTGGCCTGGTTCCTAACAGGCCACGGACTGGTACCGGTCGATGGTCCGGGAGTTGGGGACCCCTGTGCTGAGGCATGGATGCAGCAATCTTCAGCTGCATTTTTCCTTTCTGGCAGGCTTCCATGGGTGCCAAGCCATGTCAGTAGGGCTGAATCTGACGTCTCTCTGAAGTGCCAGAACACCACTAGGGACAAAAAAACACCAGGGCTGGATTAGTGGTCACAACCAGGGTCCAGGATGCCTAAAAGATAGCAGGACATCTGTCCCTTGAGAGACTTGTTCAAAATTGAAGGAGTTCAAGTTTATTGTAAGGCACTAACCAGTGGCATCTGTTTCTAGGAGTCATTGGAACCACCGCCCTTGGGACCAGGGGAGTTTTGGAGAGGAAAGTTGAATCATAAAAGAGCATAATTACAAGGCAATTTAGGGGAAAAAGAGAAGGAGATAATGGATTAGCTAGAGGTCCCTGGAGCTCAGAACTAAAGGCAGGGGAATTCAGGGTGGGAGGAAAGGACCTGTGGTGAGATAATCAACTGCAATCTCTTGAGAATAGAACCCAAATTGCTATACATGCCCTGAGACCATCTAGGTGCCCCCTTATGTTATCTCTGTAGTTCCTTAACCTTTCCTGTGTCCCTGAACTCATCTTGATTTATTTCAGTTTCCTGCAGTAGAATTCAGCAGTTTTATTCTTGTGATGGCCAAATAGTTATCTGTGGGGTCATCATGACTGACTTAGAACAGAGTTCACCTGCCTCACCAGAGACAATGCAGCTCTATTCAGTGAGGGCTACAGAGATTTACTTACTAAGCAGCACCTCACTCATGCTGGCTATCTCCAGCCAGAGCAGCACATCTTTGTTCCTGCACCCAGGTAGGCACCTGAAAGTTGGATCATGGGCCACTCCAGCCCCATAACACTTCCCCTGATTCAACTCAAATGCCCAAATTCGTATCAGACATCATACTAGACAACACAATTTGGCTGCTCTCCCAGAAACTAAAAGACTTATAGATAACTTATGTTATGTTAACTTCATGCTGCTAGGCATCAATCCCTTACATGTAGATTAGGCTCTTTATCCTCAGTAAAATGGTGGAGCCATGATTCATATTCACAGATTCTGACATGTAAACACTACTCTGCACTGCCTGGTGTTCTGCTCACTGCCCACAGGCTGACCTTACCTCTCCAGACATTTGAGTCTGCTGTGATCTTTTCTTCCTTTCCTCTTTCTCATTTGCAATGGGAACTCTCCAAACAGGAATTACTATTGTCCAGGGCAGCAAGCTTAGCATTTTGGGAGTTAGAGGGTCCTGGCAGCTTTAGGACTATAGCTACTGGAAGCAAGGTTACAACCAGTTCCTCAGAGAATTATCTCTGTGTATATATATATACATATATACACAAATACACAATGCCTTAAAATAACTTCTAAGCAGTATACAGGTAAGTTCAAAAGAAAAAAATATGTTGTACAGAAGCTCAAGGCATTACTGACTGAAGGATTAGTCAGAGTGTTATGTGCTTAAAAGAATTGCCTCTTAGAAATTGCTTTGGATTAAAGGTTTGGAAGAGGGTGAACATATGGGCATATGGGAGCCGGGTGGGGCAGGGGAGATGTGGCAGGAAGGGCATCAAATGTAGTGGAATGGTTTATGAAAGGAACTAGGCTACTTGTCCCTCTTTTCATAATTTTCAAAATTTTCCATTTTGATGGTTTGGGCTTGTCTTAAGGCAGCATATTTCCAGAATAGAAACTTCCTCAACCACCTCTAATCGAAGCTAGTTAGAAATGATTCAGCTTCAGTATCATGGTTCTAAGCAAGTTGAGGCCTACTTGGGAGGTTTACTGAATTCAGACATAGCCTCAGCCGAGAAGTCCCTTGAGAGACTTGCTCTAAATTGAGGAAGCTCAAGTTTATTTTAAGGCACTTATCAGGGATAAGAAAAATTCATGTCACACAATAGGCAAAATCTACAGCCAACAAAAGGGCTTCCAAAAGTAGGTGATGGAACCATTTAGCAGAGCATTCTCCCACAGAATCTGGCACTACTGGCTGCATCAGTTCTCTATTTCTTCCTAATCAGGTCCAGAGCCAAACCAATGATTCCATCCTTTATTTTTTTGGAGACAGGCTCTGAAGTTTGAAAAGTAAGGTGCTTTAAGCATGAAGTTAGGCAGCATGATGGTAGCACTTCAAAAGAAAAGTTTTGTGAATCATGGGTATCTCCTCTGGAAAATGTGGAGATACCTGGTCACACACTGGTACCCTCTTCTTGACTAAGGTCTATCTGCAAAATGCAGCTGCAGCAGATATGAACTGGGAACCCATCAGTGCTCAGGACAGAGGCACTGCTGCTCTGTGAATTGTGTGGGCTCTGTTCTGGTATTCAAAGGAGGCCAATATGACATGAGATAGATTTCAGACCATTTGTCTCCATGTCATAGTTGATAACCATCCCTCAAACCAATTGGCTCCTAGAAACAGATGCCAGAAGAGGCTTTCTAGGGGAATTTGGGTTCTTGTTCTCCTGACTTTCCTTTCTGGAATGTTGGCCCTCCTAATTAGGCACTAGGTTTACAGAGAACTGGGCTAGCTTTAGGGAAACTGAGGCAAGGCCTGATGATTTTTGTTTCATCCTCTTGAACTTCTCAAAACTTTGAATGTACAGAAGCCCTTGATGTGTATTTTGCTGCCCAGACCTTTGGTTTCTGCAGGTCCCTGTATGTAGTCCATTTCTGAGGTGCAGGTGATTGAGATTTGGGGGTCTGTTCTGTCTATGGAGCTGCAGGCAAGGTGCTTCTTTGCCTCCTGCTTGATTAATTTTGGAATGAGGAGTGAGCATGGCAGATTGAGCCTTAGGAAGGCTGAAGATGTAGAATGAATAGATGTCATGGTTCCAGGTTTCTCAGAAGCATCAGAGACTCCTGCTCCTGCCTTGGTGTTAAGACCTCAATGCTTGTCTTTCAGCTCTCACTGAGCATCTTCGAGCATCACTATAGTTTGCCCAAAGGTAGGGAGGGCTGAGCAGGAATGCTGGCATATCGGGGAGCCAGAGAGCTAAAGGAGCCAGCCATCCTTGCATGAAGAATGGCAAGGATTGCCTCCCAAGCATGGTTTCTGGCTGGGAACTCCTTTTCTGAGAGGTGAAGAAATCCCTGTTAAAACTCCATGTCTACAGGAGCTAGAGATGTCACAACTATTTGACTGAAGGGCCTAGAGTTGGCTAGGCTCTCAAATCAAGGCATCTGCTAACTCCAAGAGTCTTCCCCAACAGAATCAGCAGACTCTGGGTCATTATGGAGCTCATGGAGCCAGGAATGAAACTCTGAAATCCATCCATGATGAGCAATGTGTCAGAGAAGGCCAAGATAGGTGGGCTCAGTCTCTATGCTTGGATCCATATGCCATTTCCACTTTTCAAAGGGAATGGAACTATGGAGAAGCAGCGGCAGCATTCATTCCATAAGAACTCAGGCACTATTACTCTATGAATCATTACTGAGCATTTATAATAAATGAAGAACTCATATGAGGAGCAATGGTGACTTTCTCATCCTGGAGCACCTAGAGCAAGGGTCATAAGGAATCTAAAATCTAAAATCAAAGAAAATTCCTAGGAGGTGTGACCAGAAAGCTGTTACTCAGCATTCATTCAACAAGTACTTAACTAAGCACAGACCTTGTGCCAGACACTGGTGTGGCTTATTCTTGATCCAGGATCTAAGAATCACAGTCCTGAAAGCAGGCTTTGTGAGGGGGATTTCTCCAGCCCATCAAAGTGAGGAATTTATTATCATGTATCTTAGGAGATAGGTGGCAGGGCCCTCTTTGGGGAGCTCTCAAGTATTATAGAGTTTCCTCAGGACACAGATCTATTTAATGGGTTAATATACCAGCACAAAGAGGCCACTGTAACTCAAATTACATATCAAACTGACATCTCAGATATGCTTAAAAGCACTTCCATGGAGTGTTCCACTAAGGTTTACCCTAACAAAGAACATCACCAGGATTTAAAAACACTCCCCACTATTGCTGATACAACTAGTAAATGTGAAGATTTGCATGTAGAGCAGATATTGTGAGAAAGTCTACGGATTCCCTAAATGTCTCTAACCTTGTCCTGGATGTGTCCTGTTCACTACACTCCCCTTGATCTTTATCAGGATATCTTTAACATTTAGGATATTTTCTAGATTTACTACTTTAGGGTCCTAAGCACATTGTTTAGGAAAATGTATTCAACCCAGAGTCAAAACCAAGTTGTCAACAGGTTTTGTATAGCCAGCAGTTTACAGACCCGCTTTTGACCCCAGAAGGGAATTCAGCCTGAACCTCTGCCTCCTGCCCTATTCCTCCCAACCCTCCAGATAACCAACCTTCTCAGTCCTCTCCTTCACACAGATTTTAATTCAGCTGACAGGCACAAGAAATACAGGCTGATTAATACAAATGAAGGCTGCATAATTCGTAGATTTAGTAATGAGATGTCTTATAAAACTTTTGTAGGAAACAGGTGTTTTCTCCTAACCCTGGAAAATTCTTTTCCATTAAGATATGTGACTTCCTCTTTATGCCTGTGTGGCACTGAGGGGTGCATATTCTAGAGATGGCCATCGAGGACCTTGCCTCAACTCTCTTGTCTTCTCTATGTCATATATGGGCATTCTGTGAAACGAATTTATTCATTCCATATTAATTCATTTAACTTATTTTGATTCGTATTTCTATTCTGCTTATTTTTTATTATTGTGAGTAAATTATATGAAAATTCAGAGTACTTAAAGTTGTTTGGATATCTGAATGACAGGGCAAGTACATTTTTGCATGTGTGCTAGATGAATCCACTCTTAACAGATAGTTACTGAGTGCCTCCTAAATTATAAACTGGTTTAACAGATAAAATACTTTTTTCATTCCCTCTGCCTGGAACATTCCCATTCTACTCCTTCAACTGTCAGTTCATCCTTCAGTTCATTCTTTGAAGTGTTTCCTCTGAACATCTCCAGGACTAAGCTAATGACTCTCACACAAAAATCCCTACCTGCAAAATAATAGTCATCACACACACATTTATTTTTTAAATGTTTATCTCTTCTACTGAGATGAAACCTCCACTAGCAGAGACTGTTACCTGTTTTCTGCATCTATTACAGTGTCTTTTACCTTATAAATGCTTATAGATGTTCATTGAATGAATAGATGTATTTTAGAGTTTAATATCTCTGATATAATAGATTCTTGGTCAAATACTGAGAGCTCAGTCACTTAGCTAATTGAGCATCTCAGAGTACATAATAAGAGGACTAGAAAAAGTTATAGGGCACCATTCTGGCCCTCAAGAGGGCCTCCATAAAGTGGATGGACCATTTGCATACAAAGAATTAAATGTCTACACATAACCCAAGTACGAAAAGAGTGGGTGAGTAAATGAATGATTAAATGAAATGAATAAGCAGTTCATTTTAGAGTTATATAAAATGAGCTTAACCTTGGACCATTTTTTGTTTCTCATCTTATTTTTTACATCTGTAAAATGGAAATTATCAATGTTCCTATTTTAAAGGGTTGTTGTGAGGATTAAGTAAAATAATGACCGTAAAATTCTTAGCACAGAATCTGGTACATATCACACAACAAATGTTAAAAATTATTTATTAGTAGTAGTATTGTTATTATTATCTTTAGGTTCTGGGAAGGGTCAGGTAGGATGATTTGATGAAGGATCTATAAATAGCATATTATTACATTCTCAATAGGCTAGGGAGGGAACCAGCTATAAAAGACAAATGCTGAAATGATTATCTTTGATTGGCAGCTCTCAAGCACTTAACTATTAATGAGGAACCCAAAGAACTTTTATTTAGGTGGGTTATAGCTAGTGATATGCTGGTAAGCATTTAGCAACCAGGAGGAATGTTACTGCAGGGGAAAATTTTGGACTTGTAGTGTTTACTTATTTCTGTGATATTACCATTCCCACCATCTCACCATGTCTAATTTCAAGCTATCAATATGCCTTCATTGAATGTGGAGAGATGTGCAGGAACACACACACACACACACACACACACACACACACACACAATTTCCCCCATACAGATGCAGTAAACATATTACTTTGTTTTAAATATTATGTGTTTAACCATAAGTTTATGTAACTTTTAAAATTAACCAACGTCCATACGTTATTCAGATTTCCTTAGTTTTTACCTACCGTCTTTTTTTTTCTGTTGTAGAATCTCATCCAGGATAGCACATTACATTTAGTCATCATGTCTTCTGTTAAATAAAATTTATGAGAGACCACTGATTTGGACTAGGATCCTACACTAAGTCTAACACGCCAAACCAATATGGAGTTTAACTATAGCAGCTGAGCTTTAGTTGATTGCAGGAAGCTCTGTAACCAATTAACCAGTTAAGTTGTAATCAATTAAGTTGTCTCTGCACTGCACTTTCATTTCCTATAACTCATGTCAGATAATGTTATTGATGGGCATTCTCTCAATCCACTCTGGCTCGAAGGGCTGCCAGATTCACAAATCATTCTTGTTTTATTTTGCTTTCCTTTGTTTTGTTTTGCTCTGTTTTTTTTTTCTTCGCTCAAATAAACTTAGTTAAAATATAAACTTGTCTAAGGTTTTTTTCCATTCTCTATTGTGTTCCATTGGTCTCTGTGTCTGTTTTTGTACCAATACCATTGTTTTGATTACTCTAGCTTTGTAGTATCATTTGAAGTTAGGTAACGTGATACCTCTGACTTTGTTCTTGGTGCTCAAAATTGCTTTGGCTATTCGGGCTCTTTTTTGGTTCCATATGAATTTTATAATAGTTTTTTTCTAGTTCTGTGAAAAATGGCCTTGGTTATTTGTTAGAAATAGCATTGAATCTGTGGATTGGTTTCATTCAGCATTATGAAAATGTTAATGAAATCGATTCTTCCAAACCATGAGCATGGAATGTTTTCCCATTTGTTTGTGTTGTCTGTAAGCAGTGTTTTGTAGTTCTCCTTATAGAAATATTTCACCTCCTTGGTCAGATGTATTCCTAGAAATTTTATTTTATTTTTGTAGATATTGTAAATGAGATTGTGTTCTTGATTTGGCTCTCAGCTTGAGAGTTATCAGTGTATAGAAATGCTACTGATTTTTGTATGTTGATTTTGTGTCCTGAAACTCTACTGAAGTCGTTCATCAGGTCTAGGGGTCTTTTGGTAGAGTCTTTATAGAGTTTTCTAGGTATAGAATCATATCATTAGCAAAGAGAGATAATTTGACTTCCTCTCTTCCTATCAGGATGCCTTTTCTTTCTCTTGCCTGATTGCTCTGGCTAGGACTTCCAGCTCTATGTCGAATACAGGTGGTGAGAGTGAACATCTTTGTCTTGTTCTGGTTCTTAGGGAAAATACTTCCAGCTTTTGCCCCTTCAGTATGATGTTGGTTATGGGTTTTTAGTAGATGGCTCTTATTATTTTGAGGTGTGTCCCTTCTATGTCTAGTTTGCTGAGTGTGTTTATCATGAAGAGATGTTGGATTTTATCAAATGCATTTTCTGCATCGATTGAAATAATCATACGGTTTTTGTTTTTAATTCTGTTTATGTGGTGGGTCACATTTAAAGTCTGTTTTATCTGATACAAGAATAGCAACCCCTGCTCCTTTTGGTTTTTCATTTGCGTGATAGATCTTTTTCCCTCCCTTTACTTTGACCCTGTGGGTATCAATACATGTGACATGATTTTCTTGAAGGCAGCAGAAAGATGGGCGTTTTTCTAAATTCAATTTCCCACTCTATGTCTTTTAAGTGGAGCATTTAATTTGTTTACATTCAGAGTTAATATTAATATGTGAGATTTTGTTTGTCATACTGTTGTTAGCTACTTGATTTGTAGTTTTGCTTATGTAGTTGCTTTGTACATGGGTCAGGATCCATGGGCTATGTGCCTATGTGTGCTCTTATGGTAGTATCATTCTTTCATTTTCATGTTTAGAACTTCCTTAAGCATCTGTTATAGGGTGGTGATAAATTCACTTAGCAATTACTTGTCTGAGAAGGATTTTATTTTTCTTTTGTTGAGTAAGACCTGAAAAGCACAGGCAACCAAAGCAAATAGAGTTTTACTTTTTTTACTCAAGATGGTGGATTAGAGGCTTTTAGGGTGCCTCAGCCACTTGGAAATAGCAAAATAGTGCATAAGGGGAGAAAGTGGTTAAGCAGCCACTCTGATGGCATTCAGCTGATGAAGTGAGTGAAGCTGAAGCTTTTTGATGAGGTGAGGCTTTTTTATTTTTTATTCTTTTTTTCTCTTGAGGGTATGACTGTAGTGTATGTTGTATATGACAGGCTTCATTTCTGGATGCTTTCAGAGGGCCAGGGCTCTGTATAGGTTCCTTGGTTGCAGAAAGATTTGTACAGTGACTTTCTCAAATGTTGCTCCATGTAGCAATGTATTTTTGTTTGGTGGTATAATTCAAGCTGCAGACGAATAGATGGTGCTTGAAGAGTAAAAGCCACCAAGAGGTTCTTACTCTGCATGCTCACCCTTGGTGGGACAGAGGGAACGGAAAAGGGTGAAAAACGTCTTTCCCCAGTGTAACTGGTCTTTGGTAGGAGTGGAGCCCCTGGAGAAGCCTGAGAAGTGCCTCTTTCAGCCCATGCTTCTGGGGCCACAATAGAAAGTGTTGCTGCCACATCTGTAGCAGTGCACCGGTGATGGGGGCAGGGTGCAAGAGATAACCCCGTCTCCAAGTCTCCAGGAGCTTTGGTGTTGCCCCCTTCAGTAGCTGGCACCGCACTTTCATTTCCTTTAATCCAAGGGAGGCTTTGGTGGGCTGCATTTTCTCCACCCTGAAGGGTGGTGCATGCCAAGAGTTGGATGTCCAGGTGAGTAGGGGTACAACTCCCTCTCTCCCCTAGGAGCATGTGGGGCACTCTCTCCCAAACTGACCAAGGGAGCATGCTAAGGTACGCAGTAATGACACACATAGATTGGTTCCAGGTCACAAAGCTATCCCTGGCTGCAAGTCATCCTACCCAGGAGAAGCCTTGGCTTCAGCAATTCTCCTCCCACTCCACTCCTGAGATGGAAGAGAACCTAATTTCAGTACCTACTGCTGGGGTGCTCCCACACTCACTGCTCAATTCTGGCTGTGGGGTTTCTTCCCCCACTCCAGAGCAAGCACAGTTCTAGCTGTGGGGGTCTTTCCCCTACTCCAGAGCAACCTCTAGCCTGAGACTAAAATGTCTGCAGTGGCTGCTGTTGCCAGGTCGCCAATGACTTTGTATGAGCCCAGATTAAAAATGGCGTCCTCCTTTCAGTCCTAGGTCTGGGAAAATGTCTGCAGCTTTTTCCAGTGTCTTTCCCTCTCTCTGTCTCTCAGCCTCTCCCCAAGCTCGCTCCTGGGCTTGGAGGAAACAGGGTGCTTTCCCTTGACCTGGGTTGCACAGATCACTAGCAGGAAGGTAAGAAACACAGGAAGATTGGGATTGGCTGCCTCTTTCATGAACTGGGGCTTCACTCACTTTATCAGCTGAATGCCATCATGGGGGCTGCTTAATCTTCTCCTCCTCAGGGTCTGGGGTGTCCTTCACTATTCTGATGAATTCCTATTTTCTTCCCAGAGTTTATTATTATTATTATTATTATTATTGTTTCTTCTGAGACGGAGTCTTGCTCTGTCGCCCAGGCTGGTGTGCAGTGGCCCAATCTCTGCTCATTGCAACCTTCGCCTACCAGGTTCAGGCAATTCTCCTGCCTCAGCCTCCCCAGTAGCTGGGACTACAGGCATGCGCTACCACGCCTGGCTAATTTTTGTATTTTTAATGGAAACAGGGTTTCACCATGTTGGCCAGGCTGGTCTCAAACTCCTGACCTCAAGTCATCTGCCTGCCTTGGCCTCCCAAAGTGCTGGGATTACAGGCGTGAGCCACCGCACCCAGCACTGAGTTTATGCACTATTTTGCTATTTCCAAATGGCTGAGGCATACTGAAAGTTTCTAATCCACCATCTTGAGTAAAAAAAGTAAAACTGACCAGGTGCGGTGGCTCACACCTGTAATCCCAGCGCTTTAGGAGGCCGAGGCGGGTGGATCACCTAAGGTCGGGAGTTCAAGACCAGTCTGACCAACACGGAGAAACCCCATCTCTACTAAAAATACAAAAAATTAGCCAGGCATGGTGGCACATGCCTGTAATCCCAGCTACTCGAGAGGCTGAGGCAGGAGAATTGCTCAAACCCGGGAGGCGGAGGTTGTGGTGAGCCAAGATCAGGCCATTGCACTCCAGCCTGGGCAACAAGAGTGAAACTGTCTCAAAAAAAAAAAGAAAAAAAAAAGTAAAACTATTTTTGCTTTGATTGCCTGTGCTTTTGAGGTCATACTCAAGAAATTTTTGCCCAGACCAATGTCCTGGAGTACTTCCTGGAATCTTGCCTGAGCCTTAAAGGTAAGAGAGATTCACTGCCCTCGCTCTAGCAGCTTAAGACTTTTAAAAGGGGAAGTGGGGACTTTGCCTATGTCACCCAGTAGCAGCCTATCACTTCATGTTTGCCTGTACCCCAAAGGTCTTCTTCAGGCCTCTTGCCTTGCTCCCAACCTTTTTTTTTTTTTTGACAGGATCTCACTCTGTTGCCCTGGCTGCAGTACAGTGGCACAATCTCAGCTCACTGCAACCTCTGCCTCCTGGACTCGAGCAATCTTCCTGCCTCAGCCTCCTGAGTAGCTGGGACTACAGGCGCACGCCACCAAATCCAGCTAATTTTTGTATTTTTAGTAGAGACAGGGTCTCACCATGTTGACCAGGCTGGCCTTGAACTCCTGGGCTCAAGCAATCCACCTGCCTCGGCCTCCCAAAGTGCTGGGATTATAGGAGTGAGGCACTGTGCCTGGCCTTAACTCTCAATCTTTCTTGTGAGCATTTGGTAGAGGCCCAACTTCTTATGTCTGTGGCTCTTAGATATTCTAAATAGACGTGCTAGCCCACACCTGGCCTTTAAGAATTTGCTAAAATTTTGTTTGATTTCTTCTTACCTAGCCACTTCTCTCTTGTGCTCTACTATAGATGAAATACTTCATTTCACAGATACAGACTCCTATCCCAGTTTACATGGTTGGCTTGAGTCCTCAGCTATCTAATGGGCTCAAGAAAAATTATTGTTCTAGATTATCTGGCATTTTCTTTGCTAAATTGGGAGCAACACTCTTACATAATTTTTCTACATTTCTTTTCCAATTATAAGTACAAATATAGGAATTTTGATTAGAATTTTACTAAAGTTAACATTAGAGATTGCGCAATATTATACAATTTGGTCTTTACATCCAGAAATACTGGTATTTTCACTCATTTTACAAAGAGCATCTTCCAGATTCTTTATGATATGGAGTCATGATTTGTTAATTGATTTTAACTTAAATTCCATATTGTTACAAACACAAATTGAAGTGGCTTCAATGTTATGGTATTAAAACATATTTAAAGTAAACAGGGAAACTGAAAAGTATTAGGTTGGAACCAAATAATCATAAAGGTACCTAGGATTGTAACAAAAATTAAACATTATATTTAGCTTTGAGATTCCTAGGAGAAAAGACAAAAAGGGAAACAGTACATTATGTAGTTCTCACAGTTTAATAGAAAGAATGCATTTTTTTGGTATGCAGTTCCTTTTAGAAATAACAAAATAGAAAATGAGTTCAACCATTGCTTTATAGAAAACAGGGAAATGTCCTTCAATTGAGCATTTCTTTTCCTCACATTAATAAAGTCTGCACACACCTCCTATGTTAACAGGAAATAGGAATTTCAGATAACAAATGTGAAAAGTTGAAATAATCCTGACAAATTTTTCAAATCAATTGTTGAAAATATTTATTTAGAAAAAAATATTTAGTTGGAAAACAGAAGAAACCAAAGAAAAACACACTTCATGTAAACAACAGAACACTATGCTAAGTTTAGTTCTACAATAAAAGCCACACAAATCTGTGTGTGGCTAACGATGAGGATACAGAGAAAAGAAAAAGAAAATTGAGAGAGAGGTAGAATATAACTCTTTGCTTACTGCAGGTCTTGTCTGGAGGAGAACCTCTGGAAAATAATAAGTTAGGATGGCCCTAGTCTACCAGCATGCCAGAGGCAGAACCAATATAATCTCCTAAAATATGAGATTTGTGTCAATTCTTAGGGTTACTCACTAAGGTGGTTTGGTTCCACCAATGAATAAATTTTCTAATTCTATACTAAGCTCATCCTTTGGAACATCAATCTCATCTCCAGATTCTTCTCCAAGCTTCTTCCACCAGGGTGCTTGTATGTGCTTCAGGGTTGTGAGATGGGCCTGCTTGGCCTTGGCTGCCACAGGCCTGGATCTACTTAGGAAGAGCTCAGGTTCTTTCCCTTCTGCCTCCTTCAGACTTGGTGCCTCTGTAGTGGACAGAAAATAAACAGATGAGCAGAAGAGTCCTATGCCAAGCAGGTAGGAACTTGGAAGCTACAGAGCTGTAACTCTGCAGGCAGAAACAGCATTCCAACTCTGAATGTACTACTTTTGAGAAAGGGTCTTGCTCTATTGCCTAAGCTGGAGTGCAGTAGCAAGATCACGGCTCACTGCAGCCTCAACCTCCTGGGCTCAAGTGATTCTCCCACCTCAGCTTCCTAAGTACCTGGGACTATGCCACCACACCCAGCTAATGTTTTTTCTTTTTTTGTAGAGATCTCACTATGCTGCCCAGGCTGGTCTCAAACTCCTGGACTCAAGCAATCCTTCTGCCTCAGCTTCCCTAAGTGTTGGGATTACAGCCATGTGTCAACATATTCAGCCCATTTCTGTTTTTTTTTGAGACAGAGTTTTGCTCTTGTTGCCCAGGCTGGAATGCCATGGCACGATCTCGGCTCACTGCAACCTCCGCCTCCTGGGTTCAAGCAATTCTCCTACCTCAGCCTCCTGAGTAGCTGGGATTACAGGCGTGCGCCACCATGCCCAGCTAATTTTGTATTTTTAGTAGAGACGGGCGTTTCACCATGTTGGTCAGGCTGGTCTCGAACTCCTGACCTCAGATGATCCACCTACCTCGGCCTCCCAAAATGTTGGGATTACAGGCGTGAGCCACCGTGCCCGGCCATTTCTGTGTTTAAAGGAATTTAAAAAGATGTAGATTTTTGTAAGATGGCTTATTTATTTATATTATTATTTTTTGAGACAAAGTCTCACTCTGTCACCTAGGCTGGAGTGCAGTAGCGCGATCTCTGCTTACTACAACCTCCGCCTCCCGGGTTCAAGCAATTCTCCTGCCTCAGCCTCCTGAGTAGCTGGGATTACAGGCACCCGCCACCATGCCCAGCTAATTTTTGTATTTTCAGTAGAGATGGGGTTTCACCATGTTGGTCATGCTGGTCTCGAACTCCTGACCTCGTGATCCGCCCACTTCGGCCTCCCAAAGTGCTGGGATTAGAGGCATGAGCCACCTCACCCAGCCAAGATGGTTTATTTAAAGAATAGAAACTTTAATAGAACCTCATCCTATAGATGAGAGGCTCAGTTTCAGCCATTTATCCAATTTAAGAATATAAAATTACCAAGTAGTGGCCATTAAATAGAAAACACTGGTCCTTTCTGTTTACATATACTAAAGAAATCCAAGATGCTGACTGAAACACAGGGGCTTCATGGATGGGATCTCTCATTAAATGGATCAGTGGTTATGATGAATTCATTTTTGTAAAGTGCTTCATTAAAAATTATAGGCTAGGCACGGTGGCTCACGCCTATAATCCCAGCACTTTGGGAGGCCGAGGTAGGCAGGTCACAAGGTCAAGAGATCGAGACCATCCTGGCCAACATGGTGAAACTCCGTCTCTACTAAAACTACAAAAATTAGCTGGGCGTGGTGGTGCGCACCTGTAGTCCCAGCTACTCGGGGAGGCTGAGGCAGGAGAATCGCTTGAACGTGGGAGGCGGAGGTTGCAGTGAGCCAAGATCACACCACTGCACTCCAGCCTGGCAACAGAGCAAGACTCCGTCTCAAAATAATAATAAAAAAAAATTTATAAAATGCTCTACAAGTGAATGGCACTGTAACTATTGTCATCATCTACTTACAAAATATGACCAAAAGCTTTTCAGATTACTTAGTAAAAGATGGCTAGTAGGGCTCAGCATCTGAAATTAATAACTTTGGGGTGACACATATGAATGATGGCAAGGCTTGGGGAAACAGGTAAGAAGGTGGTTATAAAATCCGCATCATTTGAAAACATTGTGTGCTGGTCTGATCTATGTAGAAATTTCCTGAGGTTAGGGGATGAGCTAAAGATGCTTAGTAATGGTTTCCTTCTAAAGGTTTTGGATGTCACAAACCTCGCATAGGTTGTTCCTTTTAGAGAACGAAAGTAAAATGAGCACATACTCATTAGCTGTTCAACGTTGGTGCTGATCTGTGCTATCAGAGCTTCTCTGTGCTGCTGGGCTCGCTCTTCTAGGGCCCTGCCCATAAAGTAGTGTTGCAGTCGTTCTTGAGCTTGGGCATGGAGCTCCCTACTGACCACATCTGACATTGGAGAGCCCTGGAAACACAGGACAGAAAAACCTGTCACAGAGAGGACATAGGTATCAAAGTACCCAACCACTTAGCAGAGGTTTTAGACTGCTTAGCTGTCTCTCATTTTATCAATTGAATCTTATGATTGATGTCTATCTTGTACTCTTATGCAAGTATTAATTAGTCTCTTAAAAGTTTTAGATAAAAATAATGGTGGAGAAGTTTTTTGTCTTTCTTTTTTGTATGTGCCTATACTTTACTTTCTCAGACACTGTGGAATTATGGGAGAAGAGATAAGCTTGAGAGATCACAGTGAAAAATTACAAATGGTTTCGTAAAGACACTGGCCTGGGGCCGGGTGTGGTGGCTCACGCCTGTAATCCCAGCACTCTGGGAGGCCAAGGTGGGTGGATCACCTGAGGTCAGGAGTTCAAGACCAGCCTGGCCAACACGGTGAAAACCCATCTCTACAAAAATTAGCCAGGCATGATGGTGGGTGCCTGTAATCCCAGCTACTCGGGAGGCTGAGGCGGGAGAATTACTTGAACCTGGGAGGCAGAGTTTGCAATGAGCCGAGATTGCGCCATTGCTCTCCAGCCTAGGCAACAGAGCAAGACTCTGCCTTAAAAAAAAAAAAAAAAAAAAAAAGACACTGGCCTATAACAGGTGTAACAACGCCAATCCCTTTGTTTCTTTGTTTTACTTCTTATCCCATTCTCACTCCCAAACTTATCCAAGCCATATGTTGTAACTGCTTCTGGATCCACAGAACAAGGGACAAAATCATCCAAAGGACCATGTTCTTTTGGCTAGTCAGCTAATTTAAGGGGAACTTAACTGATTAGTTTGGGCAAGGATGAAATAATCTTAACTTTGGAGGTGATAAAGAACCTGACACCACAGCTTTCTCAAATATTCCTGTTCCTATCCTGGATATGACCCTGTTCCACTAAAACCTTACTTCTCAGCCACAGGATCTTAAACAGCTGCACTAGAGTATGGCTAAAGAAGCACTTTAAAAAAAGAAAAACAGGAGCATGCATCAGAACTACATATAGTGTATTAGAAAAAGAGAGATCAAAGACCTAAACATAAGAGCTAAAACTGTAAAACTCCTAGAAGAAAACACAGGAAAAGCATCATGACATTGGTTTTGGTGATGATTTCTTCATACGACACCAAAGCACAGGAAAAAAAAAACAACAACAAAAACCAGACAAAATGAACTTCATCAAAATTAAAAACCTTGGTGCACCAAAGATCACTATCAAGAAAGTTAACTGGCAGTCCACAGAATGGCATAAAATGTTTGCAAATCATACATCTAAGGGATTAATCTCCATAATATATAAAGAACTCCCAAAACTCTACAAAAAACAACCTGATTAAAAAATGAACAAAATATAACCCTGTGGAAAAAAAAATAAACAAATGACTTGAACAGACATTTCTGCAAAAAAGATAAAGAAACGGCCAATAAACACATGAAAAGATGCTCAAAATCACTAATTAGGAAAGTGCAAGTTCAAACCATAAGATACAACTTCATATCTATTAGCTGCTATCAAAAACAATGACTACAACAAAAATAACTAATGTTGACAAGGATGTACAGAAACTGGAACCCTGTGTGTGACTGGTAGAAATGTAAAATGGTACAGCCACTATGGAAAACAGTATGGCAGTTCCTCAAAAAAATTTTTAAAAAGAATTAGCACACAATCTAGCATTTCCATTTCGGATACTCACCCAAAAGAATTGAAAGCAAGTACACACACAGATATTTGTACACACATGGTCACAGTAGCATTATTCACAATAGCCAAAGGGTGGACGGAACCCAAGTGTTCCTTGGATAAACAAAATGTAGTATATATAATGGAATATTATTCAGCCTTTAAAAGTAGAAAATTCCGACATATGCTAAAACATGAACCTTGAAGACATTATACTAACTGAAACAATGAAGTATGATTCTACTCATGAGGTACTTAGAGTAGGCAAATTCATGGAGACAGAAAGTAGAATGGTGGTTGCCAGAAGCTGGGTAGTGAGGGAATGGTGAGTTAGTGTTTAAAGGATGCAGAGTTTCCATTCTGCAAGATGAAAAAAGTTCTGAAGATGGGATGGTGGTGAAGCTTGCACAAACAATATGAATGTACTTAATGCTACCAAACTACATTTAAACATAGTTAAAATGGTAATTTTTATATTTTATCTATTTTACCACCCTGAAAATAAATAAATTTTAAAAATACAGATACATGAGGCCACACAAAACTTACTGTATCAGAATTTCTTGGGGTGTGTGGGGCTTGGGTATGTAATTTTTATAAAGGTGATTAAATTTGTAAATGATTAAAACTGTTAAAAGCAATATAGTCCTCTCTACAGAGCTTAGGAACTGATTATCTGTTTGTTGGAGAGGAGGCATGCTTCTGTCTGTCTTCATTCTACCTCTGCTCACAGGAAAAATCTTTCAGTTGTGGTTCTGCCCCTCTCTCCAACTCGGTTCTGGTGTTTGGCTAAGGGAGGAGTTGCTAATATGATTGATCAGCACTTAAGAGATTCACTGGCCATATACACCATGGAATACTATGCAGCCATAAAAAAGGATGAGTTTATGTCCTTTGCAGAGACATGGATGAAGCTGGAAACCATCATTCTCAGCAAACTAATACAAGAACAGAAAACCAAACACTGCATGTTCTCAACCATAAGTGGAAGTTGAACAATGAGAACACGTGGACGCAGGGAGGGGAACATCACACACTGGGGCCTATCGTGGGGTAGGGAACTAAGGGAGGGATAGCATTAGGAGAAAAACCTAATGTAGATGACAGGTTGATGGGTCCCAAACCACCCATGGCACATGTATACCTATGTAACAAACCTGCATGTTCTGCACATGTATCCCAGAACTTAAAGTATAATAATAATTAAAAAGAAGAGATTCATTGGCCATGTTTTATTGGTGGCCAGGCTGATTATTTTTAAAATCTCAGGACCCCTAAATTTTTTTTTAAGCATTTAGGTTAAAACAACCTTTTAAAAAATATAGCTTTATTGACGTAAAAATAACATACACTAAACAACAAATATTGAAAGGGTACAATTTGCTAAGCTTTGACATACACATACCTAGTTCATCACTACGTTTCCTTGTTTCCTTTTGTAAACCCTTATCCTCATCCTACCCATCCACCAACTACTTATCCCAAGCAACTACTTATCTATTTAATGTTACTATAGATTGGTTTATATTTTTAGAATTTACATAAAGGGAATCATAAAGAATGTATTCTACTCTGTCTGGCTTCTTTCATTTAGCATAATTATTTTGAGATTCATCCACGTTTTTTTTTCTTTTTCTTTAAAAATTTTTTTTGAAGACAGGGTCTCACTCTCTCACCCAGGATAGAGTGCAGTGGTGCCATCACTGCTCACTGCAGCCTCGAACTCCTGGGCTCAAGCGATCCACCTGCCTTGGCCTCTCAAAGTGCTGGAATTATGGGCGTGAGTCACCATGCCCGGCCAGAGATTCATCCATGTTGTTGAGAGTATCAATTTATTCCTTTATACATGCTGAATGGTACTCCATGGTTCTAGTTTTTGGCCATGAGCATTCATGTACAAGTGTCTATATGGACATATATTTCTTTTTCTCTGGGGTAAATATCTAGGAGTAGAATGGCTGAATCATATGATAGATGTATGTTTAATTTTTAAAGAAACTGTTGAACTGTCTTCCAAAGTAGTTGTACTCTTTTACATTCCCCTAAGTGGTGACTCTGCCACATGCTTGCTAACCTTTGGCATGTTCCATTTTTAAAATTCCAACAGGTATGAAGTATCTTACTGTCGGTTATTTTTTGAAAAATTTTAAATTTTTATTAAAAAAATTAGAGAGAGGGTCTCAATATGTTACCCAGGCTGGTCTCAAACTGTTGGGCTGAAGCAATCCTCCCACCTTGGCCTCCCAAAGTGTTAGGATTACAGGTATGAGCCACTGTGCTGGGCCCTTATTGTGGTTTTAATGTGCATTTTCCTTAGTGATTAATGATGCATTTTTCATGTGTTTATTTGTCATCTATCTTTTGGTGAAGTATCTGTTCAAAGCTTTTGTCCATTTAAAAAACAAAACAACTAGTTCATATGTTTTCTTACTGTTTAGTTTTGAGAGTTCTTTCTATATTATGGATATAGGACCTTTATCAAATATATGCTTGGCAATGATATTCTCCCAATCTGTGCCTTGTTTCTTTAATTCTGTTAATGGTGTCTTATGAAGAGAAGTTTTAAATTTCAATAAAGCCAATATATCAAATTTTCCTTTTTGAATCATGCTTCTGGTATTGTATTCAAGAAAGGTCACAATATTTCTCCATTGTTTCCTTTTAGAAGTTTTATAGTTTTAGGTTTTGCATTTAGGCCTATGATCTACTTTGAGTTACATTTTGCATATGAAGTGAAGTATGGCTTCAAGTTCAATTGTTTGACATGTGAATAGCCAATTGCTCCAGTTTTTCTGCATTAACTGTATATCTCTGTCAATAATTAGTTTGCTATACATGTGCTGTTAGGTGATTCTGGCACTGTGCACATGTCATTGAGTGTACCTACAGAAACTTAAATGGTATAGACTACTACATATGTAGGCTATGTGGTATACCCTATTGCTCTTAGGCTACAAATCTGTACAGCATGTTATTGTATTGAATACAGTAAGCAATTTTAATGCAATGGTAAGTTTTTGTATATGTAAACATATATAAATGTAGAAAATGTCCAGTAAAAATATACCATTACAATATTATGTGACCACTGTTGTATATATGGTCCAACACTGACTGAAAATTCATTATGTGACACATGGCTGTAATTACCATTTCCAGTGCTCTTAATTTCTTTATGTAGAGCCAGATTTCTCTCTGGTATCTTTTCCTGGCATCATTTTAAACAGAAATGTTAAGTCTTTTACACCTTAAAGAACTTAACATTTCTGATTTACATTCACACCAACAGTGTGTAAGTGTTCCCTTTTCTCCACATCCTTGCTAACATCTGTTGTTTTTGACTTTGTAGTAATAGCCATTTTAACTGGTATAATATGATTATTTATTATGATTTTAAGTTACATTTCTCTGATGATTAGTGATATTGAGCATTTTTCATTGTTTGTTGACCACTTGTATATACGTCTGTTCATGTTTCTTGCCCACTTTTTTTTTTTTTTTGAGACAGGGTCTCACTCGGCCACACAGGCTGGAGTGCAGTAGCATGAACATGCCTCACTGCAGCCTCAACCTCCTGAGCTCAAGTGATCGCCCCACCTCAGTCTCCCAAGTAGCTGGGACCACAGACAGGCATCAACATGCCTGGCTAATTTTTAAATTTTTTGTAGAGACCAGGTCTCACCATGTTGCCTAAGCTGGTCTCGAATTCCTGGGCTCAAGCAATCCTCCTGGCCTTGGCATTCCAAAGTGCTAAGATTACAGGCATGAGCCACAGCATCTGGCTTTGCCCACTTTTTAATGGGGTTGTCTTTTTCTTCTTGAGTTGAGTTCCTTGTAGATTCTAGATATTAGCCCTTTGTTAGATGTATAGCTTGCAACTATTTTTTCCCATTCTATAGGCTGTTTACTGTTGACTGTTTATTTTGCTGGGCAGGAGCTTGCAATATAGGCATGTAAATGTGCATTTTTACTCCCTCAATCTACACAAATAAAAAGAATTTAACATTTCTGCAATGTTAAATCCTTTACAACTTTAAGGATTTAACATTTTTGGTAGTGCAAGTGTACTGGTGATCAAGTCTTTCAGCTTTTGTATGTCTGAAAAAGTCTTTTTTTTTTTAACAATATTTTTTTGCCAGGTACAGAATTCTAGGTTGACAACTTTTTTTCCTTTCAGTACTTTAAAGCAAGATATCTTTCGCCGGGGGTGGTGGCTCATGCCTATAATCCCAGCACTTTGGGAGGCTGAGATGGGTGGATCACCTGGGGTCAGGAGTTCGAGACCAGCCTGGTAAACATGGTGAAACCCCATCTCTACCAAAAGTACAAAAATTAGCTGAGCATGATGGCAGGCGCCTGTAATCCTAGCTACCTGGGAGGCTGAGGCAGGAGAATCACTTGAACCCGGGAGGCGGCAGTTGCAGAGATTGCGCCACTGCACTCCAGCCTGGGTGACAACAGCGAAACTCTGTCTCAAAAAAAAAAAAAAAAAGGTATCTTCTTGCTTGCACTGTTCCTACTGAGCAATGTAATCTTTGTCTTTACGTAACATTTAAAAATTTTTTTACACACCAACATGGCACATGTATACATATGTAACAAACATGCACCTTGTGCACATGTACCCTAGAACTTAAAGTATAATAAAAAGTATATATATAAAAATTTTTTTTTGTTTTTAAGATTTTCACTGTATCACTGGTTTGACAATTTTGATTATGATATTCCTTGGCACAGTTTTTTCCATGTACCTTAACTGGTTTGGGTATGGGCTTATCATTTTTAGTTTGGAAAGTTTTCAGCCATTATTTTTCTCTACATCTCCTTCAGGGATTCCAAGTTTTCATTTACTGGGCCACTTACAGTCCCACAGCTCAGTAATGGTCTTTTCAAATATTTTTCTCTTTTTTCCCCTCTCTGTGACTCATTTTGTACAGTATCTACTAGTATGGCTTCACCTATATTAATCTTCCATCCAGCAAAGTCTAATCTGCTATTATTTTGATCAAGTATATTTTTCACACCATACTTTGAAGTTTTTATCTCTAGGAGTTTGATTCAGGTATTTTTTTTTACATTTTTCATCTTTCTACTTGACTTTTTGAACATATAAAATACAGTTATAATGACTGTTTTAATGCCCTTCTCTGCCAATTTTAACATCTATGTAATTTCTGGGTTGGTTTGACTGAATATCCTCCTCATTATGGGTCCTGTTTTCCTACTTCCATGCATGCCTTTAATATTTGATTAGCTGCTAGACATTGTGACTTTTACCTTGTTGGGTGCTGGATATTTTGATATTTCTTAAAATTTTGAGTCTTTTTTTGGGATGCTGTTAAATTACATGAAAACATTTTAATCTTTTTTTGACTCTTGATTTTATAATTTGTTTGGCAGAATGGAGCCGTCTAGGCTAATCATAATCTACTATTAAGGGAAGGTCTTCCTGAGTACTCTTCACAATACCCTGTGAATTATGAGTTTCTCCAGCATATTTGATGGGAACAGATACTATTCCTGGACCTATGTGAGTTCCAGACACACTTCCGTCTTACCTTTTCAGATGACTCGATAATTTGGCTTTGGATAATTTCCTCACATGTACATGCTGATTAGTATTCTGGAGAATACTCAAGGGGTAGATTCTGTAGATATCTGGGGTTCTCTCTCTTTGCAGCTCTCTTTACTCAGGTACTCTGTTCTATGAAGTCTAGTTCCCTTGGTGTCACCTGACTCTCAGTGCCATCTCCTTAACTCAAGGATTCTAAAGAGCCCTTCTCTGTTCTCTTCCTTGAGCTATGGCCTAGAAACTCTTTCAAGACAGTAAGCTGGGGTAATTATAGGGCTTGCTTCGTTCCCTCTCAGAGATTATTGTTCTTTGTTGTCTGATGTCCAGGGTCTTGAAAACGATTTCATGCATTTTATCTGCTTGTTTCTTTTTCTGGTTGTTTCAGGCAGGAAGTAAATCTAGTCCCTGTTACTCCATCTTGGCCAGAAACTAATGTCAGAACTTTTTCCATTGTCTACCTCTTTATGGTAATCACAGAGGGCCTGATATAGAAGGGTAGTCTTTTCCTCCTCTCTTTCTCCACAGACTCCATTAGGTTTTAGGTCCCTAAATCCAGATTAGCAGAAGCAGAAAGTAAGAGGGCTTATTTACACTTCCTAGACTAAGCTTTGCTATCCAATTCAGGTTTTACCATTGCTGTGTTCCAGTGGTTACCAGATACATGCTCAGCTACTAATATATTTGTACTTCATTTCCATTTGTACAGTAGTTTTTGTTTGTTTGTTACAAAAAGTCCTTTCATTTTGGATGCTCTGGAGGAATGAAAGGGTGAATGATAGGACTCCCTAAATATCACATCAAGCCTCTAACATCAGTTATCCAGAACCTTCAAATTTTAGAAGTCTGTGTGTGTATCTGTGTGTGTGTATGTGTGTGTGTGTGTGTGTGAGAGAGAGAGAGAGAATGAACTCAGGCACAAACACCACCACCACAATCACAACAAAACTCGTGAAAAGTACCAAGATACACTATGAGTGCTTGGTTCAAATGAGGGAATAATTCTGATAGATTGAAATGTATAAACTGCTAACTTTCTCCATAAAATTACATAAGTGTGAAAGCACGGGAGAAGCAGTAAGAGAAAAGAAAGTAGAGGTAATCAGCAAAGGTGCAGGTGATTAAAATTAATGACAGGAGTGGTGAGTTATTCCCAAGGCAGAAAGGGAAATGACCTTTGAAGACACATAGGAGTAGATGGTCAAGAATTCAGGTGGGAGAAGAGAATAACAGGTGACCTGCCATCCTGTGGTCATAGAAAGTCAAAGATATGGACATTTCTATTGGGATAAAGGTGCTAGCAGTATTATTGTGGTAAGATCATAAGAGGCAAATAGTCAAATGCTATATCTTATTGGCTTCTGGAGGTACATTAGTAGTCCAACAAATGTAAGAATGAATAATCATTGATTGACAGTTACATATACTCTTTCTGGAAGGTTCAAAATAGTCCAAGTTTTACAGTACTATTGCAAAAGAAGCAATGAACAAGTCTTATTGACATAGTATGGGAAAAAACTGATTTAAAGCAGAGTCTCCTTCACTACTGACTATACCTCTATGGCTATGTAACTAGAAAAAGATATACCATTACTTCTATGGTAAAGCCAATGCATTACCTTATACCAGCAATAAATGTACACACACACACACACACACACACACACACAATATATGTGTGTGTGTGTACAGTTATCAATATCATGCATTGGAATAATGTAATACTGATATGGTACAGAAGCTTCATACCAAATGTCTTCTGACATAGTCATCCACTCGTTTCTTCAGTTCAACTCGGCGTGCATCAGTGAGTTCTTGGAGTCCTCGCCAAGGAGCAAATAGTTTCTTTTTCTTACGGCACTTCGCTAGGAATTTAAGCGCCTGGAAGAAAAAAAATTGAAGGTTTGTGATTTTTCTCCCCTAACTAATAGAACTATTTTCTCACTACAACATATGGTAGTGATCACATTGCAATAATGATTAACTCTGAGTGTGTATAAGGAGGGGAATGGGACTGTGACAAAATGCAGGAGAACAGTGACTTTTAAAATATACAGTCTTCTGTAGTGCTTTTTACAAGGATATAGTCACGTATTATTTGTGCAGTAAGCAATGAAGAGGAAAAAAAAGCAATAGATTCTAGTCTCAATTCTAGTCCCTTATAAACTATGATTCTGGGCAAGGCACTTGATCTCTAGAGGACAGGTTCTATGTCTATAGAAAAAAGGGTTCTTAATTCTACACAGCCTAGATGATTGTAAACACCAAGGAGACAGTATATTTCTGTCTGAATTCCTTCTCATGTCCTTCAGAATGGACTCTGGTAAAAAGAAATTTTGTAATAGGCATTATATGGGACAAATTTGCAATTATTCTTTCCAATTGTTTTCACTCTGCTCATGTCTTCGTAGTTTTTATTTTCATCAAAGTTACATGTTCACATTGTTTAAAGCAGGGGTCAGCAAATCATGGCCCACAGGCCAAATCCAGCCTGCTGCCTGTTTTCATAGGGCTTGAGAGCTAAAAATGTGTGTGTGATTTTGTTTTTGTTTTTTTTGTTTTGTTTTGTTTTTCATTTTACATTGTTAATTTAAAGGGAAAAGAATATTTAGTGGCACGTAAAATTATAAAAGAATATTTAGTGGCATGTAAAATTATATGAGATTCAAAATCTAATGTTTACAAATAACATTTTTTTTTTTTTGAGATGGAGTCTCGCTCTGTCACCAGGCTGGAGTGCAGTGGCACAATCCCAGCTCACTGCAACCTCCACCCCGCCAGGTTCAAGCAATTCCCCTGCCTCAGCCCCCTGAGTAGCTGGGATTACAGGCATGCACCACCACGCCCAGCTAATTTTTGTATTTTTTAGTAGAGATGGGATTTCACCATGTTAGCCAGGCTGTGATCTCTTGACCTTGTGATCTGCCCGCCTCGGCCTCCCAAAGAGCTGGGATTACAGACGTGAGCCATCGCGTCCCACCTCTACAAATAACATTTTATTGGAAGACAGCCATGCTCATCGGCTGCTTTTGTGCTATAACTGAATACATGTGACACACTACATGACCTGCAAAGCCTAAAATATTTTATTATATAGCCCTTCCCTGAAAAGTTTGCTGATGTAACTCTATTGTTTAATGTGTCAGTTTTGTAAGAATTACTAGAATGCGATTGTTTAATTTGTCAGTTTCATAAGAATTACTAGAATTCTTACTAGAGTTACCCACTTACCCTGTCCCCTGATTCAAGGGCAACAATTTAATTCAGGTTATTCTTTTGATATTTAGCTCCATCTATTTTTCTGTGATTTTTTTTTCAGATATAGGTATCATCTATTGATTTTCTTGTATGAAAGGTATGAATTTAGCTATCTTTCACTGTTTCTACTCCCCATCCATCCTATATTATTACATCATAATTTTAGTTAAATTAATGTTCAATGTTTACAAAATTATGACCACATAAAGGCTATTCACTTTTGAACAATATAGTACACTATAATTACTTTTCCTTCCTTGCACATTTTTATTTTCTCTGGAATTATTAATTCTCTTTTCTCCCATGCTTTGTTTTCCATACTACCGATTATATTTTACAAACTCTGCCCTAATTTTCTACACATTAAAATACAGCAGCCATTCTATCAAATTCATTTTCTTGGACACATTTTCTCGAGCTTCCTGACCTGCTGTAATTTGGATTGACTGCTCTCTATACCTTGGGCATAGCTGTCATCCTGTGGTCTCCATTCACCATCATCTCGGTGACTACTTTTCATCTTTCCCTTGTGTTTCTTGGATTCCATGTTGCCTTCCTTCTCAGGTTATTCCCTCTTATCTAAAAATGTCTTTGGTCTGTCCTTATCTTTAATTAATAATTTGGTTGGGTATAGAATTCTAGTTGGAAATCATTTTCCTTCAAATATGTGACAATCTTACTTCAATACTTTTTAGCTTCCAATGTTCCTGTCAAGAAGTCCTTTTGTTCCTAGTATATCTTACAGTATTATGAAACAAATGTAGAAGTGTTTCTGTCACTGTATTGGACACTTAATTGGTCCCCTTAATCTAAAATTCATGACATTCACTTCTTGGAAATCTTAAGTTATTTGATTTTCCATCTTCTGTTTTTTCTTGTTCTTGATTTCAAATGTTTGGCTGTTTGACCTCCTAGACTGGTAGTCTTTTCTATCCATCTTTTTTTTTTTTAATTAAAGATTCTACCTTTTTTTCTTTTTCTAATGATATTTCATATGTTGACCAGGCTGGCCTAGAACTCCTGAGCTAATGCCATCCTGCTGCCTTAGCCTTCTGAGTAGCTGGGATTACAGGTGTGTGCCACTGGCAAAATCTTTTTTCCTTGCTTTCTGTGAGATTTCTTTAACTTTTCCCCCACAGTCCTTTTATTAGTCTTTCAGTTTTCCCTGTCAAATTTTATTCTGTGTGCTCCATTTTATACGGTATCTTGGTTTTGTTTCATATATTACCTTTCCTTATCTCTCTGAGGATATTAATAACAGATTAAAAAAATTTTTTCCTTATACCTGCAATGTTTGTATTCTATCAAATAGTTTTATTCCATTTGTTTTGTCTTTGGCTTTCCTTAGATATTCAGTGATACTTATCTTTCAGCTGATATTTAAGAGTGGGCACTAAGAAGCGGTTTAGAAAATTTCCCTAGTACTCTTACTTTTTGGTATTTTTTCTAAGACAGGGTCTCACTCTGTCACCCTGGCTGGAGTGCAGTGGCTTGATTATGGCTCACTGCAGCCTCAACCTCCTGGGCTCAAGTGATCTTCCCACTTCAGCCTCCCGAGTAGCCGGGACTACAGGTATGTGCCACCAAGCCCAGCTAATTTTTTATAGAGAAAGAGTCTTATTATGTGTCCTAAGCTGGTCTCAAACTCCTGAGCTCAAGTGATCCTCCCGCCTCAGCCTCCCAAAGTGCTGGGATTTACAAGCATGAGTCACCGTGCCCGGCCTTGTTTTCAGTATGGTACTTGAGTTTTCAACTGTGCTTGCATCCTTCTGTTGAGACTCTCTTCTTTCTTTCTATTCTCCCCTTTCCTTGATTTTTCTCTTTTAGCAAATTTCCCCAATTTTTAGCTCCTGGAGAAACAATGCCTCTGTTTTTGCATCAAGTAAGAGAGAAACAGAAGGTGGATAACTGTTCTGGCCTTTCTTTTCCTGCCAAGGACACTAATAACCAGTTCTTCCTGAGGGACACACTCATTGAAAGGATATTCCTACTCCTTTATATTACTTTTTTTTTTTTTTGAGGCAGGGTCTTATTCCTATTACCCAGGCTAGAGTGCAGTGGTGTGATCACAGCTCACTGCAGCCTCAACTTCCCAGGCTCAGGTGATTTTCCCCCACTTCAGTTTTCAGAGTAGCTGGGACTACCAGTACATGCTACCACGCCTGGCTAATTTTTGTATTTTTAGTAGAGATGAGGTTTTGCGACATTGCCCAGGCTGGTATATTACTTTCAATGAGGCTAATGAATTATTTCCCATTTTTTTCTTAGCAAGATCAGTTGCAGTGCCAACAGAAATGTAAGGTGAGTCATATATGTAATTTTAAATTTTCTAGTAGTCACATTAAGAAAATAAAAAATGGGCGAAACAATATTTACTCAGTTATATAAAACATACAACAATATACACAAAATATTAGTATTTCATCATGTAATCAATATAAAAAAGTATTACTGAGATACTTTACACTTCTTTTTCATGCTACATTTTCAAAATCTGGTGGGTATTTTACACTTACAACACATTTCAATTTGGACTAGCTACATGTCAAGTTCTCCATAGCCAGCTACGTATGCTTAACGATTATTTTATTGAACAGTGCAGATCTCTAGTGTGTCTTAGAAAAGGATACTTTTAGGCTAGGCGCAGTGGCTCACATCTGTAATTCCAGCACTTTGGGAGGGTGAGGTGGGAGGATCACTTGAGCTCAGGAGTTGGAGACCACCCTGGAGAACACAGTGAGACTTAGTCTCTACTGAAAAAAAAAAAAAATTAGCTGGGCCTGGTGGTGCAAGCCTGTAGTCCCAGCTACTGTGGAGGCTGAGGTGGGAGGATCTCTTGAGCCTCGCAGATAAAGGCTCCAGTGGGGTATGATTGCACCACTGCACTCCAGCCTGGGAGACAGAGAGAGATTCTGTCTCAAAAGAAAAGAAAAGAAAAGAAAAGAAAAGAAAAGAAAAGAAAAGGATGCTTTAAAAATATGGCAAAATGTACCCTTTATTGACTATTGCCTTGTTTTAATTTTCTCTATTTTTCTATTTATTTTCTCAGTGTACTTTCCCATTTTTCTTTCTCTTTTCCTTCTTTGAAAGTAATTCTTGGCCAGGCATGGTGGTTCATGCCTATAATCTCAGCACTTAGGGAGGCTGAGGCAGGAGGATCACTTTAGCCCAGGAGTTCAAGGCTGTGATGAACTATGAACACACCACTGTACTCCAGCCTGGGTGACAGAGTGAGACCATGTCTCTTAAAAAAAAAAAAAAGTAATCCTCTTATTTCCTTTTCCATTTTGGCTAACTTTGCTTTGACTTCATCTTATTTTTATTAATGAGATGCAAAGACTATAAACATGACCTTGACCCATCCCTTTTTGCTCTTAAACAGAGACTCATTCCTTTTCTTAGCTAGAGGAGATATGAGGCAAATGTGACTAATCTTCCTTTCGTGCCAATGGAAAGTATAAAAGCCAAAACAACTTTGCCTTCGTAGCCTTCAGATATGTTCCTATGATGACCCCTACTTTTTTCTCTAAGAAATGGTAGGCAAACCAGGATATTTCACTTTACAGTACAGGATACTTTTACAAAGTATTGGGGTCATCTAAATCAGGCAAGGTAGTAAGTCAACCTAATAAGGACCCAGCTATTTCTATGACAGGGAAGACTTTAAAAAGGAGGTATTTATGAGGTAAAAGTATTAGAAAGAAGCCAAAGCTTCCTCCAAAGGAAGTGTCTCCAACCCTAATATCAACTGGTTAACCCCTTAGATGGCTTTGTTTAGCAGAAAGTAAAAATCAGGAGTACGTGTGATACAGTGATGGTGCAGGATTGTTTGTTGCAGACACAATCTGAGATCCCCAGAAGAGCCTGAAGAAGGAGTAGGAGACAGGCATCTCTTCCTGTTTCTCTAGTATTTATTCTACAATGTTTTTTGGATGATTAAAAAAAAAAAACTTTGTAAAAAGTTAATCACAGAGACTGTTCAAAATCTGTCACAGTAGAAAACTGAAATTGACCTAAAAATTCAGTAAGGATTGTTAAGCTAAATGCTATAGGACCTGAAATCCTAATATGAAAGTTAACCATGTATAAGAGAACAACGGGATGTTAGGAAAACTGGTCATTAAATTTAAAAAACCACCTCGTACTATGCTTTTCCAAGGCAACAAAATAGTACTATGCTCTAGAGAGATCACAGAAAGATTGCTATTTAAGAATAAGAGGCCGGGAGCGGTGGCTCACGCCTGTAATCCCAGCACTTTCGGAGGCCGAGGTGGGCAGATCACGAGGTCTAGAGATCGAGACCATCCTGGCCAATATGGTGAAACCCCGTCTCTATTAAAAATACAAACATTAGATGGGTGTGGTGGTGCATGCCTGTAGTCCCAGCTACTCGGGAGGCTGAGGCAGGAGAATTGCTTGAACCTGGGAGGCGGAGGTTGTAGTGAGCCAAGATCGTGCCATTGCACTTCAGCCTTGCAACAGAGCAAGAATCCGTCTCAAAAAAAAAAAAAAAATACAATTCTACAATTAAAATGTTATAATGATCTAAATATACCTAATATCTCATCTGTGCATTAAAAAAATCAAATATCACATGCTGCACTTGCACAGAACTTTGTAATTTACAAAATACATTCCCATAAATTAGGGTATCTGATCCACATAACAACTGAGTGAAAAGGGTAAGGGTAAACATCTATTCATACATCAAGCACATGTGATGAGCTGACAACAATAAGACTTAGCTCCTTATTCTTGAAGAACTCACAGCCCAAGTAAGAAGGGAAATAATTAACAAAACAACATTGCAGTATAGTAAATGATGTACAAGGTTCTAAGGCAGTACTAAGGACTGAGTGTCTAAATCAGCTCGGCCAGAGGTAAGGGGTTTTTCTTTTACAAAAGAAAAAACTAAGGCTCAAGAAAACTAAGTGTCTTGACCAAGGCTTTACAACAGGTAATTAGCAAAGTCAGTTTTGAACTCATGTTTTTGCCTCTTGATTCAGAGCTCTTTTCACTACATTAGACTCACTGCTCTTTGAAGTGTGACAGCTGCTTTATACTCTATGAGAGACTGCCTCTGTTGGTGAAAATTTTTCCTTTCCCTGTACCCTCTCCAATGTTTCTGGATAATCAGTGCTGATTTCTCTTCCATTTCCCGATAGTGTTTCTCCACCTGACCTAAAAAGATGATAGACACTATTACAACATACTCACTGCCATGCTTTCTTAAGTTCTGGAATCAGGACAATGATAATAATAATCTTGCATTCTTTTTATTTTTGTCAATATTGTTCACTAATTTTCCCAATTCTACTATTTTACCATGGTTCTAAGATTTTAGAAACAAAGCTTTCCCAGATTATGCAGCTTCTTCACAGAAAGAACTCATATAATATTTTTGTGGTAGAGTAATAAGAAAATGGCTGAAAATCCAATACAAAGAACACTAAAAAAAAAAAAAAAAATTCCTAAGTACATGATTAAGAAGTCATTCAGTACCACCAGAGGGAAAGGGCAAAATGTGTGTATGTGTTCTCTACTCTACATGCTTCCAAATTTCTCTTAAGTCACTCAGTCAGTTATACAGATGACTTTCTTTTTGCTTTCTTGGAGTTGCTCAGCATACAGCCCAGGGTTCACAGTATATATGTGACAGAATAAGGCAGTAGAATTGTTAATAAAAAGGGGGGCGTATTTGGGGAAGTATAAGAAACTGATATAATTTAATGATCAACTGGATACGGAGGTAAAAGAGGGAAAGGACTCTAGGATGTCTCAAATGGGAAACTGAGTAAGTTGTTGGTGCCATTACCTGAGATGGGGAATAAAGGAAAAGGAAATCTGAGGGGTAAGATAATGACTTTGGTGTTTGGGATGCCTGTGGATATCCAGGTAAAGCTGGATCCAATAGGCAGTTGGCTACAGAGGTGTGTTATTCAATAGAGTAGAAACTATCCACAAGTGGCTACTTGGGTTAAAATAAAGTAAAATTAAAATTCAGGTCCTTCAGTGCACTAGCCATATTTCAAATACTCAATAGCCATCTCTAGCCACTGGCTACCCTACTGGATGGTACAGATATACAACCTTTCATTTTTGTAAAAATTTATCTTGGGCAATTTTGCTCTAAGAGCTTAGGAGAGTAGGTGAAGATGGAGACCAGATTTGAGACTGCTCAGCACTCAGCTGAGAGTTGAGCTGCAGTTATGGATGGATACCCCAGGAAGAGAAAAATGACAGGAATAAGGTGAGGATGGAACCCTAGAAAACATCTATATTTAATGGAGATGAAGTGAAATAAAGGGCTAGTGAAGGACCCTGGATTGAATAACAAGAAGACAGGTAAAATAATTTGAAGATAATATTGAAACCACTAAGACCTCTCAGACCACATCTTCTTATTAATTTCAGCTTAGTCTGTCAAAGGCGGCAAGAAGATGTCACAACATTTGTACTAAGGAATGAGTTAAACTCTGATGGCAGAATGTAATAATATTCCAACTCCTTGTTTCAGTTCAAGAAGTATCTTTGTGTCTCTAACAGCTATCTTTATGCATACATTTTTATGTTTCACTAAATTATCTGAAGGATAAGAAAAAAAACTGGTGGGGAGATTGTTCATCGTCAACTAATAGGTCTGAATTGAAAAAACAGTAACCGTTTTTGAACTCAGAAGATCTAATAAAGTTTATCTGAAAAACAGAGAAAAAGGACAAAAGTCCAAATTTAAAAAAAAATCATCACGTAGCTAGAAAAGTTGGTTTGTTAAAAGATAACCTAAATATTCTTATATTGATAAAGTTGATACTGCCACTCACCTGGATGAACTATTTCGAGCATACTCAGCTGCAATTCTCGGGAAAGTCTCATGGCTCTCTGTCTTTGAAGTTGCAATTGTAATTTGAGGTCCTCTTCTTCCTTCTGCCTATTTATCTCCAGCAACATCTTTGATCGTTTGGATCTGTGATGGAAACAGTGTGTTATACATAATTTTCATAAATCATATGAAAAAATGCATAACCTCACTAGTAATCAAATAAATGTAAACAGAAAAAATTTTAAGATAATTTCTAGTGTTAATAAGGTATGATAAAATAGCTTGTCATCTGCTGCTGTTGTGCAATCTTTCTGTAGAAATATTTGAATATATGCATTAAAAGTCTGGAAAAATATTTGAAATATATAAATAAAAAGCCTTAAAAGTGATGACCAATTAATTCTATTACAAATAATTTTCTTAAGGAAATAATCAGATATATATGTAAAAATTTATGTTCAAAAATGTTCTCCACAGTATTACAACAGTAACAAGTTGAAAACAAACTTTGTCTCACAACAGCGAGTTGGATAAACAGATACTGGTTCATTCACCTGATGGGATGGGATTCTATGAACTATGAAAACATAAAATGTTCGAAGAATATTTAGTGACATGAGAATATACTGATGATCTAATGTCAGGTAAAAGGAAAATCAGGATATAGAAGAATGACATCAAAATTGTGTCAAAAAACTTACATTTACTTACACAAAAAAAAAATAAAAAACATTAAAATTTCAAGTGATTTTTACTGCATGATGTAATTACAGTTGATCTTTATTTTCTTCTTATGCCTATTTCTCAATTATTGACAACTGAACATTACTTTCATAACTGGTTATGAAAATTTTCATGTGACCACAAACATTTTATATAATTATAATTTCTGTATTATCTGCTTTTATTCACCAAAATTTCTCCTTAGCCATTCCCATCTAGTTTTTGTTGCTTCCAATATCACTATGTAAGGAGACTACAAGTGTCAGTTTACAGTAAATATACTCAAAATGCTTTCAGACACCCACAGAAAAAGAAAACGAGGATAAGAAGAAAGGCAGAATAAACTACTTAGTTTACCGCTATAGACTTAATTTGACATGTGTCTCCCTCAAGAACATTTTCTCTTAGATCTTTTTTTTAAACTGTATTCTTAGAATTAAACTGTAAACAAATGTGGTACCTTGGCTATAGCTTTGTACTCTTAATAGTCAGACTTCATTATAGTATAGTTAGGATTATTATGATTTTTCAACTGAATTTTCAACTCAAAATAGTTTATTTTGATTTTGATAAAATTTTGTGTGCCTGTGGTTGTTTCTCATAAATTCTTCCATCAATTACAACTTAAATTTTCTCTAGCTTTCTACTTAGGGCAGAGTAGAGAATTTATTTGTTTTGAAACTTCTTTCTTATCCCTATTATCAAGGGTAGAGAAGACCTCAAAAGTGTATGTGTGTCAAAAGATTCCAGAGAAGATCTAGGGCTAGTTGAATAGTTCTAAGTGTCTCTTGCTCTTTGTGAAAGCTGGAAATGAAGTAGGTAAGGGCCTCTCCCTTCCCAAAGAATAGCTGATAGCAACTTGCCTGTTCTACAGAACTCCATCACCTCAAAACTTCTGGGTTATACAGCATGCAGATAATAATGTTTTATCTCTTACCCATTCATAGAGGGTAAAAGAGAGCAGGCCCTAAACAGAGCCTCCTTTTAAACTGATTTTTAAAAAACTACCTCTGTGGCCGGGCGCGGTGGTTCACGCCTGTAATCCCAGCACTTTGGGAGGCCAAGGTGGGTGGATCACCTGAGGTCAGGAGTTTGAGACCAGCCTGGCCAACATAGCGAAACCCCATTTCTACTAAAAATACAAAAATTAGCTGGGTGTGATGGTGTGCACTTGTAGTCCCAGCTACTTGGGAGGCTGAGGCAGGAGCTTGAACCTGGGAGGTGGAGGTTGCAGTGAGCCAAGATCGTGCCACTGCACTCTAGCCTGAGTGACAGAGTGAGACTCCGCCTCAAAACAACAACAACGACAAAAAACTACCTCTGTTTCTAACTTCTAATTGGCTATAGATTATAATGTCTAATACTGCATTATCAATATTTTAAATACCATTTTACACTATTAGTATGAAAAACATAGTAATCATTAAAATTGCATCTGCTAGAATATTTAATCTGTCAGAAAACTGGGTTTGGGAAACAATTTAGGCATGTAGGCTATCAAATATGGCAAAAATGAAAAGACTATGGAGCATGAAGGTGGAAGTAAAGTACAAACCAGAAAGACAGGACAAAAGTGAGATTTGGGCCGGGCGCGGTGGCTCACGCTTGTAATCCCAGCACTTTGGGAGGCCGAGGCGGGTGGATCACGAGGTCAGGAGATCGAGACCATCCTGGCTAACACGGTGAAACCCCGTCTCTACTAAAAAATAACAAAAAAATTAGCCGGGCGTGATGGCGGGCGCCTGTAGTCCCAGCTACTCGGGAGGCTGAGGCAGGAGAATGGTGTGAACCCGGGAGGCGGAGCTTGCAGTGAGCCGAGATTGCGCCACTGCACTCCCGCCTGGGCCACAGAGCAAGACTCCGTCTCAAAAAAAAAAAAAAAAAAAAAAGTGAGATTTGGTGATTTAAATAGGGACTAAATTGTAAACAGGTGTGCTTATTGGATTCATATGTTTTACTTTCATATCTGAAAACATTTATTAGGAACTGAAGTGATTTTGAATGTAATTCCCCCATTTATTATTAAATAACATCGAGTTATTTTGTTCAGAGTTTCTCTAATCACTCAAAAATCAAACAATTATTCTTCCAACTGGTTTCTTTGTAAGAATTAGTAGGCACTGGACCACCTGGCATCTGTACTACACTTCTGAAGATGAAATGACTGATCAGATGTCATATTCTGAAATAAGTAAATTCCATGATTTACATTTAATCAATCTGAATTTTTACCATTAAAGTGGGAGTTGACCAAATTTTCTGCTGCCAAGACACTGTGCCTCAGAGGGAGAGAGAGAAAAAAGATGCTATCTGCATTTAAGAAGCTCAGTTTCAAGATGAAATCAACAAATGTAATTAAAACACTTAAAAATCAGCACTATGATAGAGGTAGGTAAATTGTGAGGTTTCTCTAAGATAACTAGAGCAGCTGTTAGCCGCTTCAGAAAACCTTGCTGAATAAGAGTACTTAAGAGACAAAGTTTCTGAATACGAGAAATGACTAAATAAAAAAGAAACCACTATGAAAGTGCATTAGCAAGGGCGTGACTATAAAAGAATGCCTCTTGCTGAATCTAAAGAACACTAATCAACCTGGACCCATAAGTGTGACCAGTGGGCAGTCTCTCTCCCAAAACCATGGGAAGGGGAAATTACTGAGATAAGTCCTGAGCACAAAAAGACAGAAATAACCTTTGAAAAAAAACCAAGCTACAAAGGAAGCAAGAGACATTTGCATGAACTGTTACAACTAATAGAAGAGCGAAGGTGCTGAACTGGAGAAAACTGAAAATTAAAAAATTAAATAGAATCCAACAGGTTAGAACCGCATTTCAGTATATTCTGGAACCTCAAATGCAAAAATACTGGAAAGGCAACAAACACAAAATGTGAGACTTAAATAATTTTTGCTTCACAGCTTATCTTTTTAATGGAAGTATTTATAACTCTTCTGGTTACATAAAGAAAGCAATGGAATTTCTATTTTAAAATAATGGAATATTAGATTCCATAGATACACTTCTAAGTAGAAAAAAATCTGTAATCCTGGGCTACTTTTAAATAGAGATTTTAATATTGAAAGAGAGAGTATATGAGCAAATTTGGGAACTCTTGTGGGACTAAACATTAATGCTCTGAATCCATGTATAAGGGTACCCTTAAATTTAAGATGACAGGTAACTAAGGATGATAGCAGGTGGAATCCATAAGTAATACCTACTCTATCTGAATTCACCACAGAGGCAATACCAAGAGCACCTCAGATGCTTTGGGTAGAAAAATATACACTGTGACTCAAAAAGTACTCAATATTTCCCAAATTTATCTAACCACAGAAATGCTTTTAAAAAAAAAACAGCTTGTAAGATAGGCAATAAACTTTGAGTAATAATAGATGGATAATACTTGCTTCTCATTAGTACTACCTATTTAATGCATCTATTTGTTTACCTAGATTTGTAAATTTTCAAGGACAGAAAATGTGCCATATGCATTTTTCCTTCTATCATTTTTTAAGTGCCAGATAATATGCTAAAAACTTTGTATTATCTCAAATTTTACATTATCTTGATCATACAAGTGTATAAACTATTATTCTCATTTTATAGATTGGAAGTTTGAGGCTGAGAGAGGTGGGGGATTGTCCAAGTTCACTCAACCAGTAAGCTGCTCAAGTGAGATACAAACTCGAATCTGTTAAATGCCTAGTACATATATCATATACTAGGCATTTGATATATATTTAAAAATTAATTCTTTTCTTTGCTACCAACAATATTCATGCCCAATAATATTTAAAATCCATCTTTAATTCTTCCCTGAAGAAAACGTTCATCAATTAATAGGATACCCACTAAGAGACACAGTTAGCTAGAGTGATTTCAATGTCTTCAACTCTGTGACTACATAGTATTTTGAACCCCAGAGCTATTTTTAAATGTTTTTATAACTGAGAAATGCATCTGCAGTTATTAAAAGAATAGTTTCAGTTTTCTTTAAAGAATTAACTTCTGTAAAATGCCAGTTTCATTTTAGCAAACTAAAGCTTGGCTTTAAGTTAGGCTGCATGAAAAAGTCACCTCTGAAACAGATCTTCTTTACCATAAATTACCTAGAAGCTAAGTTATTTTTTCTTGTTCTGTGACCTTGGAGGATCTGGATTGGTTAAGTCATTGCAGAAAGTGGGCTATGTCTTCAGTATTTCCTTTTCAGTCTACTTGAAATAAATGCCGAACTATATCATAATTCAATGAAGATATCCATCCATGCCATATTTATTCAGGAAAATCAGGTTAACAGACTTAAACTCTTATACGCATACATGTTATTGTTATAATTATACACACGAAATTATGATAACTGTTGGTTTAGAGGGTTTAATAATATAACTATCATTGGCTCCCTTTGTAGGCTTGGCCCCTCCCCAAATATCTTATTAAGTGGATAGGATTGCATATTTGACACATCAGATTCCTGTCTTACATCCTTTGCTTTGAAAGTGCATCTGGTTACTGGAGTGTTGGTACCCAGAAACGTATGGAAAAAAAATGAAAAGATAACAAGAAACATACTAGGAAATTAAAAAAAAATCACCTAAATTTCAATTCAACTGTACTCTAGTAAGATTCTATGATCATCAATCCCCTCACCAAATTTTTTTACCTGAAACTCCTCTGCAAAGCAATCACAGCAGATGGAAGCTTCTTTAATCTCTTTCTTGTCTGAAAACCCTTCCAATAGGCTTGAATCAAGCATGCTGCTTGATGTAGTTTCTGAAATGCCGAAAATAATTTAGAGATATCTCTAGGAAGGTCTTTAAAAAAAAAAAAAAGTTTACCTCTTAAAGTATCAGGTTAGGGCAAATATTAATCTCTAGCTCTAACAAGATGGGTAAGAATATTAAACCTTACCTCCCAAAGGAGGTATGTTAGGCTTGGTAAGGCAATTTCTAGAACATACTCAAGATATAGTCTAGTTAGCTCCAAATTCTCCCAGAATAATCTCACTTCCATTTCCTTTTCAAAGATTTCATAGTCCGCCTGACCTTTCATAATCTTTTTTGAGCTAACATGTTAATGTTTTTACTTAATAGGCAATCAACCTAGTTAGGTTCAAACTATAAGCTCTGTTGACCATTGTGGATGGTTGCTCGAATCTCTGTTTAGTTCTGTAAGCTTTTGATATGCTATTCTCCTGATAGACCATTGGGCTTAAAAGGTCAGTGAGCTGTCTGAGTTCTTGACTGAATTCTGTCCCAGTCTCCTGTTTACTTAATAGACTTCTGAGTCCTCAAATGGAATGGCAAAGGGTACAACTATTAATAATAAAATATAGTTTTATGATTTTGTTACCTAATCAATATGAATTTGAGCATATGCATAGTTTTGAGATTAATCTAAACTCACGATGGTTCATATATACAGAAAAAAGGAATTCCCTTCTTCTGCACTCTTCCTTCCAGCCTCCCCCAACCCATTCTCCTGCCTTACTGGACTTATTTTCATGGTTTCTGCTTGTATTTTTAAATTTATTGTCTTTTTGGTTTTGGATTTTGGATATACAATGTCCCCTTTTCCTTTTAAATTAAAAAATATCTTTAGTCATTTTAGATGTTTTCCATATTTAAGTCTTTATCTGGAAATCAGAAAGCAATATGCCTCTTCCTGTTGAATGGGCTATTTAGAGCCATCATTTTGAGTATGCTAGAGGAAGTATGATGAAATAATCAATAACTTGCTGCCTCAAATTTCTAAATAATTTTATTAATACCATTTCTTACACAAAGGAAAAGGCATTATTGTTGTATCTCAAAGAACAAGAAGGGTAGCCATAGGTAACCATAAATACAGTTTGCTACAATTAGAGATTTTTTTTGGAAAAACAGTTTTAAAAGTTTAAATAGCTTATAGATAAAAGAAGATAAACATCAGAGATGGGGCTTTCATGAGAAATGATGAATGAAACTGATGTGGCAGTATTTATAAACAGATGTAAATGGGAGATTGAAATTATGTTTTCCAGCAGATTGAATGGCGGAGAGATACAATTTTGTAACATTATATTTTAAAGATGGGGTTTTGCTATTTTGACCAGGCTGGGGTGCAGTGGCTACTCATGGGTGTGATCATAGGGCAGTCTCCAATTCCTGGACTCAAGCAATCCTCCTGCCTCAACCTCCTGAGTAAAAAATTTAAAGATATTTCTGTTTTGGGGGTATTTTGCTTGAAATCTTAAGAGAAAGAAAGTGAGGAACATTTAAGGAAAACTAAGGTTTAATATAGTCAGCAAATATCATGCAATTTTTTTTTTTTGTAACTTAATACCTGCTCTTCTACTTCCTGATAGACCATTGGGCTTAAAAGGCCAACAAGCTGTCTAAGTTCTTGACTGAATTCAGTCCCAGTTTCCTGTTTACTTAGTAGACGTCTGAGTCCTGAAATGGAATAGCAAAAGGTACAACTATTATTATAATAATAAAATATGATTTTGTTATCTAATCAGTATTAATTTGAAGCTAAAAAGTCTGGCTTAAAAACAAATGAAAACAAGATTAATCATATGATTTTTCTTTTTCCTTTTCTCAGAGAATTCCAGGTTGAAATCTTTAAGATATTCCTCCCTCCTGAGAATTCTTACGTGCTCAATTGTGGTATCTGATAAAAAAAAAAAAATCTGTCTAGACAATCTCTTTAATAAAAAAAAAAAAAAAGGAGTGGGATGGAATCACTGTGGTAAATCAAAAAGTAGAGATAAATTTTTTTTATTTGAACAAAAATACTTAAATGGAGACATTTTAAAGATAAATTACTACAGACACATATTCAGTAAATGCTTGCCCTGTGGAAGCACTTATGCAGATTATTATTAGTCATTATTAGTTGAAAAAGATTATTAAATATAAACATATGGTAACATATATAATTTGGGGCAAATCAATAGGTTCCTGGGAAAACATTATAGGTGAAGTGCTACAACACTAGGATAGTACATTTTCATGCCAAAATAATACATAGTAGTAGTGAAAGGTACAAAGTAAGTACTGTTTCCAGGGTACACTGAAATGATGTATTATAATGTGTGTATTCAAAATAAATACATAAGGTAAAATTGCCTTGTAGTGTATAATTGGGGAAACCACTATATGGATCTTTTAATGCCTTATACTCTCTTCAACACCCAAGTTCTCAGCAGTATTAATAATTGTAAAATATCTTCAGGAATCTGAATAAGTTCTGCTATTGAGATATAAGTCAAAGAAAGGGAGAAGGATTCAGGTAAAATTCCTTTATAACGACTCTGTTGGACATTCACATTTCTTTAGGAATTGAATTACAGAATTGAAAAATGTCTATCTGGCACAATATCAACTAAAGAGCTCTATTACTGGTACTTTCCTTCTCTATTCCTACAATACCCTCAGTAATGACTAATTCAAGGTACATTATTACAATGTCTTCAAAATCATCAAGAATGATAAAGACCTTTCTAGTTGTTTAGGTATTAAATGCATCATATTATATTCTAACCTTTAAAAATTCCCATACAGTATAACCCTATGTTAATAAGTATATTTAATGAACTAGAATCCCATTTCCTGACCACGCTGAATAAGAAAAATAGATTATAATACATACATGGCTCTGGTCAGCAAAGAAATAAAACAAAGATAACATATAACTTTGCTTGGCAATTAAACAATATATATACTACCTTTGTGATCTTGGGCAAATTACCATGTCTCTGTTTCTATATCTATAAAATAAGGATAAGAATATCTATCCCATAGGATTGTTGTAAAGATTAAACATTTTAATGCATATAAAGTATATGGAATGTGCCTGACACACAGTAAATGCTCAATTAAATGAAAGCTATTATATGAGAATGTATATACGCTTACTCCTTTTATCCTCAAAATTTCTGACTTTTAATTCACATATGTATTTGATTTTGGAGGTAAGGCAATTTTTTTTGTTTGTTTTTGAGGAAAGGCAGTGTTAAGTAATTATTGATAGTTCAAAATACCATAAGGGCCACTGGCCTCTCAAGCACAGCTCCATTTTCTCCACTAAAGCTGGTCTTGATAAGGTCACTGATCTTTTTGGTCATTATTTTACTATACTATATGGTATATTCAACACACAAAACCTTTTTGTCAGAGAGGGAGTAAATATTTATGGCAACCTGATCAGAAAAGTATCTTCCACATGCTATCTGTAGTGACATGAAGATAGCTTGATTATATAAAGACTTTTTTTTTTCTGAATTGGTATCTGTTGTGAGTTTTATCTACATAGGTCAGTTATCAACTCTTTAAAATATAAGAATTTTGTTTTTCATAAACCATCAATAAAAATTTTCTTTTTGAGAATCCCAAGAAAAGAAAGAATGAATGTACTACCTTTGTAGCAGGTACTTTGTCTCAGTAAAATCAAAATTTCCTGATGGGATTCAGCCATCAACAGTAGGAGTTTTGTAGCAGTACTTCTTATAACTGGACTAGGAGTTGAAAAAAGCTTGAAAATAACTTCATCTAAAATTGAATACAGGGCTTTTCTTCCTATTCTGAGTAAATCACCACTAATAGAACAAAATAAAAAAAAAAGTACCATTACTAATTGATGTACAGGTATCACAACAAATCTAAAATATAAGATTCAGTAACTTGATGCCGGACTGTGTCCTGATCCAAGAATATAACCACTTTTTCAAATATATGTTGGTTCCAAGAAGATATCATATTCAGTCACTTAATATTTATTGAATTCCTACTGTGTGCAAGGTGCCATGTGTGCTAGGTACAATAGAGAATACAAAGTAGCCAAAGGCCTTCTCCTTAGAGAAGCCTGCAATCAAATCAAGGATGAAATATAAATGTGCAAAATACTAAACAATAAATAATTTAAAAGCTTCAAGGCAATGATAAAAGTGAAATCAAGACAGGTACACAGTTAATTTTTAAATGATGTACAAAGACAAAAATGCCATAGGAATTCTATCATGTGCTTAATATAGGAGAAACTTAAAATCTTTCCTTGGTATTTCCTTCATTATACTAACAACCCATCTTGTATTACTGATGTTGTGAAAAATTATCTAAAACTTAGAAATAGTCAAAAGGAAAGGGTTAGTGAGTATCCTTTTATTTACCCCCTTAAGGAGTTATGTGATTTTCTAGGCGTATGTACCTCTGTTTAATTTTCTACTCACTATTAAAATACTTTACAATTCTGTAAAAATAGAGGTTGGCTGGTAGAAAACAATGCTAAAGATTCTTATCTAAGAGCAATGTAAACAGACTCTTATTCAAAGCAATACAAATGATTTCTGTCCAGTAGAAAAGGTAATTCTAGAAGCTACATTGCTTTATAAGTCATATTTTCCTATTAGCAAATTTTAAAAATCTATCAGCAAATTTACTTCTACATTTCTTCGACAAACCAACTCCATAAATCTATTTTCCTCAAATTCTCCTTTGACCCTGTATAAATATCTTATTTGTTCCCTCATTAATGAGTTGCATAAAATTTTGAGCAGTCAAATTTTATATTTGTATAAGACTCATGTTTGAGCTTTTTGAAAATTGTACTTTAGTAGTTACTAAAATAATTTTGTTAAGAGAAAAGAGATCAGCAACATACCTTAAATGTAAAAATCTCTGAGTTGAAAGACTTTATAAAGTTATCCAATCAAAATATGTGAGAATCTTTGTGACATCTACTTCTGTGCCACTGTGTCTCTTACATGCTATTCCCTATGCCTAGGATGCTCACCCTGTCCCATCAGTCAATGTCATCACACTATTCAAAACTCAGATTAAAAAATATGCTCATCTCAGAAAGCCTTCTACAGATATCCCTATCCCAATCTTATCACATCTTTACTCCATATCCCACCAAGAGTTTGTGCTATAATGTAATACAGTAGTTTAAATGCTTTTAGATGCTCTTCAACCTCCTAATCTTAAAGACATCCTCTCTATACCACTACCATCTTATCTCTCTGCTTCTCTTCTAATCCAATTTCTGTTGCCACTATCTCACATCTCATTTCTCAAACCACTGCATCTAGTTTTCATTTTTTACTATTTCACTATACTATCCTTGATAAGTTCATCAGTATAACTTCCCAAATGTCAAGTCACATATATACCATAAGTGATTCTTTTCCTAGACTTGTTTGTATCTGATACTTTCTACTTACTCAGCTTCTGTGATACAAAGTTCTGGTCTCCCCTCTACCTTCCACCCATACTTTTCTGACCATTCTTTTTCATTTGTCTTTGTGGGCTCCACTTCCCCAGTATAACCCTAAAAGGTTATTCCCCAAGACTCCATTTTCAAGCCATTTATTTTCTCATTGTATTCACACTTCCTACTAATCTCACTTTCTGTCATGTTTTTCTCTACCATGTATAAGCTGATTTGTAAATCTGTAACTCTAGTCCCAATCTCTTCCAGAAGTTAGTTTACCTATTCACCTGATGGACATTTGAGTTTTAGCTAGTCCTTGTTTTTCACAAATAAAGCTCAATGAACATTTGTGTATAAGTCTTTATATAGATACTTACTTTTACTGCATGTTGAACTACCTATACTCAACATAACCAACATTGAATTAATCATCTGTCTCACAAAACCAACTTCTTATATATTCCACATACCACAGTCTAATCACCCAATACAGAAAACTTGGTATCATATCTGACTGCACCATTTATTTTATCTACCCCATATCAAAACATTCACCAAGTCATCATAATTTTTGTTTTAAACAGCTTTTTAAAAATATAATTGATATACAACAAACTGCATATATGTAAAGCATATAATTTCATCAGTTTGACATGTTTCACCAACATAAAACAAGAAAATGAATATATCTATCACCCCTAAAAGCTTCCTTGTATTTCATTGTAGTTCCTCCCTTGTTGCCTTCCCTATCATTCTATGCCCAGGAAACCACCGATCTGCTTTCTGAGAAAGTTCCCTTGTATTACTACTTTGCTGCAAGGCCTTTTTTTTTTTTTTTTTTTTTAATTAAAATCAGGGCTAGATAATGGATTTTGTCAAAAGCTTTTTCTGTATCTACTGATATGATGGTATGTTTTTTCCATTTTTAGCTTGTTAACATAAGTTACAATGACTGACTTCAGAATATTAAACCAGCCCTGAATGCCGGGATAAACCAGAATTATTCATGACGTATTAACTTTTTAATATATTGTTGAATTTGACTTATAAAATTTTGTTCAGAACATTTCTATCTATGTTTATGAATATACTGATGAGTAGTTTTCTTTTCTTATAATGTCTTTGTTTGGTTTTGGTATCAGGATAATGCTGACCTTATAGAATGAGTTGTAAGTGTTTCCTCCTTTTCGATTTTCTAGAAAAGTTTGCTTAAGATTATTATTTCTTCCTGAAGTGCTTAATAGAATTCACAGTGAAAAAGCCATCCAGACCTGGAGTTCTCTTTGTGGGAAGGTTTTTAGCTACAAATTCAATTTTTTTTTATAGCTATCTAGAGTATATTTGGGTTCTCTATTGCTCCTTGAGTAAATTTTGGTAGTTTGCGTCTTTCAATAAATTTGTCCATTTGATCTAAGTTGTTAAATTTATAAGCATAAAGTTGTTTATATTATTCCCTTGTGATATTTTTAGTATTTGTAGACTCTGTTACGATGTTACCTCTCTAATTCCTGAGATTGGTCATTTGTATTATGTCTTTTCCTTTCCATATTAATCTTGCTACAGGTTTCTTCTCAAAGAGCCAGTTTATGGTTTGTTTTCTCAAAAAACTTCAATCTTCCCAAAGATCCAGTTTATGGTTTATTTCTCTATCACGTTTGCTTAGAATTTTATTGATTTCTGCTCAACCTTTATCATTTTCTTTCTTCTGCTTAGAGTTTAATTCCCCCTTCTTTTCCTAGTTTCTTAAAGGGGAAAGCCGAGGTCAATGATTTGAGATTTTTCTTCTTTTCTAATATATAGGCATTAGTGATATAAATTTCCCCTAAGTATCATTCTGCTTTAATTAAGAATTTCCCCAGAAATTCTCATGTTGTTTTTATTTCCATTCATTTAAAAATAATTTCTAATTTCACTTTTGATTTCTCCTTTGTCTTGTGAGTTATTTAGATGAATGTTATTATTTCCCACATATTTGGGGACTTTTCAGAGATCTTCTTGGCATCAATTTCCAACTTAATTCCATCGAGGCCAGAGAACATACTTTGTATAACTGAAATCCTTTTACGTTGCTTTTTTCTTTTTTTTGAGACAGGGTCTTGCTCTGTTGCCTAGGCTGGAGTGTAGTGATGTGATCTCAACTCACCGTAACCTCTGCTTCCTGGGCTCAAGAGATTCTCCCACCTCAGCATCCCAAGTAGCTGGGACTAGAGGCACCTGCCACCATGCCCAGCTAATTTTTTGTACTTTTTGTAGAGATGGGGTTTTGCCATGCTGCCCAGGCTGGTCTGGATCTCCTGGACTTAAGTGATCTGCTCACCTCAGCAAAGTGCTGAGATTACAGGTGTGAGCCACCGTGCCCGGCCCCTTTTGTGTTTCTTGAGACTTTATTTATGGCTCGGAATATGCACCCTTCTTTGTAAATGTTCCATCTGCATTTGAAAAGAACATGTATTCTGCTACTGTTTGGTAGAATATTTGTAAAATGTCAATCAGGTCAGATTGGTTGATATTATTGTTCAAATCTGTGGTCATACTAATTTTTTTGTCTACTTATTCTATTAAATATCAAAAGAGGTATATTAACATCTTTTGCTTTAATTGAGGATTTCTCCTTGTAGTTCTTGTCAATTTTTGCTTGTGTATTTTAAAACTCTATTAGGTCAATAAACACATCCTTTTGATGAACTGACTTTTTTTATGATTATGAAATAACCTTCTTTAGCACTAGAAATATTCTTTGTTCTGTAACTTACTTTATCTGATACTAATACAGGTACTTCAACTTTCTGTGGTATAAGCACGGTATATCTTGTTCCACCCCATTACTTTTAACCTACTTGTGTCTTTATATCTAAGGTGCATTTCTGGTAGACAGCATATAGTAGGCTTGTACTTTTTAAATCCAATCTGTCAATCTGTCTTTTAACTTTAGTTTTTCCACATTTACATCTAAGATAGATAGGTTTAAATCTACCACTTGGTTTTGTTTCTCCTTTGTTCTTCTTTTTTTTTTACTTCCTTCTTCTGGATTGCGTATTTTTTAATGATTAATTTTTATTGCCTTTGTTGGCTTATCAGCTGTAAATTCTTTGTTTTGCTATTTTCTTCACTGCTTTGAGGTTCAAAGTATACATTTCAATTTCTCACAGTCTTATCACTTATCACAGTGATATTATACCACTTCATGTATAGTATAAGAGTCTTACATCAGTATACTTCCATTTATCTCCTCCCAGCCTTAATGCCCTTTTGGAATACATTCTACTTATACATATGTTCCTCAAATACAGCATTATTTTTGTGTAGGCAAACATATTATAGATATATTAAAATAATATAAGAAAAACTATCTTATATGTTTATGTAATCACCATTTCCGATACTCTATTTCTTTGTGTAGATGAATTTCCCTTCTGATGGAAGGACTTCCTTGAATATTTTTTGTAGTGTTGGTCTGCTGGTGATTTCTGAAGAAGTATTTCATCTTTGCTTTTGAATATATTTCTGCTGAGCATGTAATTCTAATTTGACAGTTTTCTTTTTCAGTATTCAACTGTCTTTTTACTTGTGTTGTTTCTGATAAGAAAGTTGCTGTCATCCTTATCTCTATTTCTCTATATAATGTTTTTTCATCTCTGGTTGCTTTTAAGATTTTTCTCTTTATCACTGGTTTGAGCATTTTGATTACGATGTGCCTCAATGTGGAATTTTCTTCATATTTATTGCCCTCAGGGTTTGACGACCTTTTTGCATCTGCATGTTTATAGTTTTCATCAAATTTGGAAAATGTTAAGTCATTACTTCTTCACACATTTTTTTGTGACCCTACTGCCTGCTTTACGTACTCTGATTACACTTATGTAAGGTTGCTCAAGTTGTCCCACAGTTCACTGATATGCTTTTCTTTCCTCTTGTTTCTTCTTTGTTTCATTTTGGATAGTTTCTACTGATACGCCTTAAAGTTCACTAATCTGCAATGTTAATCTGCTGTTAATCCCATCCAGTGTATTTTTCATCTCAGATATTGTAGATTTCATGTCTAGAAATTCACTTTGAGTCTTATATGTCTGTATTCAACTTTTTAAATATATGGAGTATGGTTATAATAACTAGTGTCCTTGTCTGTTAATTCCAACATATGTACCAGTCTTGATTAATTCTTCTCATTTTAGATCCTGTTTTCTTGTTTATTTGCATGCCCAGTACTTCAGTACCAGTAAAATCAAATCACCCGTTGAATCGTAGTATGTTTTGTAGCATAGTCATGACTGTATAATCTATCATGTATCAGTACTGCAAGATACATGCAGTACTGCAAGTAGTTATCAGTAACTGCAAGAAATAGTCATTTTACAGTAATAAAGAAATAGAAAAAAAGAGTCATCAAAGCAAATATTCTATGATGGCACAAGTGGGATTTTTCTCATCCTTTTTAAAGCCAAATCGAAGGATAGCCATTTCTAGTGAACTTCCTACCTTTGTATAACCTACAATAAAATTAATTTTAAAATACAGCCAGGTTCAATAACCACATGCAGTTAAGTTACTTGGAAACAGTTTGACCCTTTTGGGTCTTGCTTTTATGATCTGGAATAGTGCTCATTCTAATGCTAATTATTCCTCACTACTGGAGTAAAACCTTCCTGAACACTCTACCCAATGACGCACTGTTTATGAGGCTTTCCAGTTTGGCTGTTGGAAACAGGCACTATTTCTGGCCCTGTGTGAGCTCCTTGCACTGTTCCTTTTAATCCTTTTGGATTATTGTTTTCCCTGGCATTGGGTATTCCTTACAATGTGCAGATCAGTACTCTACTTAATACTTGAAGGATACCCTCTGCAGATCTCTGGGGTTCTCTACATGTATAGCTCTCTTCTCTAGTATTCTGACTTGTGAACTCTAGTTATCTTGTTCTCTCCAGACTCTGAGCTCTATCACTTCAACTCAAGCTGGCTGGGATGCCTCTCCCTATACTTCAACCTGGAAACTCTCTCAATACTGTAAGTTAGAGCAATTGTAAGATTCACCTTGTTTATTCCTTTTTCTCTGGGCTTACTTTCTTTCACTGACTGATACCCAGTTTCTCAAAAAATTATGTGTCATGTTTTTGTCCTTTTTTTCAGGTGGGAGGATAAATGCATCCCTACTATTCCATCTTGATCAGAAGTGGAAGTAAAGTCCTGATGATTTTAATTCATTATTTTAAAACCTCCATATCCCAGGTACCAATGCCCAAGGACAAGTTATCATTACTTCACTTGGATTAGTATGATTGCCTTTTGTGTCTAGAGTTTTCTTCCCCTTAATCTACCTTCACATAGTCACCAGAGTAACAAAATTGAAATGTAATCTGACCACTTTCGTCTACTTTAAAAATCTTCAATGGTCCCCGTTGCCTATAGGATTAGACTCCGTTTCCTCAACACAGCATATAAATTCTTCATGACTTTGAGTCTCAGCCGAGCTTGCTAGTCACCTCCCTATATGGAACTTTATATCCCAACAATAATGAATTTGTACCTACTTTTCATCCTCAGCATGTTGTTTCTTATCTCTGTGCTTTTGTTTATGTTGCCTGGAATTACTGCTTTCTCTTTCTCCTCTTCCTCCCTGGCCAATATACCATCCTTGAAGTTTCATCTCAGATATTACCTTCTCCAGGAAGCACCTCCCCTCGGTTTGGGTTAGAAGGTCCTTTAACATTTATGGTCACTTTTAATATTGTAATTTAATGTATACAATGATGTTTGTGTTTTCCATTCTATTGTAAGCTCTTTGAAGACAAGGTTTATATCTTAATCAACTCTATAATTGCAATGACAGACAGCAGCTGCATAATAAATTCATACTAAACTGAAAGAATGGATTATTTCAATTGTGTATACTCTGCCCTTCCATGTTACCCTGAATAATTGCCAATTGCTTCTTTTATACCCTTCTTGAGCATCTGTAAAAATACCAAGCTTGAAGTTTATTAAATAAATGTGATTAAACATTTTTTGTTGTGATCTCAATATTTTTCTTCAGATTATCACACTAATTCTCTTCTTTAAGCCTGAGATTTGAGCTAAAAATCTTAAGCTCTGGTATAAGGTATCAATTTAATAATAAATTTCCAGTCTTTTGTAGTATTTTATATTAATTTTTCTGAAAGACAATGGTGATGGAACTTCAGCATTATATACAAGTATATAGTGCATATACTTGTATATACATTATATACGAGTATATAGTGCATATACTTGTATATACATTATATACAAATCATATGCGGTCAATTTTAGCAAAATTGGAATAAAATTGGTAATGCTTCTGATAAAAAAAAAGCAGTAACATTTTGTAAAAACCAAGTCACCTGTTGATCTGTAGTATATTCTGTAGCATCATCATGACTGCAGATCCTATTTGGACATTGTCAGCTTGCAGTAAATGTAAGAAATGATCACTTTGTAGTACTAAAGGAAAAGAAAAAAAAAGAAAGATTAAAGTAAAGATTTTATGATAACAAAGGAAGATTTTGTTCTTTTCAAACCAAATCAAAGCATGACCATCTCTGCTAAACTTTCTGACTTTGTAGACTCTACGATAAAGAAGACTTTAAGATGTAAAATTCATGGCAATTTTAAATAGCGATAAATAAGTCATTTCATTTTTATGAATATAGTCAGAAAATAGGCATAAATACTAAGCTAAGAATCTATTGTTATCTCTTTAAATTGAAAATATCATATCCTAAATCTGAATCTTTTTCTTCTATCAATGAATTTCAGTGAATAAAAACAAATTTCCTGCAAAGACAGAATATAAGGAAACGGAAATGGCACAGATGACTATAATTGGTTGCTCACAACCTTAAAAAATTTAATTTTGTGACATATTGTTTTATATAATAATGAATACGCTAACTACAAAAATTTCCTTTTATTGATTTGTAATCTTTAAGCTCTGAGCAGCCAGTTATAACGATTTAGCACTGGATACTTATACAAGTTGCTTAACCTCTTAGAAACCATTTCTTCATCTGTAAAACTAGAAATAATAGCTCTCACATGAGCTAATGTAAAATATCCTAGAACAGGGAACATTTCTAATAAATGTCAGTTTCCATTCCATTCCATGCTCAATAACTGAGCATAACTACCAAAGGTATTAGTTATACTAACTGAACGTAGTTGCCTTTGGAAAATGGGAAATGGAGTGGGCATGAGGGTCAGGGATTGTGTGTGTTTTAATGATCCTTACAGAACTATTTGACTCTTTAAATTATGTGCATGCAATGATTCTGAGGAGAAAAGCTTAAAGTAAAATTTCAGTTCAAGTATTACTTAAAAAATATTCTTAAGAGTGTTACATCTATATTAGATGAAATTTTTCTAGGGAGAGCACCATGAATGTAACTAAGAATTATTTTTTCAGTCTTAAGAAAACATAAAACTCATACATGTTTATATCTCTCAATGTAAACAGAAATATCCTATAACTTCCAAGTTTACTAAAAGGTCATTAAATAAAAGCTTACTCTTACTTGGATAGTTAGACTATATGAGTTAAATCATATCCACCCTGAACATAGGGATTTCTCTCATGATAGGTCTAAAACACTGACTGTAATCTTTTAAACTTAAAAGTTATTTTTAGGAATAAACTGCTCAAATTATCATTTGTCTTTATCTTAGATTTGCTAAACAGAAAAAGCTAAAGTTTTATTTCAACAGTATTCTCCTTAATTTAATATTCACATTGTTGATGTAGGCTATGTAAAACTGGAATATCCATTTTAAAAAATTGTGAGCTTATTTCAACATGGTTTCATTTCAGTGTGGTTATCTGCACAGTTCATGTGGCATTTGTTTTTGGAAAAAACGATCAAACTGTTAGCAGTTGACTCTACAATAGCTATTAGTTACATTAAAATCTTTTCTCTTACCATTCTGAATAAGTTCAACATGGCCTCCCAAAAGCCAGAAGAGAGAATCAGTCACAATTTGGAAAAAGTGTAGTAATTCATCTTTTTCTTCAGCCTTAACATAAAAGATAAGCCCAGTTTACTTTTCTATAGTTTTTTTCCTTTTTTTTTTTTTTAAGGAGACTTCTCTCTGGGGAGTTAGAGGATACAGTTTCTGGATCTAACTTAGCTATTTATGAGGGACATGATTTTGTTGCCTTTAGTTTCTTAATTTGTAAAACTTGTGGTTACAGGATAGTAATATCTACTAGAAATGGTTGTTATCCAGATAAAATAAAACAACATAAGTAGTGTAAGGGCTACAAGTTGATACACTAGGATGTCTTAATACTTGCTATGCATCAGAATCACCTGTTGAGCTTTTTAAATACATCTATGCACAAGCTTTAGTTCAAATATACTGAATTTGAATCTCCAAAGGCAGTCTGGATATCTGTACTTGCACAAAGTTAGGTGGTTGATTTGGTTTTACAACTTGGGTGAAAATAACTGCAATATGCAAATGTAGATGTCAGCATGAGAAGCATTATTAATAGTGTATTTCAGTTCCAGTTTCTACTCATAAGTTTAGGAGGGCAAAGATCGTGTCATTTAGCTCCCCATACAAACTCAGTTTCTAGGACAGTTCTGACACATAGTAAATGTTCAATCAACATTTAGTCAACAAATAAATGACAGTTTTTTCTGGCTCTTCCTTTCTGGAAAGTAGGGTGAGAAATTATTATAAATTAGAGTGCCACAAGGAGAAATAAGAAGTATAGATTCCATTTACAATTTTGTCATTTATTGGCCATGTAACTTTAGTGGAATGTTGGATAAAGGTCACTAATCTTATCCATGTCCTGAATGTTTGTACTATAGCACAAAAGTAATGATGAGACCCGCAAAAATATTATGATTGCCATGATTATTCTTTATAATAATGAAAGTATTTTTTTCCTAATATCCTAGGAATATTCTAGGACAAGTGCTGACTTGAATATAACAATGGAAAAAAAAAAAACCCATAAGAAACGTCACATTAGAGCAAGAATCCTTTTATCCTTTTAGTTCAGGAAGCTACCTTTGCCAGAGTTTTACCTAAAGATACATCAGAAAGGGCATGGTAATTCTCATTGTTGTCAATCCCAAAAGATAGTGTTGTACTCTTAGACTTCCTACTTTCCTTAAAATGCACATTAGATAATGTCACCCACAAATTCATGGTTCTTGAGGCAGGTTAACAAAATTTACCTTTAAATCGAAATTCTCACATATACTCACACAAAACCACTTTGTATTTTAGGTCAGAACGTGTATGTCCCACCATATGATCTACTAACTATGTACTATCTAATTAAAACAAAAATCTGATTGAAAAGCTCCTAGGTAAATAGACTAATAAATTAATTCAAGTTTTTGCCACATCTTTTTTATGCCCCTGTTTTAATTTTGCCCTGTGGTTAAGTGGCCTTACTTTTTCTGTAGCCAATTAATTCTTGGATAACATTAAAGAATCTTTATCTCAATAAAAATACAATAATAAAGGACAGAAAAATATTATGAAAAGTATTAAGGATTCTATAAATGAAAATAATTAACTGAATAAGTATATTTATAATGAAAGTAATATACAAATACATAACATATTAATACATAATTTTAATAATATATAAGGAAAAAGAATTATTAATGCTCTTAAATAGGAATATTAAATAAAGGTGCTTTGAAGAAAAGATAAAGCTTACATAATGGTCTGAGCTATTAATGGGACAGAAATTATTTTACAAATGAGGAAAATGAGATACAGTGAAATCCAGTGATTTGCTATAGAACCTAGAGTTAGTTTGTGGCACAGCCAGCAAAAGAAATCAAATCCAACACAATTCCTATAGTTTATGTGGCTTCAACTAACCTGAATTAAACTAAATCTAGCAAATATTTATTTAGTGCTAACATCCCACAAAATGCCAGTGGAGATATCAGAAATGGAATTTGTAACCTGTTACATGGAACACATATGCTCTACCACTGAGTTAAATTCTCTGCCAGGGGGATCTGGCAAGATGGTTGAAGAGGAACAGCTCTGGTCTGAAGCTCTCAGCAATAGCAATGCAGAAGGCAGTGATTCTGCATTTCCAACTGAGGTACCCAGTTCATCTCATTGGGACTGGTTAGACAATGGGCGCAGCCCACAGATGGCAAGCAGAAGCAGAGTGGGGCATTGCCTCACCTGGGAAGTGCAAGGGGCTGGGGACCTCCCTCCCCTAGCCAAGGGAAGGGAGGGACTGTGCTATCTGGCCCAGATACTACGTTTTTCCCATGGTTTTTGCAACCCACAGACCAGGAGATTCCCTGTGTGCCTAAACCACCAGGGCCCTGGGTTTCAAGCACAAAACTGGTCAGCTGTTTGGGCAGACACTGAGCTAGCTGCACGAGTTTCTTTTTGTACCTCAGTGGTGGCTAAAACCCCAGCAAGACAGACTGTTCACTCCCCTGGAAAGGGGTCTGAAACCAAGGAGCCAAGAGGTCTTGTTCAGCGGGTCCCACTCCCACGGAGACCAGCAAGCTAAGAACCATTGCCTTGAAATTCTCGCTCCCAGCACAACAGTCTGAAGTCGACCAACCTGGGACAACTGAGCTTGGTGGTGGGAAGGGCATCCACCATTACTGAGGCTTGAGTCGGCAGTTTTCCCCTCACAGTGTTAAGGAAGCCACTGGGAAGTTTGGACTGGGTGGAACTCACTGCAGCACAGCAAGGCAGCTGTGGCCAGACTGCCTCTCTAGATTCCTCCTCACTGGGCAAGTCATCTCTGAAACAAAGGCAGCAGCCCCAGTAAGAGGCTTATACATAAAACTCCCATCTCCCTGGGACAGCGCACCTGGGGACAGGGGAGACTGTGGGTGCAGTTTCAGCAGACTTAAATGTTCCTGCCTGCCAGCGCTGAAGAGAGCGGCGCATCTCCCAGCACAGTTGATATACTGAATTTGAATTTGTTAGTGCTAGAGCTCTGCTAAGGAACAGAATGCCTCCTCAAGTGGGTCCCTGACCCTGTGCCTCCAGACTGGGAGACACCTCCAAACAGGAGAGCTCTGGCAGGAATCAGGCAGGTGCCACTCTGAGACGAAGCTTCCAGAGGAAGGAGGTGTGAGTAATATTTGCTGTTCTACAGCCTCTGCTGCTGATACCCAGGCAAACAGGGTCTGGAGTGGACCTCCAGCAAACTCCAGCAGACCTGCAGAAGAGGGACCTGTTAGAAGGAAAACTAACAAACAGAAAGCAATAACATCAACATCAACAAAAAGGACACCCACACAAAATCCCCATCCAAAGGTCATCAGCATCGAAGATCAAAGGTAGACAAATCCATGAAGATGAGGAAAAACCAGCACAAAAAGGCTGAACATTCCAAAAACCAGAACGCCTCTTCTCCACCAAATGATCGCGATTCCTCCCCAGCAAGGGCAAAAACTGGACTGAGAATGAGTTTGATAATTAACAAAAGTAGGCTTCGGAAGGTGGGTAATAACAAACTCCTCTGAGCTGAAGGAGCATGTTCTAACCCAGTGTAAGGAAGCTAAGAACATTGAAAAAAGGTTAGACAAATTGCTAACTAGAATAACCAGTTTAGGAGAACATAAATGACCTGATGGAGCTGAAAAACACAGCATGAGAACTTCATGAAGCATACACAAGTATCAATAGCCAAATTGATCTAGCAGAAGGAAGGATATAAGAGAATGAAGATCAACTTAATGAAATAAAGTGTGAAGACAAGATTAGAGAAAGAAGAATGAAAAGAAATGAACAAAGCCTCCAAGGAATATGGAACTATGTGAAAAGACAAACATACGATTGCTTGGTGTACCTGAAGGTGATGGGGAGAATGGAACCAAGTTGGAAAACACTTCAGGATATTATCCAGGAGAACATCCCCAACCTAGCAAGACAAGCCAACATTCAAATTCAAGAAATACAGAGAATACCACTAAGATACTCCTCGAGAATAGTAACCCCAACACACTTAATTGTCAGATTCTCCAAGGTTGAAATGAAGGAAAAAAATCTTAGGGGCAGCCAGAGAGAAAGGTCAGGTTACCTACAAAGGGAAGCCCATCAGACTAACAGCGGATGTCTCTGCAGAAACCCTACAAGCCAAAAGAGAGTGGGGGCCAATAATCTACACTCTTAAAGAAAATAATTTTCAACCTAGAATTTCATATCTAGCCAAACTAAGCTTATGAAGCTTATGAAGGAGAAATAAAATCCTTTATAGACAAGCAAATGCTGAGAGATTTTGTCACCACCAGGGCTGCCTTACAAGAGTCCTGAAGGAAGCACTAAATATGGAAATTAAAAACTGGTACCAACCACTGCAAAAGCATACCAAAATACAAAGCCCCATGACACTATGAAGAAACTGCATCAACTAATGTGCAAAATAACCAGCCAGCATCATAATGACAGGATCAAATTCACACATAACAATATTAACCTTAAATGTAAATGGGCTACATGCCCCAATTAAAAGACACAGACTGGCAAATTGTATAAACTGTCTAAACCCATCTGTGTGCTGTATTCAGGAGACCCATCTCACATGCAAATACACACATAGGCTCAAAATAAAGGGATGCAGGAATATTTACCAAGCAAATGGAAAGCAAAAAAAAGCAGGAGTTGCAATCCTAGTCTCTGATAAGACAGACTTTAAACCAACAAAGATCAAAAAAGACAAAGAAGGGCATTATGTAATGGTAAAGGGATCAATGCAACAAAAAGAGCTAACTATCCTAAATATATATTCACCCAATACAGGAGCACCCAGATTCATAAAGCAAATTCTTAGAGACCGACAAAGAGACTTAGACTCCCACACAATAATAGTGAGAGACTTTAACACCCCACTGTCAATATTAGACAGATCAATGAGACAGAAAATTAACAAGGATATTCAGGACTCGAACTCAGCTCTGGACCAAGCGGACCTAATAGACATCTACAGAACTCTCCACCCCAAATAAATAGAATATACATTCTTCTTAGCACCACATCGCACTTATTCTAAAATCGACCACATAATTGGAAGTAAAACACTCCTCAGCAAATGCAAAAGAACAGAAATCATAACAAACAGTCTCAGTCCACGGTGCAATCAAATTAGAACTCAGGATTAAGAAACTCACTCAAAACCACACAATTACATGGAAACGGCACAAGCTGCTCCTGAATGAGTACTGGGTAAATAACCAAAGGCAGAAATAAATAAGTTATTTGAAACCAATGAGAACAAAGACACAATGTGCCAGAATCTCTGGGACTCAGCTAGAACAGTGTGTAGAGGGAAATTTACAGCACTAAATGCCCACAGGAGAAAGTGGGAAAGATCTAAAATCGACACCCTAACATCACAATTAAGAGAACTAGAGAAGCAAGAGCAAACAAATTCAAAAGCTAGCAGAAGACAAGAAATAACTAAGATTAGAGCAGAACTGAAGGAGATAGAGACACGAAAAACCCTTCAAAAAATCAATGAATCCAGGAGCTGGTTTTCTGAAAAGATTAACAAAATAGACCGCTAGCCAGACTAATAAAAAAGAAAGGCGAGAAGAATCAGATAGACACAATAAAAAATGATAAAGGGGATATCACCACTGATCCCACAGAAATACAAACATCAGAGAATACTATAAACACCTCTACACAAATAAACTAGAAAATCTAGAAGAAATGGACAAATTCCTGGACACATACACCCTCCCAAGACTAAACCAGGAAGAAGCTGAATCCCTGAATAGACCAATAACAAGTTCTGAAATTGAGGCAGTAATTAATGGCCTACCAACCAAAAAAAGCCCAGGACCAGACGGATTCACAGCTGAATTCTACCAGAGGTACAAAGAGGAGCTGGTACCATTCCTTCTGAAACTATTCCAAACAATACAAAAAGAGGGACTCCTCCCTAACTCATTTTCTGAGAGCAGGATCATCCTGATACCAAAACCTGTCACAGACACCACAAAAAAAGAAAATTTCAGGCCAGTATCTCTCATGAACATCAATGCGAAAATCCTCAATAAAATACTGGCAAACCGAATCCAGCAGCACATCAAAAAACTTATCAACTATGATTAAGTCGGCTTCATCACTCAATGCAAGGATGGTTTAACACATGCAAATCAATAAAAGTAATCCATCACATAAACAGAACCAATGACAAAAATCACATGATTATTTCAATAGATGCAGAAAAGGCCGCCAATAAAATTCAACACCCCATTCATGCTAAAAACTCTCAATGAACTAGGTATCGATGGAACATATCTCAAAACAATAATAACTATTTATGAGAAACCCACAGCCAACATCACACTGAATGGGCAAAAGCTGGAAGCATTCCCTTAGAAAACCAGCACAAGACAAAGATGCCCACTCTCTCCACCCCTATTCAACATAGTATTGGATGTTCTGGCCAGGGCAATCAGGCAGGAGAAAGAAAGTGTATTCGAATAGGAAGAGAGAAAGTCAAATTGTCTCTGATTGCAGATGATATGACTGTATATTTAGAAAACCCCATCGTCTCAGCCCAAAACCTCCTTAAGCTGATAAGCAACTTCAGCAAAGTCTCAAGATACAAAACCAATCTGCAAAAATCACAAGCATTCCTATACACCAATGATAGACAAACACAGAGACAAATCATAAGTGAATTCCCATTCACAATTGCTACAAACAGAATAAAATACCTAGGAATACAACTTACAAGGGACATGAAGGACCTCTTCAAGGATAACTACAAAACACTGCTCAAGGAAATAACAGAGGACACAAACAAATGGAAAAAAAATTCCATGCTTATGGATAGAAAGAATCAATATCGTGAAGATGGCCATACTGCCCAAAGTAATTTATAGATTCAATGCTATTTCCATCAAACTACCATTGACTTTCTTCACAGATTTAGAAAAAACTACTTTACATTTCATGTGGAACCAAAAAAAAAAAAAAAAAAAAGAGCCCGTATAGCCAAGACAATCCTAAGCAAAAAGAACAAAGCTGGAGGCATCATGCTACCTGACTTCAAACTATACAAGGCTACAATAACCAAAACAGCATGGTACTGGTATCAAAACACATATATAGACCAATGGAACAGAACAGAGGCCTCAGAAATAACACCACACATCTACAACCATCTGATCTTTGACAAACCTGACAAAAACAAGAAATAGGGAAAGGATTCCCTATTTAATAAATGGTGCTGGGAAAACTGGCTAGCCATACGCAGAAAACTGAAACTGGACCCCTTCCTTACATCTTATATGAAAATTAACTCAAGATGGATTAAAGACTTACACATAAGACCTAAAACCATACAAACCCTAGAAGAAAACCTAGGCAATACCATTCAGGACATAGGCATAGGCAAAGATTTCATGGCTAAAACACAAAAAGCAATTGCAGCAAAAGCCAAAATAGACAAATGGAATCTAATTAAACTAAAGAGCTTCTGCATGGCAAAAGAAACTATCATCAGAGTGAACAGGCAACCTACAGAATAGGAAAAAATTTTTGCAATCTACCCATCTGATGAAGGTCAAATATCAAGAATCTAAAAGGAACTTAAACAAATTTACAAGAAAAAAAACCATCAAAAAGTGGGTGAAGGATATGAATAGACACTTCTCAAAAGAAGGCATCTATGGGGCCAACAAACATATGAAAAAAAGCTCATCATTACTGGTCACTAGAGAAATGCAAATCAAAACCACAATGAGATACCCTCTCACTCCAGTTAGAGTGGCGATCATTAAAAAGTCAGGAAACAACAGATGCTGGAGAGGATGTGGAGAAATAGGAACGCTTTTACACTGTTGGTGGGAATGTAAGTTCAACCACTGTGGAAGACAGTGTGGCGACTGCTCAAGGATCTAGAATCAGAAATACCATTTGACCCAGCTATTCCATTACTGGATATATACCCAAAGGATTATAAATCATTCTACTATAAAGACACATGCACACGTATGTTTACTGCAGCACTATTTACAACAGCAAAGTCTTGGAACCAAACCAAATGCCCATCAATGATAGATTGGACAAAGAAATGTGGCACATATACACCATGGAATACTATGCAGCCATAAAAAAGAATGAGTTCATGTCCTTTGCAGGGACATGGATGAAGGTGGAAACCATCATTCTCAGCAAACTAACACAGGAACAGAAAACCAAACACTGCATGTTCTCACTCATAAGCGGGAGTTGAACAATGAGAACACATGGACACAGGGAGGGGAACATCACACACTGTGGCCTGTCAGGGGGTAGGGAGCAAGGGGAGGGATAGCATTAGGACAAATACCTAATGCATGCAGGGCTTAAAACCTACATGACGAGTTGATGGGTACAGCAAACCACCATGGCACATGTATACCCATGTAACAAACCTGGACATCCAGCACATATATCCCAGAACTGAAAGTATAATAAAAAAAAAAGAAAAGAAAAGAAAAAGAAATTGTCTGCCAACAGTATTTCTTATACTCAAAGCAGCAGGTTGTCTGTACTATTATACCTCTCATTCAATTTCATTCTTCTAATTAAAGAAAAATTCTTAAACTAAAAATACATCTATTTTAGGTTTTCTATTAAAAATGGCTAAGACCTTTTCTACTCTATTAGCCTGGGAATTCCTTAAATGTAAGACTGTGTCTATTCTTTATATACTCAAAGCACCATAAATAGAACTTAATATAACCTGGTGATCATTATGGACTGTTTGTGTCCCTGAAAACTCATATGTTGAAACCCTAACCTCTAATGTGATGGTGGAGACTTTGGAGGTGTAGATTGGGTCATGATGGTGGTGTCCTCAGGATGGGATTAGTGCCCTTATAAGAAAGAAAGAAAGAAGGAAAAGACATGAAAGAGACAAGAGAGCTCCCTCTCCCTCTCCACACAAACACAAGCAGGAGGTCATGTGAGCACACAAGAGAGTGGCTGTCTGCAAGCCAGGAAGTGGGCCCCATGAGGAAGTGGATCTGTTGGCTTCTTGATCTTGGACTTCTTAGTCTCCAGAACTATAAGAAATAAATGTCTTTAAGTCACCAAGTCTATGGTATTTTGTTACAGCAGCCTGAACAGAGTAAGTCAAGTGACTGAGTTATTAATATCTGTCCATAATTGACAACAGTTGTGAATCTGCTCAAGCTCTGATATAGTAGTAGGCCCAAATGTACATATAGCCAAGAACTCTTCTAAGGTAAAGGAGTTTCAGCCTTGTAGACTTATCACTTCTTATAAATTCTAAGATGAACCTCTGCTGTCAAAAGGTAAAAATAGTTTGCATATTAATATAATGTATTCATTAATGCCCAGTTCCACTCTTCTCATTACTTATTTTTGGATTCCCACTTGCGGGTACCTAGTGAGGAAATATCATTTTTTAAAAAATCAAATGACAGCTTGGAGCAAAATAATCCTGCTACATTCCCCATATGGAGCTAAGAAACTGTCTTCAAACAGGGATGCCAAAAGAAGAGAGAAGCATGTAAGTAAACCGGACTTAGGGCAGGGCCCAGCAGCTAGAAGTCAAGGTAGTACTAAAGACATGTGAGCTTGTAGTTATTAGACAACTTGAAGATAGAGCCCAAAGGAGAGAGTAAACACTTTTAGGAAAAACAAACAAGAAAACAAGCAAGAGACTGATTGATAATTGATAAGTATTACCAAAAAAACCTGAACAGATTTTAAAAGAGAGATTATAATATCTATATGTCAAATGCATGCAGGTGCAGGCAATAAAGGTCAGAAGATGACCACGAATAAGAACCAGAAAGGCACCTAGAATCAGTGTGTAAATGAAGAAAAAGTTAAATTTAGAAGGCAGTCAGAAGCTAGGCATTCAGACAAAGCTTAAGAGGACCTAAATCTGAAGCTAAGTAAATAAACTGGAAATATGTTGTGAGGGTGGAAGCAAACAGCAACTTTTAAAAGCGCCTTTCAATAAGGAAAATCAACTTAAAGTTAGAGAACTGTGTTTAAAATTACTTAAAGCAGTGGTCTCTAACCTTTTTTGCACCAGGGACCGGTTTCATGGAAGATAATTTCTCCATGAACTAGGGGGTCAAGGGGAAGGATGTTTTGGGGATGATTCAAGCCCATTACATTTATTGTGTGCTTTATTTATATTATTATTACATTGTAATACATAATGAAATAATTATACAACTCACCATAATGTAGAATCAGTAGAAGCCCTGAGCGTGTTTTCCTGCAACTAAAGAGTCTCATCTGAGAGTGATGGGAGACAGTGACAAATCATCAGGCATTAGATTCTCATAATGAGCCTGCAACCTAGATCCCTCACCTGCACAGTTCACAATAGGATTTATGCTCTTATGAGAATCTAATGTTACCGCTGATCTGACAGGAGGCAGAGCTCAGGCGGTAATGTGAGCAATGGGGAGTGGCTGTAAATACAGATGAAGCTTTGCTCACTCACTTGCCCGTCACTTACTTCCTCCTGTGTGGCTGGGTTTCTGACAGGCCATGGATGAGTACTAGTCTGTGGCCTGGGGGCTGGGGACCCCTGACATAAAGAATAATGCAATAAGTACCTAAAAGTATCTAGTTATTCATATTTTTAATATCTTATACCCAATTATGTACTTATTAAACATAGTAATTAATGATTAATAATTATGCTTTTTCAACTTTATTAGTCTTGTTTTAAGAGAATGAGCATACCTGAAACAAATATCATGCTGAATTTTGAATGATTTTTACTCATGAGTAATCTAACTCTATAGTGTTGCCATCCAATAGAAATATAATGTGAGCCATCTAGATAATGTTAAGTTTTCTAGTAGCAATGTTTTTAAAGAGTAAAAAGAAATAGGTAAAACAAATAACAATATATTTTATATTAGCATTTTTAGCATGGAATATATATAAAAAATTTTTGGTATTTCTTTGAAATCTGGTGAATATTTATACTTGGAGCAGATCTCTACTTGGAGGCTAAATTTTCATTAGAAATTCTTGGTATGTATTTAGATTTTATAAAACTTACAGTTGTAAAAGTAGATTCACATACTCAAGTTGTTCCAAACACACTTAAGTTTCCTAACAGAATTGATCATCAATTTTTAAATTTAAAATAATTAAAATTAAATAAAATTTTCAGTCTCAGTTACAAAGGTACATTTCAATTGCTCAACTGATACACAGGGTTAATGGCTACCATATTATACCATGCAGAACAGACCATGAGGCCATGTACTAGACATCACTACTTAAATTATTTAAATGGCAGGTAGAGCACCTAGCAAATTCATCTCTTCGAGATGACAAATATTTATTAAAAAATTAAAAATGGCCTCAACTTCTTTGCCTTCAGTTTTCTTCATCCATCTAGCATATTGAGCCATAATTCCTCAATTTGCCCAAATACATTGCATCTATGTCAGACATCTCTAAGGCTCTGAACACAGCCTTCAGATATTATCTCTACACCACATCCCTAGGAAAGCTCATCCTCTAGTATGCTCCTCTTCAAAGTTTTAATTAGCATTCATAAGAGGACTTTCCAACCTATAGCCATAGTCCTGATCTCTCAATCCAACTTCAATTCCATCCTAGACATTTCCACTTGAAAATGCAACTAACTTCAAAGGGATTGCATCCTTTTTCCCAGTTTTTACCTCTGGCTTATCACTTCTCTTAAACATCTGTAGGGCCTTGAAACCTTAGACTCAACTTAGACTCATCATTAATATATTATATATTATCTGTATAAAAGCAGTGTCTGATAGTACACCTTTTATATTCTTACAATTTTTTTCTTAATATTTCATTTGACCCTCTATTTTTCCAAAGTCATAGTGAGTCAAGACACTTATTACCTTAGTTCTTCTAGCTTACTACAATAATTTAAAATGGTCTCTTCTTCCGCTCTCTCCAGCATACTCTTATGTCTCCTCAAAAAAAAAAGCCTCTTCACTATCGTAGAATCAAGTTCAAACTTTTTCTGTTTTTTCCTTTTTTTTCTTTTTTTCTTTTTTTTTAAAGAGATAGGATCTTGCTCTGTTGCCAAAGCTGGTGTGCGGTGACGTGATCATAGCTCACTGCAGCCGTGAGCTCCTGGGCTCAAGCAATCCTCCTGCCTTAGCCTCCTGAGTAGCTAGGAAGACAGGCATGTGCAACCACACTTGGCTAGGTCTTGCTATGTTGCCCAGGTTGGTCTTGAACTCCTGGGGTCAAGTGATCCTGCCATCTCAGCCTCCCAAAGTGCTGGGATTATACAGGCGTGAGCCACTGCATCTGGCCTTCAATCTTTCTGAATGAGAATACTCTATCTAACTCTGGTAGGAATCTGCACTGGGACTCAAAGATGTCATACTTATTCCTCTTTCCTGGTCTTGTCCATTTCCGCTGCCTGTAATGCCCTCATATTTCCAAATCTCATCCATGCTTTAGAGATAGATAGACCAGGTACCATTGGCTCCACAAAGCTTTTTGGAATCACTCTTGTTCACATTGGTTGTTCCCTACTCTTCCCCTTTATAGAACTTACTTTCCTGTTAGTTGTGGGCCAGAAAATATTTTAGGCATTATAGTCTCTAGAAACTACTGAACTCTGTGGCTATAGTGAAAGTAGTCATGGATAATATAAACAAATAGGTGCAGCTGTGTTCCAATACAACTTAATTTTTAAAAATAAGCTGGATTTAGCCCACAGGCCATAGTTTGTTGACCTAAGCTTTTGCTGACCAAATGTATAAACTCGGGAAAAAATATAAAAAGCAACTGTTTGAAGGTTTTAGATAGCAAGCAAAGGCACACAGACATGATCCTGAAATAAAATGTACTGACTGAAATCTAAATTTATCTTGTGTGATTGTCAAAGATATTCTGGGTGTTTCTGTAAGGGTATTTTTAGATGAGTTTAACATTTAAATTTTTAGTCTGAGTAAAGCAGATTGCTTTCCTTAATGTGGGTGGGCCTCATACAATCAGTTGAGGGCTTGAGTAGAACAAAAGATTGACCCTCTCCCACATAAAGGGAAATTCCTCTTGCCTGACTGCCTTTGAGTTGGGACATCAGTATTTCCTGACTTCAGACTCAAACTGAAACACTGCTTCTTCATGGATCTCGAGTCTGCTGGCATTTGGACTAGCACTATGCTATCAGTTCTCCTGATTCTAAGGCCTTTAAACTCAGACTATACCATCAGCTCTCCTGGGTCTCTAGCTTACCAACTGCAAATCTCAGGACTTGTTAGCTTCCATAATTGCCAATTCCTTATAATCAAGCACTTTCTCTTTCTTTCTCTCTCTCCATATATCTTCTATTGGTTCTGTTTTTCTGGAGAGACCTGACTAATATGCCTGGCTTTTCCCAGTGTGTGTTTATCAACATAGGGAAAGAGTTCAAATAAGAAGTTGCAGTATAACTTGGCTGAGGAGTCAGAATTTGGAGCTTGGGGCTGCCAGAACAGTTAAAGAAGTGATCCACAAAGTACAGAGCTTCAAAATCTATATACAAACTTCCATTGAATTCTTGACTCTTAAACTGTACATATGAGAGAAAAGGCTCCACGGAGCCCAGAAGAATCTACAGCTGAAAGGCTGAAAGAAATTACCAGCAATTTCATCTTTTGCCTAGTGCTGGGTATACAGAGTTTGGAGTTTAGGTTCTTCCAAGTCAGATGGTCTGGGTTAACATGGTGGGCTTTCCATTTAAACCACAGAAGGATCTCACCTTAGGTATAAGGACTGTGAACCAGGACTAAGGGCAATACTCTAATGGCAAAACTGAAGTAAACCTCTCCAAAGAAAGGCTAAAACCAAGCCTCCACAGGAACAATTGATCTGCCAGAATTTAACTGCTCTCAAGTCTTCAGAGGAAGATACGAATTTCTACAATGTGTCATTCACAGTTACCATTATAAAACAAAAAATTAACAGAGATGTGAAGAAGCAGAAAAATTTGACCCAGATAATTTGACCCAGAGAAAAAACAGATAATAAAAAGACTCTCAAATGATCCAGGTATTGGATTTATAAACAACAACTTAAAAATAACTATAATAAATATGGTAAACAATCAATAAGAGAAGCAAATAAAAATCATAGAACAATACAATATATGAAATGAAAAATTCACTAGGTAGGATTATTAGCACATTAGACACTGTAGAAGATAGGGTCAGTGTACTTGAAGACAGAACAATAGAAATTATCGAAACTGAAGTAAACAACAACAAGAAAAGGATGAAGGCAGCCTCAACAACCAGAAGTCCCAGAGTGAAGGTAGAGAGAATAGGGCAAACAAAAGTATTTGAAAAAATATTAGCTGAAAATTTTCTTAATATGAATACATTAACTCAGACACATGAAACTCAGGACCTCCAAGCAAGATAGACATCAGGAAATCTACAACAAGGTTCATCAAAGTAAAATTGCTGAAAATAAAACAAAATAAACCAAACAAAGAGAACATCTTAAAAAAGCCAAAGATAAAAAGGTGCAATATGTATAGGAGAATGACAAGAAGAATGAAGGCTGAATTTACATCAGAAACAAAAGATGCCAGAAGACAATGGAAAAAAATCTTTAAAGTGCAAAAAGAGGAAAAAAAATTGATGAAGTAGAATTATACACATGCAACAGAAATATTCCTCAAAAGTGAAGGCATCATGAAGACATTTTCAGATAACCAAAAAGCTGAGAGAATTCATTACCAGCAGAATTGCACTGTAAGATATGCTAAAGGAGGTTGTCAGGCTTAAAGGAAATGATACCAAATGAAAATTCAGATCTGTTTGAAGGAATAAAGACAACCAGACATAGTAGATATAAAAAAATCATTTTTCTTTCATTTCTTTAAATTATTGAAAAGTCAATACACTATTTAAAGTAAAAATAACACATGGTAGATTTCATAATATATGTAAAAGTAAAATACATGACAAAATAGCACAAAAGATAGAAACTGGGAACAAATTTCTTAAAAATAGCAAAATGGTAGAATTAAACCTAACCATAGCACAAATTAGATTAAATGCAAGTAAATGATACCCTTTAAAACAACAGCTTGTCAGACTAGATGAAAAAGCAAGACCTGACAATACGCTATTTAAAACAGACTCATTTTAAGTATAAGACAGAGGTTAAAAAGTAAAGGTTGAGAAATGATGTACAATAGTCTCCCCCTTATCCATGGAAGACATATTCCAAGACCCCCAGTGGATGCCTGAAGGTGTGGATAGTACTGAACCCTATATATACTTTTTTTTTTAATCTGAAAACTGAGACCAGCTACTAAGTGACCAACTGGCAGGCAGCCTGTACAGTGCTGATATGCTGGTCAAGGGGTGCTTCACATCCTGGGAAGGACACTATGAGACTTCATCATGCTATGAGAACAGCATGCCGTTTAAAATTTAATTGTTTATTTCTGGAATTCTCCATTTAATATTTTTGAACCACTATTGGCCATGGGTAACTGAAACCATGAAAGGTGAAACTGCAGAAAGTGTATCATGTAAACACTAATCATAAGAAAACTGGAGTGGCAATATTCGTAATAGTAAACAAAGTAGACTTCAAGATAAGGTCTATTATCAGAGATAAATATCATTTCATGTGACCTGAGTCCATGAGTAAGGTTGAAAAAAAAAAAAAAGACCAGTTCATAATGATAATAGCTTTCATTCATCCAGAAGATATAATATTCCTAAATGTGTATGTATCTAATCACAGAGCTTTGTAATACATGAAGCAAAAACATATAGAACTAAAGACAGAATTAGACAAATCCGCAACCATAGTTGGAAATTTTAATACCCTTGCTCACTAAAAAGTAGAACTGTAGACAAGAAAAAAAAAAGAGAATTTAGAAGACTTCAACAACTCTACTAACCAAATTGACCTAATTAACACTTATAGAACATTACATACAACTGCAGAGTTCACATTTGGGTATACAAGTAGTCCTAGCTTTTGCATGGCACCATATTAAATAAAACCTGTGCATATCAAAACCTTTGCATGGTTCTGACATGCACGAGTTTCAGTTAAGATGGAACTGTGCAAAACAAAGGTTTCTTTTTCTTTTCTTTTTTTTTTTTTTTTCAGATGGAGTTTTGCTCTTGTTGCCCAGGCTGGAGAGCAATGGCACTATCTTGGCTCACTGCAACCTCTGCCTCCTGGGTTCAAGTGATCCTCCTGCCTCAGCCTCCCAAGTAGCTGGGATTATAGGCATGTGCCACCATGCCCGGCTAATTTTGCATTTTTAGTAGAGACAGGGTTTCTCCATGTTGGTCAGGCTGGTCTCAAACTCCCAACCTCAGGTGATCCGCCCGCCTCGGCCTCCCAAACTGCTGGGATTACAGGTGTGAGCCACTGCGCCCAGCCCACAAAAGTTTCTTTTAATGAACATTCACAAAGATAAAACATATGCGGAGGGCCATAAAACAAGTCTGAAAAAATTCCAAAGGATTGAAATGATATAGAGAATGTTATCTGACCAAAACATAATTAAATTAGAAATTGATAACAATAAAGTATCTAGTAGATCTTCAAATATTTGGAAATTAAGCAACACACTTCTAAATCCCTGGGTCAAAAAAAGAGCACATGTATAGCATCTAGCATAATGCAACCAAGAAATACTTGAAAAGACCCCTATGTTTGGGTTGAATATTTTGACTGGAGAAGATATGAGAGATCAAATAGGAAGTTCACCTTTATTCTTCACTACTGGAGCTACTTAGAAAAGCCCTAGCCCTAGAGAACATACTTTCCTCTACTGTTAATTTAAGTAAAAAGTATGTTTAGAAAGATGTTATGGAAATAATTGTCTATGGGTGCTGCCCAACAAGTAAAGTAGCAAGGCAGATCCTTCAAAAAATCAAATGGCAAGCTTCAGTCAGCATTAAAAATTTTTCAAACATAGAGATGATTTTTGGAAGGTTGTAACTTTGAAAATGTTTAAATTCACTACTTTAATTGTACTTTCAGCCAAATATTGCACATTTAAAAAATAACAGAACAGCTTCTTAAGAATTAAACTGATTTAGCTACAAAAGACTAAATAAACACATACCTTAGCTGCATTGATAAAACATGTTTGTAATTGTCTCCCCAAAACTAGAAAATTTTCTGCAGCTGATGGAAGTAATTCATTGTAAAATTCCTCTGCATCTTCTCCTGGCTCCAAGCCCACACAGCAATGGCTGAAATAAGAGCACAAGTTCGTGTTAATTAGAAGTTTATGTTGAATGCTCAAGCTTCTAGAGACACTGTGCCTTATTGAGAATTTTTAGTATGCTTCTTTTGTTACCAAGACAATAAAGAATTTTTGTTGAAAAATTAGTCTAACAACTTTCTAGAAAAGTAAACAGTGGTATGGACCATGCTTGTACTTAGGTCTGGGATTTATGTATCCTAAAAACCTACATATCAGCTCATTCAGCAAATAAAAGACACTTGGCTCACAATAAAGAGAAGCTAAGTTTTCAGTGAATTGGCTATAATCATTCTCAAAGCTATAGGATACCTTGAGAGTTTAATTTATGAAAAGCATTTGTGTTAACTAATACATTTTAGACACCTAATAGCTGAAAAATGCCCAAGTAGGATTTGTTTGCAAGGGATACATAAGGAAACCAAACACTAATTTCATACCAATTTTACCTTCCAATAGATCTACTTTTTGCAAAATACTCATTTGCATATTCCTTATATCAGAAGGACAAACGGCAAAACCTAACTCTAGTAGGAACACTTTACAATATACATTAGAGGAGAGAAAGTCACTTAGAGAAAAAGGTCCTCTTAAAATTGTACATAAAAGTCATTTCCTGTACATAAGTCAGAAGTCCCAATAATAAAAGGTTTTTCTGTAAACTAACATTCAAAAGAGCCTCAAACCCAAGAATGGTCTCTATGTGTGTACTCTAATGAACAAAAACTGCTGTTTGAGTCTTTTCAACAAAATGTATGGACACTAATAAGCAATAACAACTATGTATTGAGCATGTTAAAAATCTAAGTAATCAATGGCAGACTGGATAAAGAAAATGGTATATTTCTTTGGGGTGGTACATATACACCATGGAATACTATGCAGCCATAAAAAAGAACAAGATCATGTCCTTTGCAGCAACATGGATGGAGCTGAAGGCCATTAACCTAAGTGAACTAACACAAGAACAGAAAGCCAAACACTGCATATTCTCACTTATAAGTGAGAACAAACATTGAGTATGCAATTTACCTATAAAACAAACCTCCACATGTACCCCTGAACCTAAAATAAAAGTTAAAAAAAAACCTAAGTGGATAATATTTACATGTATCACTTTTTGTTGTTGTTGTTGTTTATTTGCACCTGGGTTCCTAAAGTTAATGGGCTAATGCTCACATGTATCAGCTTTTCTTTTCTCTTTGGTTCCTAAAGTTAATTACTTAAGAGTATCTTTTTTGATTGAGAAGATTAACAAATGAAATTATGTTTATTTGTGCATTCAGAAACATGGGAATTTCTTAAGTCTTGAATTCCACCCGAGAGCCTGGCTTAATCAATATCATCATAAACTAGCATATCGAATCAAAACAAAAACATAAGGCTTTATTTACTTAAGAAAATCAATCTTGAAAATTAAAGTATGAAAAAGAATATCACATATATTTTTCAACTGTTCTTTGTAACTGTGTGCTTTAAATTTGGCCTTTACCAAGTAACACAGTAGGATTAAGCAGCTTAGAAATCTAGCATCCAAGACAAACCCTTTCAGTGGGAATAGCTTATTAAATTCAAATGGCTTATTTAGGAAAAACAAAAAAAGAAGGCTAGGATCCAGTTAGTAAATACACACTTTCACTTATTAATCAGGAAGTAGCTTAGGCACTAAGAACATCTGGTTTATTTTACTACCTCCTTTAAAAAATGTTTATTTCTCTTCTATTAATTTCTAGCATGGCAGTAGATCAGTAAATTCTACTTCTAAATTTTATTGACAGTATTTGGGTTGCTTAATGAAATACACAGTTGATAGCTACATTGATATAGTGAAATAAAATGTTTCTTTATCAGTTCTCCTATAGTACTTGCTTGCATACTTTCATTTTAGCACTGATTTCATTCTGCTTTGTATCATATACTTACATGACTGTCACCCAATCTCTATTTTAAGTTTCTCAGGTACAGAGCCAGTGCCTTAATTTCTTCACTTCTTTAAAAATTCCTTAATCAATAAAAAGTATATTAGGCACTTGGAATTCAGTGGTGAGAAAAAAAATGATCACCATCTTCATTAAGCTTGTGGAGGAAAATTTTAGACAGTCAAATAATCTGAAGTAAAATTATGAATAATAACATATAATATGAAGGAAAAGTACAACCAAAACCTACAACAGGAGGTTGCCAATGCTTGTTAGGCAGATAAATAAAAAGCAAATGTTGAAAATCAGAATCAACTACTACATCCCTCAAGAACAGCTGACTTACTGCTTTATTTTACCTTAATATCTGTGTAAGCTGGGAAATTGTAGTCCAACCACCCTGGATTCGAGAATAATCTTGACTGAGGACCAAGAGGCAATATTGAATGAGATCATAACAATATATATCTTGTTTGATTTTCTTCAACTCTGAGCTTCCTAAAGGTGTGATGTTTATTATTTCTAAGGCAAAAGGAAATAAGATATATTTATTTTTGCTTAATACATCCAGGAGCTATTTGTATTTTTATATGTTGAATAATCACTAAAAATATATTAGAAGGAAAAATTACTGTTCTATTATAGTGTTAAGACCTCTCTGAACAAATTTAAAAGAAATGTTAAAATTGTACCAACGATGGAACCATTTTTCACTTAAAATGCTATCTAATCACAAAAAGATTTTCTTACCTTTTAACTTCAACAGTATAACAGGGACATTCTGCTCAGGGCTTTTTGCAACTTCAGCAGCTATAGATAAGATCCTTGGGTCTGTACCTGTTGGCTTCATTTCTCTTATTACCTATATTTTAACAGAATCAGAGAATAAAGGTCAAAAAGCCAGGAAATGTTCACTACCTAAATAATGTTTGAAATATAATTTCAATATAAATAAAAACAGCTTTTCTTGCCTTGTTTGAGAGGCAGAATGTAGATTTTTTCATTTCTTCCTTATAGAAAACTGGTTTTTCTAACCAGTGTAAAAGAGCTCAAGATTCCTATACCTCACATGTAACAGCTATAGCAGGTATTGTTTATTGTGCACTCACTAAGAGTCAGGAACTGTGATAGGAGCTTCACATTCTCTCTCTAATCTGCACAATAATTCTAGGATAGGAATTAACTTCCTTTAATCACACAAGAAGAACTGCAAAAAAGAGCTAACATGACAGGCCTAAGACTACTATACTTTCAAAGGTGTGCTTACAAGGTTGGCCTTTGACTGGCATCTAGAACTTAGATTTCAGGAGGGTTTCTGCCATTCTCTGGTAAGAGTGGCTCCCTGTGCCTAAAACTGTTTATGAAAAACAATGTGGTTCATGCTGAATACCCGCCTTCCTTCCAGGAGTCTTAGAATTCTGGTACATGCCAGTCGAGAGTACCTATACAGAGGGTGCCTATGTGGCCATCCTCCAATAAAAATTCTGATCACTGAGTGTCTAGTTGAGCTTCCTTGGTAGACAACACTTCAAACATGTTGTCATAGCTGGTTGCTGGAGGAATTAAGCATATCCTACGTAACTCCACTGGGAGAGAACTCAGAAGTTTGTACCTGATTTCCCCCAATATGCTTTTTCCCTTTGCTGATTTTGCTTTATTTCCCTTCACTGTAATAAATCATAGCTGTAAGTACACTATATTCTGAGTCCTGTGAGCCCTCCTAGTGAAGCACTGACCTTCAACACACTAATGCTCAGAAATGTTACATAAATATAAGATAATCAAAGATTGCTTCTAAATAGTATAGTGAATAAGGCCAGGGGCAGTGGCTCACACCTATAATCCCAGCACTTTGGGAGGCCAAGGTGGGTGAATCACTTGCGGTCAGGAGTTCAAGACCAGCCTGGCCAACATGGTGAAACCCCATTTCTACTAAGAATACAAAAAATCAGCTGGGCATGGTGGCGCGTGCCTGTAATCCCAGTTACTCAGGAGGCTGAGGCAGAATAGCTTGAACCTAGGAGGTGGAGGTTGAGTGACCTGAGATCACATCACTGCACTCCAGCCTGAGTGACAGAGCTAGACTCTGTCTCAAAATAATAATAATAATAATTAATAAATAAGTAAATAGTATATTGAATAAAATCAATTCTCCTAACATTAAAAAACAAGGTCCACATCCTAATTTGTTGCTAAAACTTTCTCTATGTAAAAAAAGTTTAAGGCTGAAGAATCGCTTGAGAATTGGTGTTCAAGACTAGCCTGGTCAACAAAGCAAGACCCTGTCTCTAAAAAAAAAAAGTTTTAAAGCATTTGAAGCTCAAAGATATCCTTATATAATAAAAGCGTATTTCCTTATTTATAGTAAAGCTAACATGTATCAACTGTTTAATATAAGCTAAGCACTATGTTAATATACTATACACTGTCTTGTGTAATCCTCACAACAGGGCTATGAAGTAGATAGAGCGTGTGATCATTTCCATACATACATATATACATATACATATATATGTTTTTGTCCACAGTTTCTGGCTCATAACTCCCATAGCCTTTGTTACAGTCTTGTTATGTTAGGGTGCTTTAGGCCTCAGAAAACAGAATCTATTTCTGACTTCCTCCTCTCCTCCTTTCACCTGCTCCTTCTCTCCAAAGCAGAACTCTAATCATCCCTGCCTTTCTCTGACCTATCTTGTCTAGCTGTAGGTCATAAGACCCCTGTTTCAGAATGGGTCTTGCCCTATATCCTGGAAGGAATGCTGAACAGAGAAGCCAAGAAGAATCTGAGCAGACAGGCCTTGCTGGGTTTCCCCACTCAGTCTGTTAGTATCAGATCATATCTTTTTTGTCCAATCACATTTCCAAAATGATTGTCCATGCTTCAGTCATGCCTATCCATTGAAATCTCCATAAAAGGCTCAAGAGGATGGGGTACAAAGAGCTACTGGATAGCTGAACATGTGGAAGTTCCTGGAGGAATTTCCTGGATATCACAGGCAGGGAGGACATGGAAGCTCTGTGCCCCTTCCCATACTTCACAGTATGCATCTCTTCATTTGTATCCTAGTATTTTTTTTTGGAGACAGGATCTCACTCCTGTTGCCCAGGCTGGAGGACAATGGTACAATTATGGCTCACTGCAGCCTAGACTTCTCAGGTTCAGGTGATTCTCCCACCTCAGCCTCCCAAGTAGCTGGGACTACACTTGCAAGCCATGACGCTCGGCTAATTTTTTGTATTTTTAGTAGAGACAGGGTTTCTCCATGTTGCCCAGGGTCTCTGTAATATCTTTATAATAAACTGGAAAACATGTTTCCCTCAGTTTTGTTAGCTCCTCTAGCAAATTAATACACCCCAAGGTGTGTATTAATAGGATTCCTCATGTGTAGCTGGTCAGTCAGAAGCACAGGTAAAACAACTTAGGGCTTGGATTGGCATCAGAAATGGGGGTCCCTCTTGCAGGACTAAGCCCTAAACCTAAGGGATCTGACCCTATCTCCAAGTAGACAGTGTCAGAATTGAATTAGATGATACCCAGCTGGTGTCCGCTGCAGAATTGATTGCTTGCTTGTTGGTGGAAGAAAACTCCACACATTTGGTCACAGAAGTCTTTTGTGTTGATTGTCATGATGTGAGAGCAAAAACTGTTTTTCCATTCATATATCTCTTATTAGGTACAATATAAATCATTAAAAGACAGGTTTGCTGAAAATACCTTAAAGAAAGCCCAGTGCAACTCCCGGCACATAGTAGTCACAAAACTTTCAAAGAGAGTGCATATAGTTATCTCATTCTCTCCAAATGGCTGCATTATGCTACATTTCCTTTTAAGAATGCAGCAAAATATATTTAAACATCACCTCTACTGGAGGTCACTCAAGCTGTATGCTATTACAAGCAACACTGCAATGAATATACACATGATCCTTTACATTTTTGCCAATCTGTTAGATGAAAATTGGTATGATTGTGTTTTAATTTGTATTTCTTTGATTATTAGGGATGTCAGGCACATTTCGTGTTCACTGGCCATTATTTCTTTTATGTATTTTCTATTCATATCCCTTGACTATATTTCTATCGGTTTGTCTTATTCTTTTGCAGAAGCTTTTCATACATGGATAGGAATCTTTTCTCTTTTATATTGGCTGTAAAATTTTCTCCTTGTCATTTATTTTTTTAAATTTGACTATGGGGTCTTTACCATAATTTTACAATTTTTTTTTTTTTTTTTGAGAGAGAGTCTGACTCTGTTTACCCTGGCTGCAGTGCAGTGGTGCAATCTCAGCTCACTGCATCCTCCACCTCCTGGGTTCAAGTGATTTCATGCCTCAGCCTCCCAAGTAGCTGGGATTACAGGCGTGTGCCAACGTGCCCAGCTAATTTTTGTATTTTTAGTAGAGATGGGGTTTCACCATGTTGGCCAGGCTGGTCTTGAACTCATGACCTCAAGTGGTCTGCCCACTTCGGCCTCCCAAAGTGCTGGGATTACAGGCATGAGCCACAGCGCCCAGCCATTTTTACAATTTTTACATATGAAATATAACAATCTTTTCCTCTATGGCATCTGTCTTTTGTGTCCTGTTTAGAAAGGTCCTCTCTAACCCAAGAGATAAAAAACATTCTCCAAATCTTCATGTTTTTTTGGTTTTGTTTTCCTTACATATCTTCTAAAGTAAGGTATTTTTGTGAATGGTGTCATATAAGAATCTAATTTTTAATGTTAAAGTTATTGATGGATTAAAAAATGCACACAGTAGTCATAAATTCATAAGGTAACTAGTTATGAATAGACATAACAGAAACAATCTGAAACGTCACATTTTCATGCACTATGTATACATACACATACACAGGGTATCTTTTTGGACTCTACTTAGTTTCTAGTAATTTAATCTGTTTGTCTATTCTTGAGCTAGTACAACATAGTTCATTTTAATATATGTTTGGAGAAAATTCACCTCAGAAGGTAAGCTTCATGAGGGCAACCTACCTATCCCTTAGAGATGATTAAATGAGTTAATACATGAAAGCAATTGGAACAATTCCTGGCACATAGTAAGAGCTCTCCAAATGGTTATTATTAAAGCCCAGTTCTACCATCATACTACATTTTAAGACCATCTTTGCTGGCTGCCTTCTTATATCTTTGGTTCACAACTGTATTCCCAGTGGCTAGACTAGTACCTGGCACGTACTAGGATTTGCTAAATACAGGTTGAAAGTATGAGTAAATGCACAAACCTCAGGCATTCTGAGCCTCAATTTCTTGACTTTCTGTTTTTCTCTTGTTACAATAGAGAAAGCTCAGATTTATAGTTGGAAGCCTCTCTAACGTAAAATAGGCTCAAAACAGTTTGTGCCCTCCTGGCTACCGTAATAAAACATCACTAAATCATTATTGTCATCAACAAATATGTGCAGAGCAGTATGGTAGATGCAGGGGATGCAAAGATTCTACACAAGACATACTCTCTGCTATTGTTCTGGTTGGGAAAGAAAAGTATGTTTATGTACATGTGTACACACACACAGATACAAAAAAATATACTTAAGAATATCAGATATATGTTAAATGCTAAATAGATGACACAGATAAGAATACAGGCCATAAAGTCAGAGGACTGGGCTTCTCTGAACCATTTTTCTTGCTGTAAACAAAATAGCAATTCCTACCTCCTAGAATGATTCTATTTAGAAGAGAAGGCAGCCACCAAGATGGTCTTAAAATGTAGTATAAGTGTAGAGCTGGGCCTTAAATAACCATTTGGAGACCTCTTATCATGCTCCAGGAATTGTTCTAATTGCTTTCATGTATTAACTCATTTAATCATTCCAACAACTCTAAGGAACAGATACTATTATTTTTTTCCCAATTTGAACAATGAGCATACTTAAACTCTGGAGAATGTAATTAGCTGGCACAAAGTCACACTGTTAAGTATAAAGCAGGGGTTCAAACTAGAGCCACCATCTGCCTTAAAGCATTTAACTACGATATGAAACAGCTTCGGCACACCTTCAAAGGGTAGGATTTACACAGACAGGTTGAAGGAGACATAACCACCTACCCCAAAATCAATTGACAAATGTGCCTAAGGCAGAAGGTGAGGGAGTGCAGTTGGATTGCGTAATTACCCTGAAAAACCACCTGTTATGGAAACCATCTGTAAACTTTCTCGAGTGTTTCTCCTATAATTCAACACTTCTCCCATCTTTACATTAAATTCATGAAATTTGACACAAAAAGACAATTATTTATCTATTTTAAGGCTACTACCCTGTTGCCAGGCCACCGGGTCCGGCCCAGCCTTGATTCTTCGGGAATCACTTCTCCCTCGCCGCGCCTGTTACTGCCTCCACGGATCACTGTGAGGAAAATAAATGAAAAGGAAATTCAGTGCGATCCTGTTGCGGCTGATCCTAAATGTCTGCAGTTGCTATCTCCGAATCCTCTTTCTCCTCCCCACTACACATCCCCTTCTCCAGTCCTAGGACCACAAGAAACTTCCTCTGGTACAAAAAGGTCAGAAAACGATTACTGAGGTAACAGCGTCGCTTCAAGTCTAAGGACCGAGATTCTGGGGCCTCTGGGCTCCTTTACTCCAGATTCTAGACCCGGCTTTCGCGCTACCAGGCCTTGGATAAGACACTAGGCCCTGTGCCTGGACACTGCACCTCCCCAGGCCTCAGTTTCCACACCAGATCTCTACAGAGTGGGCGTGAGGGCAGGCCGATTCTCCCGTTAAGAGCTCTTACAAGCCGGCTGACTTCGTCCAGGAGCCTGGGGTCCTGGCCTCCTGGTAGGCGCCCTGGGGCCCTCTCCCTCCCCAGCCACCACCTCAGATAAGTTACCTCATCCTCGCTTCGCGTTCTTCCACTAAAGAACCTGGGGCTCCCACGCCGCACTACAGCGCCGCGGCCTTCCGGGGCAGCGTGCGTCGCGACGCGGGAAGGGGCCTGGAGGCGGGACTAGGAGCCTCGGAGTCAAGGGGCGGAGCGCCCTTTGCTAATAAGCCAATCAGAACGTGAGACGCTCCGGTGGGGCGGTGCGCGTCGAGCGCGGGGTGGAGTCTGGGTGACTTGGCTGGCGGGATCAAGTGCAGCTGCTTCAGGCTGAGGTGGCAGATAGTGAGCGCTGGTGGCGGAGTTAAAGTCAAAGCAGGAGAGTAATTATGAATAGCGCAGCGGGATTCTCACACCTAGACCGTCGCGAGCGGGTTCTCAAGTTAGGGGAGAGTTTCGAGAAGCAGCCGCGCTGCGCCTTCCACACTGTGCGCTGTGAGTGAGGACCATCCGGGGATAGAGGGGGAGCCTCCCGGGATGGGGGTGAAGAGGCACAAACCCCTCTGGGTTTTGTTCCCACAGTACCCCTTACACTGTTGGAGACTACGGGGCGGGGAGGGGGGAGGCAGCGCGATCCTCTAACCTGCTCGGAGTCTTAGGGGGTCGGTGGAAGGAATCGGAGTAGAGCAAATGTGGGTAAACCCTGGACAGAGAGCGTTGAGACCAGCAGACAGGAAGGGAAAGTGTGAAAAAAGTCTGTAGAGGTGACTGTGGAGACAGACGTGACAGGTGGATGATGCAGGGGTGGACAGGAAAATAATAAGGTGACAAATGGGAAGGGACTAAGGACCGAATGCCGGGGAACTTGAATGCCTTGAGGCTGGTGGGGCAATATTCTCTCTTTTCATCACTTTTTCTCACCTCTGGCAGATGAGGGTTCTTATTTGGTGTGTTCTTTGCAAAGGGAGAAATTCTCAACCATCCCAATGATCTGTATATCTCTTTGGACCCCAGATTTCACTCAGTTATCAAATACTGATTATCAAAGTATTCGAGGGTGTGTTATTAATTTCTTTATTTGGAAGATGCTTACCTCCCTATGATTTCTACCCTTTGGTTTTCTTTATGTCCTCTGGAACTAGTTTTAATAAATTATTCTCTTTTATGTTGTTGGAGTAGAAAAAGGAGCTCTTTTGCTTTAGCAGTTGGATGATATAGATTCCAGGAAGGAAAATATAGCATATAAGTTTTTATGTGTAAGACATTCGTTTTTTGCATAACAACTGTCATAGAATTGTAGAGCGGGAAGGAAACTTCAAGATCACTGAATTATAACTTCTCATTTTTCTGTGGTAAAACTGTAAGTATTTTTTCACTTCCTTTCCCCAGCCTTGCCCTTCCTTAATATCTCATCATTCCGCCTTTCTCAGTCATTCTGTTCTCGGGTTGTTTAGAGACCTTTATGGTTTTTACTCTGAAATGTTCCATGGTTCAATCAAAACAACTAATTAAAGCATACATTCTCCCAAAAGTTTATTTAAGTTGTAGACAATTTAGTTATAGTTACTCAAAGTAAAGGTATGAAGAACCACTGGTTTTAACCCTGCAAGAATATATTTACTAAAAGGGTTTTTTTAAAGCAAAATTAACATCCAATTGGTAGAATAAATGGGTGAGATATTTGTGAACAGAAACTCTTCAACAGTGTCCCTTGTTTATTCTTCTTTATCATATACTTTCTCATCCAGAGCTCCCCACGATGAGATGGTGCTGTGCTGGCTCTGCAGTTTCTCTCTCTTCAGTCCCATTTTCCGGAAGTGTGATATGCGTCTTTATCTGGTTTTTCCATGCCTTTTTCTCAAATAGTATCTACTCTCTCCTTTTCTCTTCCTTCTCAGGTATGCAATAGTCTTAATATTAATTTTTCAAGTTACAAGGGCTTAAGATTATAAAAATTTGCTTAAGAATATATTTCTATATGATTTGGGTATATATTCTCTTATGTAGGGCACAAATCCCAATTTAAATGAATAAAAAATTGCCTTTGAAAATAATCTTGCAGGTCCTTCACAGCCTTTCATTTATAAAGGTTCTGAAAATGCCAGTATCTTGAAAGTCAGAGGATCAGATGATCCAGCTACCAGAATGAAAATAAACAAAAATAAGCAAAACAACAATAATGACAATAATAAATAAACAAACATACATGTTTGAATACACACTTAGTCCTGTGGAAGACAGAACTATTAGAAAAGTTTTCAGTCCTTATTTTCTTTTATTGTTGTTGTTGAAGCAGGTGTGGTAATGGCACAGAATCATTTTAGATTTATTTAAATAAAACTGTTTATTATTCTTGAGGACAGGTTCATTTCCAATGTAATCCTCACTCTTAAGAACTCAGAGTGAGGTTTGAAAATTGTAGAATAGTATGAAGCTGATGTTCATGCAGATAAGGGGGACCTAATTTATAACCAACCCTCAAGCCAATGTCATTGGAGAGAAAGTAATATTCTGCCTTTATTTACAGGAGCAATTCTGCCTGTCTGATATAAGACTTCAGGCAAACCCGGATGTGAATCCTGGTCTCCACCACCTATATATATAATGTGACTTTGGGAACATTCTCTAAGCTCTCAACCTCAGTTTTCTTATGGCTAAAAGATAATAGTAATATTTACATTTCATGGTTTGTGTAAGGATTAAATAAGATAGCATAAACAACCTGGAACAATATTTGCCACAGGGTAGAGAATAAATAGTAGTCACCATTAATGTTGAAGAGTTATATTCATATGTGTACGAGGGGTGCTAATGAATGTAATTTAGTCAGACTTTGAAACAGCATTTATCAGAGTTTAGCAATAAAAACTATCAAAAAGATAGTCTGGCATGTGGTAGGAAGGGCATGGGATGTTCTATCAACGATAAGCTGAATGCTTAGCAACAGGTGCTTTACCGGGTAGAAGAGTTTCAATAACAGGACCTACTAGAATCAATTTTGAATTGGGAGTAGTACTAGTTTTACTATTTATATCCAGATAAGGCAATGAATTGTGAAATCCTAAGTTTGTAAATGACACCACTTTTTTGTGTCCTTAAATGATGAGCTAATGAGCAGTGTGGGTTTTGGAGTTGGTTGAATTCATTCAAATCCCGGAAAATAAACTGATGATAATAATTGTGGATTCTTATGAAAATATTGGCATTATGTGATGTTACAGTTAAAATAATCAGAAAAGCGATAAACATTGGCAGAAAAGGTATTAAATACAAAGTAGAAAATGGTTTTCTACTCTTCATGCAATATAATAAGTAATTCCATTGTAAACCTGAAAAAATTGCATAGATGAAAGAAATCCAGAGAGAATAAATAAATGGTAAAGTTGGTGGTAGGGTTTCCAAACCAAGGAGAACTGAGAAATGAACTATTTAGTCTGGAATCATAGCAACTTGGAAGAGAATATGTTTGACATTTAGAAGCATACAGAAAGTATGAATATGAGATTAATCAGCAAATTCTTTAATTCTGGAACTCAACCACTTGAAACTCGGAAGTTATATACTTTTAAAAAAGTGTGTGAGGACAAAAGACAACACTGCTTGATATAATGGGTAATAAAGAGTAGAGTTTATTAATCCTAACAGTAGAATAATTAGAAATGTAAATAGATTCAGAATAGTTTTGGCAGATTTATTGATTATGAATTCATGTTTATCATTAAGTAAAGCTAAAGATATTTTGCATACATTTGTCTCTTGCAGATAATCTCATATACTATAGGCATCTATGTAGTCTTCAGGGACCTGTGAACCCCTTGGGATTGTACAGTATTTGATATGTATGTTCATATATGTATTTTTCTGTGGAGAGGATCAATGATTGGTCTATAATTTTCATCAGGTTTTCATAGGGATGGATTTATGATTGTCTCTCATCTCCTAATACTGCTCCCCATACACATACATACAAGTTAAGATCTGTGGATGTAAGACAAACAGGCTATATAATATGAGGAGATAAATTATGTGGCTTGAGTTCCTGACTTCATCATTTATTGACTTCATTACTTTAGAGGAGTTCTCCATTAGTAAAAGGTGGGCAAAATGTTCAACCCAAAATTTTTTTTGTGAAGATTAAAATTGATAGTATATTGTAAAGAAAAAAATCACTTCATAAACACTAAAACAGAGGTTATAGATTAATAGCATATAGGCTGAGCTTGACTTTAGAAGTGCTTTGTTTGGTCCACACCATTGTTGTTTTATCTTGAGTTAGTTGCAAATACCTAACATTCAGGACCTTTTATATAAAAAATCTAGATTTTCAGCTTATCTTTAAAAATCAGATGATAAGCTGGCAACATTGATCCCATATCTTCTCTTGGCAGCAGTTGGGTGGAGCAGAGTTATGAGATTGGGTTTATTCATCCTCCGTGTGACTATGATTCCCACTGGTCAGCTTGACTGCCTGGGTTACCCTGCTGGCCTCTCTAAAGCATCATTTAGCTGTAGTTAAATGACAACCATACCTTCCAGTATTTCCCTTTGTGTTACTGTGAGAAAAATATTAGAAGTCAGAGGGCCATAGTTTTATTCTGGGATGTCATTTCTAAGGTTTTAAATATTTATCATAAAAAATTCTTTATTGTCAAATATTAATAATGGATGCTGTCTATGAGAACAGAAGTATACCGGTGAAAAGTATGAAAGGAAAATGGCAGTCTAACCTAAAGAGATTGAGAGTTTTGAAGTAGAGATGAATCTGAGCCACAGAAAATAATTAGAAAACAAGTATTTTACACATAATTTGACACTTTATATATACTTAAAATAAGTTTAGAAGTGATTCAGAGAAGAGTGAACAATATGAACCTGAATGAACTACAAGATCTCTTCTGTATCCATTACATTAAAAGCACTGTGCTAGAGCCACTATGTGGAGAAATTAAAGTATGAGTACTATGCTTTAAAAAATTACAATCTAATAGGACATGTCCACGAAAAGGTAAATAATAGGTCGGGCACCGTGCCTCACGCCTGTAATCCCAGCACTTTGGGAGGCTGAGGAGGATGGATCACGAAAGTCAGCAATTCAAGACCAGCCTGTTCAAGATGGTGAAACCTTGTCTCTACTGAAAATACAAAAATTAGCGGTCGTGGTGGCGGGAGCCCGTAATCCAGCTTCTTGGAAGGCTGAGACAGAGAATTGCTTGAACCGAAGAGGCGGAGGTTGCGGTGAGCCGAGATCGCGCCGCTGCCTCCAGCCTGGGCGACAGAGTGAGATTCTCTCAGGAAAAAAAAAAAAAAAAAAAAAAGCCAGGCGCGGTGGCTCACGCCTGTAATCCCAGCACTTTCGGAGGCTGAGGCGGGTGGATCACGAGGTCAGGAGTTCCAGACGAGCCTGAACAACATGGAGAAAGCCCGTTTCTACTAAAAATACAAAAATTAGCGGCCTGTGGTGGCGCGTGCCTGTAATCCCAGCCACTCAGGAGGCTGAGGCAGGAGAATCGCTTGAACCAGGGAGGCGGAGATTGTAGTGGGCCAAGATCGCGCCACTGCACCCCAGCCTGGTGACAGAGGGAGACTTCGTCTAAAAAAAAAAAAAAAAAAAAGAAAAAAAAAAAACGGGCCGGGTGCGGTGGCTCACGCCTGTAATCCCAGCACTTTGGGAGGCCGAGGCAGGCAGATCATGAGGTCAGGAGATCGAGACCATCCTTGCTGACACGGTGAAACCCCGTCTCTACTAAAAGTACAAAAAATATTAGCCGGGAGTGGTGACGGGCGCCTGTGGTCCCAGCCATTCGGGAGGCTGAGGCAGGACAATGGCATGGACCCAGGAGCGGAAGTTGCAGTGAGCCGAGATCTCGCCACTGCACTCCAGCCTGGGGGACAGAGCGAGACTCCGTCTCAAAAAAAAAAAAAAAAAAAAGGTAAATAATATCAGGTAGGTAGTTTATGATAGGTTTTGATTAATGGTTTAGTAAATGCTACAGGAATGGAGAAGAAATTGAGATTCTGGGTAGTACGGAAAGGACTGCACCCTGAAATAGCTTCAGAGAAGAGGGAACTTTGAAATAGGATTCAAATTCTAAGAGAGCAAAAGGATAGAGAAAAGCAGAAGGGCAGACCATAAGGTGTTCCAGTAGTTTAGCTGATTGAAAACTAGCTTGTCCACAGCAAGAATGGAAGGGGATGGCTTTGAAAAATATTAAAGAAGATATAATAATTAGATGTAAATGATGAACGACATAGAGGAATATTTAGAGTAATCCTTAGATTGATGAGCAGAACTTTGAAGGATAGTTACAATTAGAAAGTTGAGGACTACCGGGCATGGTGGCTCACGCCTGTAATCCCAGCACTTTGGGAGGCGGAGGCGGGCGTATCACCTGAGGTCGGGAGTTCAAGACCAGCCTGACCAATTTGGTGAAACCCCGCCTCTACTAAAAATACAAAAATTAGTCGGGCTGTAGTGGCGCACGCTTGTAATCTCAGCTACTCAGGAGGCTGAGGCGGGAGAATCACTTGAACCCAGGAGGCGTACGTTACAGTGAGCCGAAATCGCGCCACTGTACTCCATCCTAGGCGGCAGAGGGAGACCCTGTCTCAAAAAAAAAAAAAAAAAAAAAAAAAAAAAAAAAAAAAAAGAAAGAAAGAAAGAAAAAAGATAGAAAGAAATAGATAGTTGAGGACCAGCCAGGCGCAGTGGCTCATGCCTGTAATCCCAGCATTTTGGGAGGCTGAGGCGGGTGGAACATTTGAGGCCAGGAATTCAAGACCAGCCTGACCAACATGGTGAAACCCCGTGTTTACTAAAAATATAAAAAATAAGGCCGGGCGCAGTTGCTCACGCCTGTAATCCCAGCACTTTGGGAAGTCGAGGCGGGCGGATCACGAGGTCAGGAGTTCGAGACCAGCCTGACCAACATGGTGAAACCGTCTCTACTGAAAATACAAAAATTAGCCGGATATGGTGGTGCACGCCCGTAATCTCAGCTACTCAGGAGGCTGAGGCAGAAGAATCGCTTGAACCCGGGAGGCGGAGGTTGCAGTGAGCTGAGATCGCACCACTGCACTCCAGCCTAGGCGACAGAGAGACTCCGTCTCAAAAATAAAAAAAAAATAAAAAAATAAAAAAATTTCCGGGTGTGGTGTCATGTGCCTGTAATCCCAGCTACTCAGGAAATTGAGGCAGGAGAATCGCTCGAACCCGGAAGGCAGAGGTTGCAGTGAGCCGAGATCTAGCCACTGCACTCCAGCATGCAGGACAGAGTGAGACCCTGTCTCAAAAAATAATAATAATTAATAAAGTTGCGGATCAACAAAGTCCACTAGTATAGGCACCCACATAGGGCATGACGATAACTTATTTATAAATAGTGAAAGATTTTATGAGGCAGTTACTTCATTTATACTGTATATATCCATATTAAATGACTTTGGTTCTTATTTTAGATTCATAAATGGTATTTGATAGCCCAAACTAAAGTTTTTTTCTCTCTTTGTTGACATTGATATATCTTGGCCAACCTTTCATCTTTTTTATTCTAACTGGGTTTTGCAGTTCGTTTTTCTAGCTTTAGAAAACAGTTGCATGATCTTGGGCAAGGAACTTAATTTTTTTCCACCCTCACTTCCCTTATCTGTAAGATGGGGTATTCACTACTTTTCAGGATTGGTGTGAAGCTTCAAAGTAAAAATCATCAGGAAAAACTTTTAAAATTGATCAGCATGTAATAGCTGTTATTGTTGTTTTTGTTCATATCTGTGTTCATTCTCTTAGATTTTCTGGCTTCTTCTACTTTATCTCTGTGATACTTACTCAAGTTCAGTTCTGATTTTTTTCTCCTCAATAGCACTGTCCTTTCAACAATTGACATTATTTAAAACTTATTTCCCTCAGTCCAAACCCTTTTTCAAGCATCTAAAACTTAACACCTTAATTATACCTTTCACTTTTCTCACTTTGCCACTGCTAACAAACTCCTCAACTTATTTTCAGTCTAATCTTTATCCTTTGACTCTTCAGTTATACTTTCTAGGGATATACTGTAAATCAAAACTCTTTCACATTTTCATATTGCTTATGTTATTTTTATAACTGTATCTTAAAATCTAGGAATAAGCATCAAGATCTTATTCAATTTTTAATTAAAGCAGCATGAAGAATATATTATAAAAATACTTTCTGTAAATTGTTTATATTCATTTGCATTTATGTTTATTTAAGGAATAGAGGAATGGATTTCATTTATTTCAGAGTTGTTATAAGAGGTAAATATGAAGTGTTAAGCATGGTGCCTGGCATGTAGTAAGTGTTCCATAAATGTCAGCTATTTTAATTGTCATCGTGAAGCAGGGCCAGCCTTTGTTTATTTACAGAGCAATAATTTGATGATTATTGGAAAATTCTCCTTTCCCAAGGTTTTCTAATTATAATTCCCTAAATTCCACTTATAAATATCCATTACTTTGGATTTAGACTTTCTGTCTTTGGGGCCTTTTTGTTAATATGAAGATTAATCTTTTGGAACAATGGGTAATAACTGGGAGGGGGCTCCGTGGAGCTGGTAATGTTCTATTTCTTGATTTGGTTGGTGGTTACATGTGTCACTGTGTAAAAGTCAAAGCTTAATTTTTGTTCTCTTTTGCATTATACCATATTTTAATAAGGAGCTAATGTATATATAACACAGGGAACTATATATCAGAATTATTAGCTGTTGATGTATATTCGTATGAATTAGTTTTAAATGGCTTTAATTGCTTAGAGGGTTTTAAGCTTGTTTAACATGTGAAATATCTTAGTACCCTGAATTTCCTCCTAGATGATAGATTTTAATGGCATCGTTTGAACTATGATTTAACTCAAAATTAAATTGTATTTTAAGATCTTCTAAAGTGACAGATTTGGTTAAATTATACATCATTTAGTGGTGTACATATTCATGAAAAAAACTGTTAAACTAGAAAGATTACTTTTTCTTAAGTTTCTTCATTAATATGTACTGTATTTGCTATGTATTCATTCATTTTGTTTGGATAGAATGACAGACAAGTGGTAGTAGAATGACAGACAAGTGGTAGTAGGCACCAAAGGTGCTTTAAAAAAAATTTATGGGCCAACATTCATGAACTAAGTCAGCAGCCATTAAAAATGACATAAAAAAGAAAAATTTATTGGAAAAAAGGACTGAAAATTGAAAACATTCTACCTATATCAGTTTTTTAGCAAGTTGTGAAAACACTGACATTATTTAGTTTTTAGCAGTAGAACATGTTAGTCAGGTTCATCTTGTCTAAACAGGATTCTATGGAAGCATGAGTGTCAGTAATTCTGTTTTAGAGTATAGCTATTTCTTTTTTCTCAGAATTATGCATACAGAAATAAATAAACTAGATTGTATTTTGTTTGTTCATTTGTAATATGAATACTTTAAACCATTTTAATTACAAAGCTCTTGAAAAATGATTTATCATTCTGAAACATGCTCATAATTTTTATATCCAAATATCATTACATTTTACAAAAATTGGTATTTGTATCTATTTTTAGATGACTTCAAACCTGCTTCTATTGACACTTCTTCTGAAGGATACCTTGAGGTTGGTGAAGGTGAACAGGTGACCATAACTCTGCCAAATATAGAAGTGAGTATTTCTGTATCTTTAAAGTGATCACTTTTGTGGGATTCTCAGTAAATTTAAATGAAAATAATTGCACAATTTGTGTAGTGATAATTGGTTAAAGTAATTAGTAAGCACAGATAAGCAAAAACCATATTTTAAACTACTTTAGGCAAAAAAAACTTAAAATACTTTAGTCCATTTAATAGTTCCAAGAACTATCATAGCAAATGATTTGAAAAAAAATTAGAGTCTAAACAAATATTTATTAAATTCCTACTATAAGCCAGATTTTAAACACTGACCTTAGGATAGTAACATATCCCTTGCCTTCTAGTCCTAATCTTTTATAGCAGACAGACACATAACATCTAGTGTTATAAGTTAGAGCATATATGAAATTCTATGTAACCACATAAGTAGAAGCAAATACTCTGCCTGGTGGAATCTTAAAAAGCTTCATAAAGCAAGCAATATTTCAGCTGAGCCTTTAAAGGACAAGTAAGATTTTATTGGGTAGACAAGGAGTAGAATAAGCAAACAGAACAGTATGTGAAAAGCTCTGATGCCGAAAGAACAAAGAGTTTGTGGAATAAGTGACTTTACGTAGTAAATCATAGTATAATGAAAAATGGGATGGGCGCGGTGGCTCACCCCTGTAATCCCAGCGCTTTGGGAGGCCGAAGCAGGTGGATCACGAGGTCAAGAGTTCCAGGCCAGCTTGGCCAACATGGTGAAGCCCTGACTCTACTAAAAATACAAAAATTAGCCAGTCGTGGTAGTGGGCACCTGTAGTCCCAGCTATTTGGGAGGTTCAGGCAGGAGAATCGCTGGAACCTGAGAGGCAGAGGTTGCAGTGAGCCGAGATCACGCCACTGCACTCCAGCCTGGGCGATAGAGCGAGACTCCTACATCTCAAAAAAAAAAAAAAAAAAAAAAGAAAGAAAGAAAAAGAAAAAGAAAAATGATTGATAGCAACAGAGACTAGAAAAGTAGGTCAAGATGAAATTGTGAAGGATATTTTATGTTGTAATGTAGAATTTGGACTTTATCCCATAGGTATTAAAAAACCATTAGAAGTTTTAATACAGAGAGGTAACATGATTAGATTTAGATTTCTTAGATTAGAAAATCTCTTTCTTTTTAAAACCACTCCTCAAACTCTGGCTGAAAGTCCAATGATTAGAATTCTAATGATTAGATTGTGTTTTTGAAAGAACTTCAGCTGGAGTTTGAGGAGTGGTTTTAAAAAGAAAGAGACTGTCAGGGGAGGCCCTAACCAAAAGTTTTGTCCATTAAAAAAATTTCCAGATGTATCCAAGTAACGGTACCAAATACTATTCGCATACAAATATAAGTTCTTTGTTGTATGCTCTAGTTTTCTCAGTCCTTGAGTTAGAAATTTTTGAGTATTCAGCTTAAGTTTCTTTTTCTTTTCTTTTATACTGACTTTGTCTATTCTCAGAAAAAAATCAAGACTGTAACTTTATACTTTAATACATAAAGAAAATGCTGGATTTTTTGAGATTTTTTCTTTGTTTTGTTTAATTTTTGTAATGGGGTGGTTTTGTGCTAGTCCGTCCACATTCTCCTTTATGCATTAATGAGATGGTTTACCGTGGTTATACATATAGCAAGTAAACTCTCTATCCTCTCATCTGCTGTCTTTTTCTTATTTTTTATCAGTTAACCATTTATTGAGAGCCCACTATTATGTCAGACTGTGTCAGTTACCGTCTCTGGAGATTTTCCTAAGGCTAATTAAATTTGTATGGGCTTTTTATTGAATATTTCTATTTGTTCTCTCTGGAACTGAAGGAAATGAAAAATCTATTTAGTATGAGATGTTGTAGATAAGTTAATCTTTGTATTACTCTGTTATGAAAAATTGTTCAGGTTCTAGTATCTCTAAAACAATTTGGAAATTTAATCTCCAGTAACCTAAGGCTTCTTTGCTTTATGATGTTTATTAAAGAAAAACCTGAACCAACCACTGAATTTTAAGAGGTTAAAGCCTCACATTAACAGCAGGAACCATTGCGCCATTCCACTCCAGCCTGGGCAACAAGAGCGAAACTCTGTCTCAAAAAACAAACAAACAACAACAACAACAAACAGGAACCACTAGTCTATTGTCTCAGGCTATACAGTATTATTGATCAGTAATGATTGGTTTGCAGAATCACTTTAGTTGGATTTTTTTTTTTGCCAAGTAGAATATTGTTTTCTCAAGTTGCCATCCTCCCATCCTCATCCCTTGCATTGCTCTTCTCCTCCAAAGAAATGAGGTTTCTTATGTTTAATAATAAACCCTTGTCATTCATTCATATCTTGCTTTAACCAAGAGTTACCATCTTCCAGGTGTTTGGTTATGGTCTCAATTGAAATATGTCTTAAAGGAAGCACAGTTACAGGAGGCCTATGTTTTCAAGCCTGTGAATTGTAAATTTCAGAAATTGTAAAGAAATCATTTGGGAAAAAGTCACTACCACCACCACCGCTCCTTTCCACAAGCCCCCACAGATATGTCCAAAAAAGAATATGCCTCAGTATTTGTGTGTGTGTATATGCATGGACATTCTGTGTGATAAGTCCTATTCTAGGTAGCTGCCACTGGGAATACAGAAGTAGACTAGACACAGTCAGTGTCCTGAAACATTTTATCATTTAATGGGAGAGACAGGAAATAACTGATTAAAATGTAGAAATCTAAGAACTATAAAAAGATATACATAGAATATTAAAGAAACAGGAAAGAGAGGTATCTCAGCCAGGGTACAGGGAGGAGACATCAGGACACACTGAGTTTTGAAGATGAGTTAAAGTTACCCAGATAAAGGAGAGAGGGAAGGACATTTTAGTCAGAGAAAAGAAAAAGACAAGGACTAAGATACAACAACAAAAGAAAGTTTGTTAAACATTTGAAGAACTACATATAATGCCTAGTGGCATATATGTAGTTACATATGTAGGCATATATATAGGCTAGGTCAAAAGGCGTGCATATGAGGACAAGGAGGGTAATATTTAGATATTTAGGAATCAGATTGATAAAGGGTCTATTATATAATATAAATTAATTATAACTCATTTAAACAGTGAAAATGAAAGAGTTGGGGAGAGGGGGGGAGGAAGTATGCAAGGAGAAGGGTTCTGTGCTCCTGAGATTAGTTCAGATGGTCTAACCATTGTTTTATATGTGCATTTTAGTTAATATTGTGTATTAAAGGATAAGTCTTAATGCTCAAAGTATGTTAAAAATAGATGTAGTAAATCAGTCCCTTTATGAATGTCCTTTTATTAGTTTTTAGGAAGGCCTGTCTTCTGGGGGTGACCTTTATTAGTCCATCTCTTGGAGCTAGACATCCTATACTTAGTCACTGGGATGGTAGAAGAGGGAGAAGAGGAAGGATGAAGGGAAGGGCTCTTTGCTAGTATCTCCATATCTAGACAATGGTTTTAGATGATAACCACAGGTCTATATGAGCGTTTTTACTAAAGTGCCTGTGTTCATTGTGGACAAAGTTCATTATTTTGCAACATCTAAGCTTTATGAATAGGGTGACAACTTATGATAAAAACTAGAGCTAGTGAATTAGCCAATTTGTAAATACCTTTGTTATAATTGATAGAAAAGATGCATTTTGGACATGGAATTGTTAAGCCGCCTCTGAGCAGTGTATGTCAGGACTTGTTCATTAGGTTGGCAGCAGAGGGGCAGAAGGAAGTATACAGGCAGAGATGTATGCAGATGTGTCCATATATGTCCATATTTACATTTTGATAGCCATTGATGTATGCATCTCTTTTGGCTGCACTATAGGAGTACATTAAGTAATTCAATGGAAATATACTTTGCTAATATTTTAATGGTATAGATCTGCTAATGAATTCTCTTAAAAACATTATACTTAGTGTATTCTGCTGCTGTGTGTTTCATTTTAAATTGAGCATTAAGGGAATGCAGCATTTAAATCGCAACTCTGCCAATGCTTTTATCTAGAGGCGTGTTGCCATTTTTGTCTTCTATGAAATTTTTGTCCCAAGAAAGGCAGGATCACTTTTTTTTTAGCAGTTTGAGTTGGTGTAGTGTATTCTTGGTTATCAAAATACTCATATAGCTTTGGGATTTTGAATTGGTAAATATTCATGATGTGTGAAAAATCGTGATACATACTGTACAATGGCAGTCCCATAAAATTGGATGTTGTGTCTACACACACACAGGATCTAGAAGAACATGTCAAACTATAAACTGCTTGTGATTGTAAATGACTTTGTTCTTTGCTTCTTGTGCTTTTCAGTTTCCTATAGTGCACATATTAACTTTTAAAAAATAAGGGTTATTTTAAAAGCCCCCCCCCACACAAAAAAAAGAGAATGAAAGAGTTATTTAGATCACCATCTGTCAAAAGCAAATATTGTTTCTCCTGGGTATGTAGTCCTTGAACAATCATGAATAACAATGGAAATTACATTCTCAGATAGACTTTGTGAGGGGTTTCCCCCTTCACTTAAAGAACATCTTTAAGCAGGTAGGAGGTTTGCTTTTCTTCAGTGTTCTTAATTCTGTAGGTTTTTTGTGGAAATGTAATGGTTATTAGTTTGAGGCATTTAGATTCTTCTATTGTTTATATGAACTTGCTTTCGTCATCCTGGTATAACTGCCTAGGAAGCTTAGAGTCAGACCATAAAATAGAGCTTTTATTATATTATAATTTTAAGAGTACGTTTGGTTCTTTGATAGGGTAGATTTTCTAATTCCATTTGTCTTAGGTTTCTATGGTATTACCAAATAGAAAAAAATTAATAAAAACGAACACTGATAGTCTGGTTAAATAGTGGGCATTTACGAATCTCTCTTCCTTACAAACAGTTCTCCATGATTGCTACAAAATTTCAAAGTGTCGAATTTTGAAAGAAAAAGTTTTACTTAACTTGACTGTTAAGACTTGTCATTGGTGCTGAGATTGGCATATTTTTGGCATTGACTCTTTATCTTATGGGGTGCTTCTGTGGGCTTTTATGAAATAGCCCACTGCAAACTTCTAACTATCCTTCTATTATTCAGGCAATGCATTTCTAGTGGTTATGTATAATTCAACCCTCAAATCCTACACTTATGAGGCTCCTATATGTATGAGGGGTACTCCAGATGACCCTCTTGGGCAAAGTCCCTTCCCAAATGAACCTAGTCTGGTTTTCTCCAATGGGTTTACTTAGCCGACACAGGAACATAGTCCATTACATTCTTGGGACCTCATCTGATTTTAGGACCAGAGTCCTATTTTAACATTGTTTTAAAGTTATATTTTTTAATGAAGTATATCTTTAATTATTACAAAATAACATTTTTGTCCTATTTTTGTGTTTTTAAGCTTAAGTGCCTACTTCTCTGATATATATATATATGTATGTATATATATATATATCAACCTTTTTTTCTTTTGTGTGTTCACAGAATCTTAGTGTCTCTTCCTTTTATTTAGCTGATATTTATATAGCTATCTTTACTTTTTTTCTTTTGTGTATTCATAGAATCTTAGTGTTTCTTCCTTTTATTTAGCTGACATTTTGTATGAAGTATATCTTTTGTTAATATAGTATGCTGTTTTATTTTTAAACCCAGTTTGGCACTTTCTATTTTTATTGGGAGAATACTGTCTATTCAGTCTATTCACATTTAGTTCAAAATTGATATACTTGATTTTTATCTTATAGTTTATTAGTTTTTAAATATTTGTTGTTTCTTCTTTTATATTCTTTATTAGTTTTACCAACCATTTCTTTTTTTCCCTTTGTCTTTGATTTTTTTTTCATTGCTTTTTTTGATTACTCTTATTACTTTGGGAGTACTAGTATACTTTTCCATTCCATTATTGATTATTTTCTTTTCCTGGTGTTCATAATGAGGCATATGATTTTATTTTCTTATATGAAAACTGAGTTCCTCCATTATTTTCCTACCTCTATCAAGTGAGATTTTTAGAATACATTTATTATCCCTTAATAATAAGACTTTTTTTCTCCTCCCTTCCACTTCTCTTTCTTTCCACCTCAGCCAAGCACCTAAGTTTTTGCCAAGATATTGTGTTACATTATAGAATATCTTCATGTCAAGAATACTTATTTAGCTCTTACATTATACATTCTCAGACAGTCTATTCTTATTCTTTTTTTTATTATTTTTTGAGACGGAGTCTCACTCTGTCACCCAGGCTGGAGTGCAGTGGCGCAATCTTGGCTCACTGCAACCTGCATCTCCTGGGTTCGAGCAATTCTCCTGCCTCAGCTTCCCAAGTAGCTGGGATTACAGGCAGTGCCCGCCACCATGCCCAGCTAATTTTTTGCATTTTTAGTAGAGTTGGGGGTTCACTATGTTGACCAGGCTGGTCTCAAACTCCCGACCTCAGATGATCCACCTCCCTTGGCCTCCCAAAGTGCTGGGATTGCAAGCGTGAGCCACCGTGCCCGGCCAAGTCTATTCTTATCCATTTAAAGTTAAGTATATATAAATAGCCAGATTTCTTTTATCACTTCTTTTATTTATATTTATATTTTCTCTTCATTCCCCTATGTTGAGGTGTTGGTTCTGATTCCTTTGTTGTATGGTTAAGAGTCCTTTTATTCCCTCAAATAACATATGCACGCACTTATTTTATTTATTTTTTAGAGACAAGATTTCATTCTGCCACTCAGGCTGGAGTGCAGTGGCACAATTATAGCCCACTGCAGCCTCCAACTCCTGGGCTCAAGCAATCCTCCTGCCTCAGCCTTCCAAGCAGCTAGGACTACAAATGTGCACCACCATGCCCAGCTAATTTTTAGTTTTTTTTTTGTGGACACAGGTTGTCCCCATGTTGCCCATGCTGGTCGGAAACTCCTGGGCTCAAGTGATCCTTAGCCATCTAAAATGGTGGGATTACATGCATGAGTCACCACACATGACCCACTCACTTATTTTATATTTTATTTTACAGTTTTGTCTTTTGGTTGACAATCCTAAGTCAGTCATTCATGTGAACCAATTATAAGCAATTCTATGTGGTTTGTAAACAGTGGCAAATTAAGAAAGTTGGAGAGTAGATGAGAAGATCATGGAGGGTCCATGTGCAGGTTTATGGAATATGGCTTTATCTGAATACACAGTTTTTTAAGCACAGAAAGATTTTTAAGCAAGGGAACAATACGATTAGATTTGCCTGCTCACAGAATGGGGAACAAAATTGGAAAGAGAGTAGGGAGGAGAATAACAATAATCTAGGTGAATGACGATTGAAGGTGTGTCATCACAGTGAACATGGAGCCGATAGGTGGTATTCAATAGTTATTTAGAGGCAATGATAGTTCATATGCTTAGTAGTTGTCTGGTACTTTAGTAGTTGCCTTTCTTGGGGTATTGAATAAGGAATGGACAGAAACTGAAGCTTAAAAGTTAGGAATGGTGTTCAATTTAATGAGGGAGAAAGTTTACATTTATAAAACTTGTTCAAAATGTAGATGGCAGGTGTAGAGATTATGAAAGATTTGTTTCATTTGTTACTTATGACCAGAAATTGTCTATATTATTCATATTTAACCTTCATTGAATATTTATAAAGGTCTTGATACTTCTTCAGGTGCTGAGAGCAATTTTTTAAAAATTAATGATTAGTTCTTATTTTCAGGAGCTCAGAGAACAATAATACATTGTAATTTTTAGATGTATTCCATTCTAATTAAGAGTACAGATATCATTAAGAATATCTTGCACAAATCTCTTATCAACTGTAATTTGGAGTCCTTAGGTAACTATTTTGGGGTATCTTACTTGTTTCAGTCAACACATCTGAAAAATTTACTTACCAGCCAAGTAGACCCACTTTGTTTGGTTATAATCATGCTCCTGACTCTCCAGCTTACCAGGGCTTCAACTAAGTGCTCCACATCTAACCGTTTTAGAGCTAGCCCAGACATGTCTTCATCTACGTGTTGTGCATTCTTGATTTTCTGTAGATTACTTTAGTCTTTGGGAGAGGTAAAAAACCCACAAACAACTGTTCCTTTATTTTACATTTATAATTTTCCCTCCATACCTTCAGAAATCTCTAACCTACCCATCTTTTATGGCATTTTCAATTACCTAATTTATCTTATACTCCTCCTAGTGCTCATTTAGTAAATCTCTAATGATTAACTTTAATATGATACACCACTTAGCCTTTTTAGAGGTCATCCTTTTCTAACCTGATCTAACAGTACTATTTTATTATTTTTGTAATATTTGATAAAATTATTATGATAAATCCATTAAAATTTAATGTACTTTTATAAACTCCAAAGACAAACATACACAAATAATTGTTTAGAAATACATATATGTGGGATAAAGCAAAAGAATGACAAACGTAAAATTCCTTCAGGTTTGATGGAGCAGGGACAAAAGATAGGGGAGGAGCATGTAAGTAGATGTAGTTTATTAGTAATGATCTAGGTTTCTTTTATTGCCAACAGAATTGTATAATGAATTACATGTACCCATCACTGAGCTTTAACAATTATCAACATTTTGCTAATCTTTTTATTTTTTAATCTAATGTCTTACCATTTTTTTCCTTGGCATATTTTATAGCAAATCCCAGACAATGTGCCATTTCATCAATGCTTACTTATGTATCTCTAACTGATAAGGACATTTCTATCTAAGCACCATGCTATTATCACAAATAACATAATTGATAATACTTCGTCCATAGTCACAATTTTGTGATGATCTCAAAAACGTGTTTTTTACAGACATTTGTCTGTAAAATGTCCTAACTAGAATCCAAATAAGATTTCTACATTGTATTTGAATATTGTATTTCTTGTCTCTTTTATTCTTTAAAAGTCCCTTCCTTTCTTCTCCACCCCTTTTTTAATTTATCTTTTTTAGAGACAGGGTCTCACTGTGTTGCCCAGGTTGGAGTGCAGTGGCTATTCACGGGTGTGATTATGTCACACTGAAGCCTAGAACTCCTGGCTTCAAGCTGTCCTCCTGCTTCAGCACCCATCCTCCACAAGTAGCTGGTACTACAGTGCCTGCACCTGGCTCTCTTCTCTTTTTTATGCCATTGGTTTGTTGGAAAAACCGTACTATCTGTCCTAGAGAATATACCTACATTCTGGACTTCAAATTACTTCTATCTGGATGTATTTAACTTGTTCCTCTATTCCTTCTATTTTCTATATATTGGTAGTTATATATCTAAGGGCAGGCTGGATTACAGATTCTTTGGGGTTTGATAAGAATTAAATTCTTTGGGGTTTTTGTGTGGTTTTTGGCAAGAGTATTTTATGGATGGCGCAGTGTACTTTCATATGACATCATTAAGCACATAATGTCTGCTTATCTTACTTTTAATTATGCTAAATTTAATTAGTGGGTTTAGTGTAAGAGGTGTTCCTTAATATGCATAGGGAGGTACTGCTTTAAGAAAATGCCAGATTTTAAAAATTAAACTTATAAAGCAATAAGAAAGAAGATGAGGAGGCTGGGCACAGTGGCTTCTGCCTGTAATCACAGCACTTTGGGAGACTGAGATGGGTGGATCACTTGAGGTCAGGAGTTCGAGACCAGCCTGACCAACATGGTGAAACCCCGTCTCTACTAAAAATATAAAAATTAGCTGGGCGTGGTTGTCCATGCCTATAGTCCCAACTGCTCTGGAGGCTGAGGCAGGAGAATCACTTGAATCCAGGAGGTGGAGGTTGCAGTGAGCCGAGATCGTGCCACTGCACTCCAGCCCGGGCAACAGAGCAAGACTCTGTCTCAAAAAAAAAAAAAAAAAAAGGAGGAATAGAAAATATGATTCAAGGCTCTGTTTCCTTATCCATAAAATATATTGGTTGTGTTCGAATTGAATCTCAATTACTCATTATAGGCCAAAGAAACAAATCTTTACTGTCCCAAGGTGAGTACCTCCTGTCTTCCCTTTCCTCAATGACAGCAGCTTTGAGATTTCAGCCTATCTTCATCTGTCTTTTTTACTACACTCTTTGGATTCAGGGTAGTAAATTTAGGTAGTTTATGGGTGACTTGAAGTATAACATAGAAGGAGAAACCCAGAATCAAGATTTCAAAGGCCTTCCCAAGTGAATTCCTATGATAAATTTTAAGTAATAATAATTAACTTTTTAAACAGGGTTCAACTCCACCAGTAACTGTTTTCAAAGGTTCAAAAAAACCTTACTTAAAAGAATGCATTTTGATTATTAACCATGATACTGGAGAATGTCGGCTAGAAAAACTCAGCAGCAACATCACTGTAAAAAAAACAAGGTATGTGGTTTAATGAAATAAATTATATTATAAACATAAATTTCTAAGGAAATGTCAATAAAAAATTTATTAAGTCACATTATAATATAGGAGTTATTTCTGTGTGGTACAAAAATGTTTTAATCTTTTTCTAAGTTTAAATTTGGTGGAGATCCTAAGCAAAAAGCGTTTTACCACATTACCCTGTGATATATAAAAGCTTGTTTTGCTTCTAAATGCTTTCTATAGGTATAGGTACACTTTTTATCCTATTGTAGATACTTCTGTATAACTGGATTGAAGGAAGCCATTATACATTCTCTAAAATAATTTCATCTTCATTAGTAAAAATTTATTGAGTACCTAGGATGTGTAAGGTACTAGAAAAAGGAAAGTTTGCTCTGCAAACACCTCAAAACTTCTGCATTTTATTCAGATAAACAGACTATTCCATTTAAAAAGTCAATAGGAGAATATACCCATCTCAAATCCTTTTTGGAAATAGGTAACACATTACTTACCCTGTAATATAAGGATGTTTGCTCTAAAAGCCATGCAAATAGTATAGACAAAAATTGCTCTAGGAATTAAGAAAAAGGAGAAGTAATGGTAGATTGGAAAATTCAGGGAGGCCTTTTTGATGTACCTTAAGAGGAGGTTAGGATCATAAGAATTACCTTGGGTGCTTGTTAAAAATTAGTTCCCGAATCCAACCTTAAATCAGGGAAGGATCCTGGGAAACTCTATTTTTTAATATCCCCTCACCCCTACCATCCATGCCCTGCTGTGATTCACACCAGAAGAAAGTTTGTGCAATACCGATTTAATTGATTAGAGAGGAGATGAGAATGTAAGACAAGTTTGATATCTGATTTATTCAGGGCCAATGAGTAAGACCTACTTGAACGGAGCAGAGGTTTGTCTCTGTACCTGTGTATACGTTTTGGAAAGTAGGGGGCGATGTTGATATTGGGCTAGAGGTAAGGTTGTAATTTTGTTGGTTGAGGTTAGTGCCATCAATATTAACTAAGAAATTAGGACATTATCTTGCTGGTAGTCGTTACATATTAAAGTCTTTTTAACCAGGGATTGGCATGTTTACAGTTTTGTTTTAAAACATTAATTCAGTAGAGAAACTGAGTAAATGAAACAATGTAGGAATCAGAAAAATGTATAAACCAGGATTTTTGAGGGCAGGAATGAAGAGAAAGTGAGGTTCTAAAGACTTTTTGAAGGAAGAACTGACAGGATTTGGTGACTGGAAATGGGAGAGGCAAAAATCAAGCATACTTTTATTATACTACACTCTTCTTAAAGATATTGAAAGAAAAGTATATGAATCTCCTTTATTATCATGCCTGTCTTAAGTTATGAATGGAAACTTTAGAAGTGATTTAGTTTTAACAGAAATGATAATCTTAGAACTTACGGAATATATCGTACCTGTTATACACTTATATTTTTCCTTTTATTTTAGTCATTTGTGAATATCTTATCTGTTCAATTTAAGCAATGGCTTTTTTTTTTTTTTGGTTGTTGTTTTATTTATTTTTAAATAGAGATGGAGGGTCTCGTTATATTGCCCAGGCTGGTCTTGAACTCCTGGCCTCAAACCATCTTCCTTCCTCAGCCTCCGAAAGTGCTGGGATTATAGGCATGAGCCACTGCACCAGCCTGGATTTTTGTTTTTGTTTTATGAGACAGGGTCTCACTCTGTCACCCAGGCTGGAGTGCAGTGGCGCAATCATAGCTTACTGCAGCTTCTAACTCCTGGGCTCAAATGATCCTCCCACAGCCTCCTAAATAGCTGAGATTACAGGTGTGCATCATCATGCCCAGCTAATATTTTTATTATTTTTATACAGACAGGGTCTCGTTATGTTGACAAGGCTGGTCTTGAATTCCTGGCCTCAAGTAATCCTCCCACTTCAGCCTCCCAATATGCTGGGATTACAGGCATGAGGCGCCAAGCCTGGCACTGGTTTTGTTTTTGTTCTTGTTTGTATCCCTCAATGGACATGTGTATCACAGAAATAGAACTTGATAAATACTTGTTAAATAATGAACTAAATTAATGTTTTAATTATGGAATATTATTCTAAAGATGTTTAGGAAAAGAATAAGTGGTCAGTTTTAGTAACTTTGTAAGTTAAATTTTTGTTACATTGCTGTCATACCTGTTTCAATATTTGATATTCTTAATTGCAGAGTTGAAGGAAGCAGTAAAATTCAGTATCGTAAAGAACAACAGCAACAACAAATGTGGAATTCAGCCAGGACTCCCAATCTTGTAAAACATTCTCCATCTGAAGATAAGATGTCCCCAGCATCTCCAATAGATGATATCGAAAGAGGTAAAATCTAAGTATATGTAACATCCCTTTATAAGAGATAATTAAGAAATGTTAAGGCCAGGCATGGTGGCTCACACCTGTAATCCCAGCACTTTAGGAGGCCGAGGCAGGCGGATCATGAGGTCAGTAGTTCAACACCAGCCTGGCCAACATGGTGAAACCGCATCTCTGCTAAAAATACAAAAATTAGCTGGGCATGATGGCATGTGCCTGTGGTCCCACCTACTCGGGAGGCTGAGGTAGAAGAATCACTTGAACCCAGGAGGCAGAGGTTGCAGTGAGCTGAGATTGCGCCACTGCACTCCAGCCTGGGTGACGGTGAGACTCCATCTCAAAAAAAAAAAAAAGAAAAAAAAATGCTAAATGAATTTTTTCATTTTAATTAACAGTGGTACTAATTATAAATGTTTACCAAGAGCATAATATTTTTTGTAATTACGCATTTTTCTGGGTAATGATGTAGCTTATGATTTTTAGTTTTATGTAAGCAATATCCATATAAGAGAATTTGTATCATTTTATTTATTTTATTATACTTTAAGTTCTAGGGTACATGTACACAACGTGCAGGTTTGTTACATATGTATACATGTGGCATGTTGGTGTGCTGCACCCATTAACTCATCATTTACATTAGGTATATCTCCGAATGCTATCCCTCCCCTCTCCCCCAACCCCATGACAGGCCCCGGTGTGTGATGGACACCCTGTGTCCAAGTGTTCTCATTGTTCAATTCCCACCTATGAGTGAGAACATGTGGTGTTTGGTTTTCTGTCCTTGCAGTAGTTTGCTCAGAATGATGGTTTCCAGCTTCATCCATGTCCCTACAAAGGACGTGAACACATCCTTTTTTATGGCTGCATAGTATTCCATGGTGTATATGTGCCACATTTTCTTAATCCAGTCTATCATTGTTGGACATTTGGGTTGGTTCCAAGTCTTTGCTATTGTGAATAGTGCCACAATAAACATACGTGTGCATGTGTCTTTATAGCAGCATGATTTATAATCCTTCGGGTATATACCCAGTAATGGGATGGCTGGGTCAAATGGTATTTCTAGTTCTAGATCCTTGAGGAATCGCCACACAGTCTTCCGCAATGGTTGAACTAATTTACAGTCCCATCAACAGTGTAAAAGTGTTCCTATTTCTCCACATCTCTCTAGCACCTGTTGTTTCCTGCCTTTTTAATGATCGCCATTCTAACTGGTGTGAGATGGTATCTCATTGTGGTTTTGATTTGCATTTCTCTGATGACCAGTGATGATGAGCATTTTTTCATGTGTCTGTTGGCTGCATAAATGTCTTCTTTTGAGAAGTGTCTGTTCATATCCTTTGCCCACTTTTTGATGGAGTCGTTTGTTTTTTTCTTGTAAATTTGTGTAAGTTCTTCATAGATTCTGGATATTAGCCCTTTGTAAAATGGGTAAATTGCAAAAATTTTCTCCCATTCTGTAGGTTGCCTGTTCACTCTGATGGTAGTTTCTTTTGCTGTGCAGAAGCTCTTTAGTTCAATCATATCCCATTTGTCTATTTTGGCTTCTGTTGCCATTGCTTTTGATGTTTTAGTCATGAAGTCCTTGCCCATGCCTATGTCCTGAATGGTATTGCCTAGGTTTTCTTCTAGCGTTTTTATGGTTTTAGGTCTAACATTTAAGTCTTTAATCCATCTTGAATTAATTTTTATATAAGGTGTAAGGAAAGTATCCAGTTTCAGCTTTCTACATACGGCTAGCCAGTTTTCCCAGCACCATATATTAAACAGGGAATCCTTTCCCCGTTGCTTGTTTTTGTCAGGTTTGTCAAAGATCAGATGATTGTAGATGTGTGGTGTGATTTCTGAAGCCTCTGTTATGTTCCATTGGTCTATATATGTGTTTTGGTACCAGTACTATGGTGTTTTGATTACTGTAGCCTTGCAGTATAGTTTCAAGTCAGGTAGCGTGATGCCTCCGGCTTTGTTCTTTTGGCTTAGGATTGTCTTGGCAATGCGGGCTGTTTTTTGTGTCTGTATGACTTTAAAGTAGTTTTTTTCCAATTCTCTGAAGAAAGCCATTGATAGCTTGATGGAGATGGCATTGAATCTATAAATTACCTTGGACAGTATGGCCATTTTCACGATATTGACTCTTCCTATCCATGAGCATGGAATGTTCTTCCATTTGTTTGTGTCCTCTTTTATTTTTTTGAGCAGTGGTTTGTATTTCTGCTTGAAGAGGTCCTTCACATCCCTTGTAAGTTGGATTCCTAGGTATTTTATTCTCTTTGAAGCAATTGTGAATGGGAGTTCACTCATGATTTGGCTCTCTGTTTGTTTGTTATTGGTGTATAGGAATGCTTGTGATTTTTGCACATTGATTTTGTATCCTGAGACTTTGCTGAAGTTGCTTATCAGCTTAAGGAGATTTGGGGCTGAGACAATGGGGTTTTCTAAATATACAATCATGTCATCTGCAAACAGGGACAATTTGACTTCCTCTTTTCCCAATTGAATACCCTTTGTTTCTTTCTCCTGCCTGATTGCCCTGGCCAGAGCTCCCCAACACTATGTTGAATAGGAGTGGTGAAAGAGGGCATCCCTGTCTTGTGCCAGTTTTCAAAGGGAATGCTTCCAGTTTTTGCCCATTCAGTATGATATTGGCTGTGGGTTTGTCATAAATAGCTCTTATTATTTTGAGATACGTTCCATCAATACCTAGTTTATTGAGAGTTTTTAGCATGAAGGGCTGTTGATTTTTGTCGAAGGCCTTTTCTGCATCTATTGAGATAATTGTGTGGTTTTTGTCATTCGTTCTGTTTATGTGATGGATTATGTTTATTGATTGGCATATGTTGAACCAGCCTTGTATCCCAAGGATGAAGCCGACTTGATCATGGTGGATAAGCTTTTTGATGTGCTGCTGGATTCAATTTGCCAGTATTTTATTGAGGATTTTCACATCGGTGTTCACCAGGGATACTGGTCTAAAATTCTCTTTCTTTGTTGTCTCTGCCAGGCTTTCATATCAGGATGATGCTGGCCTCATCAAATGAGTTAGGCAGGATTCCCTCTTTTTCTATCGATTGGAATAGTTTCAGAAGGAATGATACCAGCCCCTCTTTCTACCTCTGGTAGAATTCAGCTGTGAATCCGTCTGGTCCTGGCCTTTTTTTGATTGGTAGGCTATTAATTATTGCCTCAATTTCAGAGCCTGTATTGGTCTATTCAGGGATTCAATTTCTTCCTTGTTTATTCTTGGGAGGGTGTATGTGTCCAGGAATTTATCCATTTCTTCTCGATTTTCTAGTTTATTTGCATAGAGGTGTTTATAGTATTCTCTGATGGTAGTTTGTATTTCTGTGGGATCAGTGGTGCTATCCCGTTTATCATTTGTTATTGTATCTATTTGATTCTTCTCTCTTTTTTTCTTTATTAGTCTTGCTAGTGGTCTATCAATTTTGTTGATCTTTTCAAAAAACCAGCTCCTAGATTCATTGATTTTTTTGAAGGGTTTTTTGTGTCTCTATCTCCTTCAGTTCTCCTCTGATCTTAGTTATTTCTTGCCTTCTGCTAGCTTTTGAATTTGTTTGCTCTTGCTTCTTTAGTTCTTTGACTGGTGATGTTACGGTGTCGATTTTAGATCTTTCCTGCTTTCTCTTGTGGGCATTTAGTGCTGTAAATTTCCCTCTACACACTGCTTTAAATGTGTCCCAGAGATTCTGGTATGTTGTGTCTTTGTTCTCATTGGTTTCAAAGGACATCTTTATTTCTGCCTTCATTTTGTTATTTACCCAGTAGTCATTCAGGAGCAGGTTGTTCAGTTTCCATGTAGTTGTGCGTTTTGAGTGAGTTTCTTAGTCCTGAGTTCTAATTTGATTGCACTGTGTTCTGAGAGACAGTTTGTTGTGATTTCTATTCTTTTATATTTGCTGAGGAGTGCTTTACTTCTAACTATGTGGTCAATTTTGGAATAAGTGTGATGTGGTTCTGAGAAGGATGTATATTCTGTTGATTTGGGGTGGAGAGTTCTGTAGATGTTTATTAGGTCCACTTGGTGCAGAGCTGAGTTCATGTCCTGTATATCCTTGTTAACCTTCTGTCTCATTGATCTGTCTAATATTGACAGTGGGGTGTTAAAGTCTCCCATTATTATTGTTTGGGAGTCTAAGTCTCTTTGTATGTCTCTAAGGACTTGCTTTATGAATCTGGGTACTCCTGTACTGGGTGCATATATATTTAGGATAGTTAGGTCTTCTTGCTGAATTGATCCCTTTCCATTATGTAATGGCCTTCCTTGTCTCTTTTGATCTTTGTTGGTTTAAAGTCTGTTTTGTCAGGGACTAGGATTGCAACCCCTGCTTTTTTTTTGTTTTCCATTTGCGTGGTAGATCTTCCTCCATCCCTTTATTTTGAGCCTATGTGTGTCTCTGCATGTGAGATGTGTCTCCTGAATACAGTGCACTGATGGGTCTTGACTCTTTATCCAATTTGCCAGTCTGTGTCTTTTAATTGGAGCATTTAGCTTATTTACATTTAAGGTTAATATTGTTATGTGTTAATTTGATCCTGTCATTATGATGTTAGCTGGTTATTTTGCTCGTTAGTTTATGTAGTTTCTTCCTAGCATCAATGGTCTTTACAATTTGGCATGTTTTTGTAGTGGCTGGTACCGGCTGTTCCTTTCCATGTTTAGTGCTTCCTTCAGGAGCTCTTGTAAGGCAGGCCTGGTGGTGACAAAATCTCTCAGCATTTGCTTGTCTGTAAAGGATTTTATTTCTCCTTCACTTATGAAGCTTAGTGTGGCTGGATATGAAATTCTGTGTTGCAAATTATTTTCTTTAAGAATGTTGAATATTGGCCCCCATGCTCTTCTGGCTTGTAGAGTTTCTGCCGAGAGATCTGCTGTTAGTCTGATGGGCTTCGCTTTGTGGGTAACCCGACCTTTCTCTCTGGCTTCCTTTAACATTTTTTCCTTCATTTCAACATTGGTGAATCTGACAATTATGTGTCTTGGAGTTGCTCTTCTCCAGGAGTATCTTTGTGGTATTCTCTGTATTTCCTGAATTTGAATGTTGGCCTGCCTTGCTAGGTTGGGGAAGTTCTCCTGGATAATATCCTGAAGAGTGTTTTCCAACTTGTTTCCATTCTCTCTGTCACTTTCAGATACACCAATCAAACGTAGATTTGGTCTTTTCACATTGTCCCGTATTCCTGGAGGCTTTGTTCATTTCTTTTTACTCTTTTTACTCTAAACTTCTCTTCTCACTTCATTTCATTCATTTGATCTTCAATCACTGAAACCCTTTCTTCCACTTGATCTAATTGGCTACTGAAGCTTGTGGAAGCATCACGTAGTTCTCGTGCCACGGTTTTCAGCTCCATCAGGTCATTTAAGGTCTTCTCTATGCTGTTTATTCTAGTTAGCCATTTGTTTAATCTTTTTTCAAGGTTTTTAGCTTCTTTGCGATGGGTTCGAACATCCTCCTTTAGCTTGGAGAAGTTTGTTATCACCAATTGTCTGAAGCCTTCTTCTCTCTATTCGTCAAAGTCGTTCTCTGTCCAGCTTTATTCCATTGCTGGCGAGGAGCTGCATTCCTTTGGAGGAGAAGAGGCACTCTGATTTTTGGAATTTTCAGCTTTTCTGCTCTGGTTTCTCCCCATCTTTTATCCCAAAAGGTAGATAAAGGTTTTATCTACCTTTGGTCTTTGATAATGGTGACGTACAGATGGGGTTTTGGTGTGGATGTCCTTTCTGTTTGTTAGTTTTCCTTCTAACAGTCAGGACCCTCAGCTGCAGTCTGTTGGAGTTTGCTGGAGGTGCACTCCAGACCCTGTTTTCCTGGGTATCACCAGCGGAGGCTGCAGAGTAGCAAATATTGCAGAAGGGCAAATGTTGCTGCCTGGTCCTTCCTCTGGAAGCTTCGTCTCAGAGGGGCACTTGGCTGTATGAGGTGTCAGTCAGCCCCTACTGGGAGGTGTCTCCCAGTTAGGCTATTCGGGGGTCAGGGACCCACTTGAGGAGGAAGTCTGTCCGTTCTCAGATCTCAAAGTCTGTGCTGGGAGAACCACTGCTGTCTTCAAAGCTGTCAGCAGGGACGTTGAAGTCTGCAGAAGTTTCTGCTGCCTTTTGTTCAGCTATGCCCTGCCCCCAGAGGTGGAGTCTACAGATGCAGGCAGGCCTCCTTGAGCTGCGGTGGGCTCCACCTGGTTCAAGCTTCCAGGCTGCTTTGTTTTGTTTACCTACTCAAGTCTCAGCAATGGTGGACGCCCCTACCTCAGCCTCACTGCTGCCTTGCAGTTTGATCTCAGACTGCTGTGCTAGCAGTGAATGAGGCTCCGTGGGCATGGGACCCTCCGAGCCAGGTGCGGGATATAATCACCTGGTGTGCCGTTTGCTAAGACCATTGGAAAAGCACAGTATTAGGGGTGGGAGTGTCACGATTTTCCAGGTACTGTCTGTCACAGCTGCCCTTTGCTAGGAAAGGGAATTCCCCGACCCCTCGCACTTCCCGGGTGAGGCAATGCCCTGCCCTGCTTCAGCTCACACTCTGTGGGCTGCACCCACTGTCTAACAAGCCCCAGTGAGACGAACCCAGTACCTCAGTTGGAAATGCAGAAATCACCCATCTTCTGCGTGGCTCATGGTGGGAGCTGTAGACTGGAGCTGTTCCTATTCAGCCATCTTGGAACCTCCCCTTGTATCATTTTAAATTACTATTCAGGGTAAAAAAAATGACTCTTTAGATATATGTAACTGGAGTTTTCTTCTTTTTGGCAATTGTGATGACTCAAATTCAATTCCTCACAGCATCTTCCTGTCAAAATTTTTTATGTATGGCCAGACTGTAGATATTTAAGATGTCACCAATTCCATAGGGAAATGAGGAAATATAGTAAGCAGAATAAGCAGGCAACTTTTTCTGAATTGCTGCTTACTTCTCAGAAGGGAGGTATTTTTGGGGAAGTACATACAGTCCTTTTGTAAGTAAGAAAACTTAAATCTCCATTTTTTTTCTAGCTGCAGTGTGGGTTATCAATGTTGTAGTAATTGTGGCTGCAGTGAGACCCTGGTCACTAAAGCATATTTGCTTCTACACTTTGCCTTCTTAAAATTTTCACATAGCTGTCCAATTTCAGTGTTCCCTTCTAAGCCCAGTAGAGTATTCATTCTCTAATCGATTAGTAGCTCCTATACAAACAATAAAAAAGACAAGTCCAGAACCCTTGGCGATACAACGGGTCTTGAATTTTATTTTTTTTTACATCATGCCTGCTTCCAAATGGATTTGAATTATGATGTCTTTATATACATGAATACAATAAAATATTGGTACAGAAAATCAAGATATTGAAGGGGAAGGGAAGGCAAATTTGCTAATCATTAACACATTAAATTGCTGGGTATGGTGGTGCACACCTATAATCCCAGTACTTTGGGAGGACAAGGCAGATGGATCACTTGAGCTCAGGAGTTTGAGAGCAGCCTGGGCAACATGGTAAAACCCCATCTCTACAAAAAAATGCAAAATTAGCTGGGTGTGGTGGTGTATGCCTGTAGTCCCAGCTACTTGGGAGGCTAAGCTGGGAGGATTACTTGAGCATGGGGAGGTCAAGCCTGCAGTGAGTCATGATTGTGCCACTGCATTCCAGCCTGGGTGACAGAGTGAGACTCTGTCTCAAAAAATAATAATAATAGTAATAATAATTTAGCTCTGAGCTTCTAATCACCAAGACATAAGGGAGACACAAGCAGCATATGTTGTATCATCTGATAGGTTACAAAGAATCAGACTTTTTCCTGTTACTAAATTCTAAAAGGAATTCATCATATGGAACCTTTTTCTAGGGAGCATTAAACTTTATATAGTATTCTCAACAATAATTTTACAGTACAAGTAGAAGTTCTTCCATGTGGTAGTTTTTTAATAGAGGCCTTAATAAAAGCATTGTATCAAAGCATAACTCAGGGAAAAGAACGTTGTAGAGGAGGCAAGGCACAGTGGCTCATGCCTATAATTCCAGCACTTTGGGGGCCCAAGGTGGGAGGATCATTTGAGCCCAGGAGTTTGAGAACAGCCTGAGCAACATGGTGAAACCTCATCTCAATTAAAAAATTGTAAAAATTAAAAGTTAAAAAAAAGAAAGTTGTAGAGGTTAACACAATCTCCAACCATAAAGCTTTCTATTTCTAACTTAGTATGAGAATGGAACTTCATTTACCTTGAGATATTTGTATAACATATTCCTTAGATTGCATTCTATAAAATATTTTCTTGACCCTACTGTGCCACTGACTACTGTTAAAATGGTTGAATCACCTTTTCAGGTTTATGTCTGGCAGTTGTACTAATATTTTTGTAGCTTAAATTTTACATTTACATCTTTGAGCTATCTAGAATTGAGTTTGGGAGATAAGATAGAGGCTAGGTGCAGTGGCTTACACCTGTAATCCCAGCACTTTGGGAGGCCGAGGTGGGAGGATCGTTTGAGGCCAGGAGTTTAAGATAGCAAGACCCCATCTCTATAAAAAAAAATATTTTTTTAAAAAAGAAATAAGATGGATCTAAAATTCTACTCCCCTACCCGGAGACAACTCACAGCTGGGAGTACCAACAAATAGGATGATACCACAGTGAGTGACTGCATTCCTCAAAGTGTTCTCCTTGCATGCCTGGCCTGAGGTTCCCTTCCTCCATCAGAGACACTCTATGGCCAGAAGGTCCCTGCAAGTAGAATTCTACTGTAATAAGCATTCAGCCTGGGAAGACTGTTTACACCACTCTACCTCCCAGACCTGCCCCCCTGCCCTATTAACCTAAGATTCTTCTCTCTCATCTAAAGACATCTTGAGACTGGATCGCACCAATAAAGGGGATCCTGCCACAACAAACACTTTGCTATGAAGCACTTTCCTTTCCTCCACCTCTCCAAGCAGGGGAGCCAATCACAACAAAAAATTGCCTGGTTCAGGAAGCACTCTTTATCCCAGGCAAGAGACTCCCTTTCACCTATACGCACCACATCTCCTTGCCTGGTGAAGTCCCTTCTTTCCTTCACGTGGCACCAGCAGGGATCATCGGGGACCCTAGCTGCTGGAGATTTAGTTGAGAAGACCAAGACAATACTGTAAAAACTCTGAAAACGAGATTGTCATTTAAACTACAGCCCACAACAGTAGGCAAGAATATGCATGCTAAACCTAAACAGAGTGATTGCCTACTAAAATTAAAAATTTGAATAAGATATAGATCTCCCCTAGCATAAAAACCAAGATATCCAAGATATAATAGAAAATTACCTGTCCTGGCTGGGTGCGGTGGCTCACATCTGTAATCCCAGCACTTTGGGAGGCCAAGGCAAGCAGATCACTTGAGGTCAGGAGTTTGAGACCAGCCTGGCCAATGTGGTGAAACCCTGTCTCTACTAAAATACAAAAATTAGCTGGGTGTGGTGGCACGCACCTATAATTCCAGCTACTTGGGAGGCTGAGGCAGGAGAATTGCTTGAACCCAGGAGGTGGAGGTTGCAGTGAGCCAAGATAGTGCCACTGCGCTCCAGCCTGGGCAACAGAGCAAAACTCCATCTTAAAAAAATAAAAAAAATAAAAAATAAAAAGAAAAAGAAAATAAAATTACCTGTCGTACCGTAATTTGTGATTCAAGAGAATCACGTGAATGAGAAAAGACAATCAACTGACACCAACACGAGGATGAATCAAATGTTAGAATTATCTGTCAATGATCTTTAAACAATTATCACGAATATCGTTCAGTTATACATTCCCTTGAAACAAATGAAAAACAAAATAGAAAATCACATTAAAGAAATAGAAGTTTTAAGTAAGAATCAGATGGAAATTATAGAACTGACAAATACAATAACAACAAAAATACTCACTGGATGGGCTCAGTGCTAGGGATTGGATAGAATCAGTTTACTTGTGGATGTATAGAATCCCCTCAACCTGAAAATAGAAAATAGACTGAAACAAGATGAGCATGTCCCCAAGAATCTGTGGAAGAATGATAAAATATCCAATATTTGTGTCATTGGAGTCTCAAAGAAGAGGGAGAGCAGGGTTAAAAGAGTATTTAAATAAATATGTGCAAAAACTTCCCAAGTTTTATGAAAGACATAAACCCACAGATGTAAAAACCCGAACAAGCCCCAAATAGGATAAACCCAAAGAAATTGATGCCAAGGTACATCATAATGAAACATCTGAAAACTAAAGGCAAAGAGAAAAGGGTTGAAAGCAAGAAAGAAATGACATATTACCTATGAAAGAATACCATTTGGTTAACATCCTATTTCTCATCTGAAGCCATGGAGCCCAGAAAGGAGTGGCATAATATATTTCAAGTGCTGAAAGAAAAAAAATGTTAAGTGTGAATTCTGTATCTACCAAAATGATTCTTCAGTAATGAGGGGCAAATAGCCTGCTTCAGAAAGGAAAACTGAAAGAATTTGTTCCTAGGAAACTATCCTTAAATATTGGCTGTATAAAGTCATTCAGACAGAAGAGAAACGTTAAATGAAGGAATCTTAGAGTATCAGGAAGAGAGAAACAGCAACAGAAAGAGCAAACATATCAATAAGTACAATTGATTATGATTTTCCTCATGACTTTTCTAAATCATATGTGATGACTGAAACAAAAATGATAATACCTTCTGATTCCCAAAATAATGATATTTCAAAGTGGATATGAGGTTACTTAGAATGGGAATGCATTGACAAGTCAGGTATGTATATTGAAAAACCCAAACCAACCACTAAGAAAAATAAACAAAATGACACCTTTTAAAACTTTATAAATTAATTGAGATGGCATTCTAAAATGTTTCAAGTAACCCACAGAAAGGCAAGACAAGCAAAACAGAGAAATGAAATACAGAGGAAGCAAACAGAAAACAAATAACAAATTGACACACTTAAGCCCTAACATATATCAATAATTACTTTAAACATATATTGTCTAAATAAGCCAATTAAACTGCAGATATTGGCAGGCTGTATAAAAAGTACACCCAACTATATGCTGTTTATAAGAAATTAATGAAATATGTAGCTTGAAAGTAAAAGAATAGAAAATATATACCATTTAAACATTAATTTTAAAAAGCACAAACATGTGACCATATTAATATCAGATAAAGATGACTTAAGAGCAAAATAGGCCAGGCGCAGTGGCTCACGCCTGCAATCCCAGCACTTTGGGAGGCCGAGGCAGGCAGATCACTTGAGGTCAGGAGTTCGTGACCAGCCTGGCCAACGTGGTGAAACCCCATCCCTACTAAAAATACAAAAATTAGCCAAGCACGGTGGCACGCACCTTAATCCCAGCCACTCAGGAAGCTGAGGCAGGAGAATCGCTTGAACTTGGGAGGCGGAGGTTGCAGTGAGCTGAGATCACGCCACTGCACTGCAGCTTGGGTGACAGAGTGAGACTCCATCTCAAAAATAAATAAATAAATAAATTACTACAAAGAGGTACATTAACAATGATTAAAGTATTGATTTACCAGAAAGACATAAGTGTGTATACATCTAACAACTGAACTGAACTGAGAAAAACGTGAAGCAAAAACTGCTAGAACTGAAAAGAGAAATCTGCAAATCCACAATTATGCCTGGGTATTTCAACACTCTGCTCTCAGCAACTAATAGAACTACTAGACAGAAAATCGACACATACATAGGAGATCTGAGTAACACAATCAACCCACACGATGTAATTGACAGATATGTAACATGCCACACAACAGCAGAATACACATTTTGTTTCAAGTGCCCATGGAATATTTACTAAGATAGACCATATCCTGGGCCATAAAACAAATCTCAATAGATTTATAGAGACTGAAGTCATGCAGACTATGTATCTGACCATAATGGATTCAAACTAAAAATCAATAACAGACAACAGGAGATATCTCTAAACACTTGAAAATTAAACACATTTCTAAAAGATCCATGGGTTAAAGAAGAATCATCAAAGGAAATTAAAAATACATGCAGCTAAATGTATTAAGTAAACATAGCATGCCAAAATATGTGTAATGCAACTGAAGAAGTTCTAAGAGGGAAATTTATGGCACTAAATGCTTACATTAGAAGTGAGGAAAGTTATCATATTAATTAATTTAAGTCCCTTTTTTAGGAAACTAGGAAAAGAAAAGCAGATTAAACCCAAAGCAAGCAAAAAGAGACAAATAATGAAAATAAGAAGTGATATCAATGAAATTGAAAACAGTAGAGAAAATTAATGAAACAAAAAGGCAGTCATCGGAGAACACTGTTGATAAACTTCTAGTAAGATTGATAAAAATGAAAAGACAGAAGGCACAAATTACGAATATCAGGAATGTAAAGTACAACTTCTATCTATAATCAGGAAAGTAATGAATTTACTATAGATCCAGTAGCCATTAAAAGTATTATAAAGAAATGGTAGGCTGGGTGTGGTGGTTCACACCTGTAATCCCAACACTTTCGGAGGCCAAGGCAAGAGGGTTGCTTGAGCCCGGGAGTTTGAGACCAGCCTAGGCAATACAGAGTCTCTACAAAAAAAAAAATTTTTTTTTTAGATTACTCAGGCAGTCAGGCGTGGTGGTGTGCACCTGAGTAGTCCCAGCTACTCAGGAGGCTGAGGTGAGTGGATTGCTTGAGCCCAAGAGGTTGAGGCTGCAGTGAGCCATAATTGTGCCACTGCACTCCAGCCTGGGTGACAGAGTAAGACCCTATCTAAAAAGAAGAGAAAAGAAATATGATAGCTTTGTGCTCATAAATTTGACAGTTTAGAGGAAATGGACTAGTTCCTCAAAAGCTAAAAACTGCCAAAACTCAACTAAGGCGAAGTAAGCAACTTGAATAGTGCTATCAATATTAAATAAATTAAATTAGTAATTAAAAAGCACCCACCCCAAAAATAGCCAGACCAAGAAGTCTACCAAACATTTAAAGAGAATTAACACCAACATTACACAATCTCTTCTGGAAAAAGGAAAAGGAAGGAATATTTCTAAGCTCATTTATGAGGCCAGTATTACCCCTAATACCCAAACCAGATAAAGACAGTACAAGAAAAGGAAAACTATGAACCAATATCTCTGATGAACTTAAACTCAAAAATTATCAATGAAATATTAGCAAATTGAATCCAACATTGTATAACAATAATTATGCAACATGAACAAGACAACATTGCTATTCTCACATTTTATTTAGGAGTATGGATGAGGGTGAGAGGGAGGGTAGGGAAGATACAAGCAGTAAACAAATAAGTATCCAAATGAATTTCAGAAATAAGTGTCTTGAAGAGAATTAAACTAAGCAATGGGGGTTGGAGAATGGAGAAGAAGGAAACTTTTGAGAAGGTTACACTTAAACCGATTCAAGAAGGAGCCAGCCTTTCAGAGATCTAGAATCTTCTCAAGAGACACCATTAATGAAATGAAAAGCCTAGCTACAGACTTGGGGGAACCTGGAAAAAATATTCACAAATGCCAAAAGTGTGACAAAGGGCTCATAGCCAGAAGAATTAGCTATAAAGAACTCTTACAAATCAGTAAGAAAAAGACAAACAAATATAAAAATGGACAAAAGATTTGAACAGGCTTTTCAAAAAAGATATTCAAATGGCCAGTAAGCATATAAAAAAACACTGCTTCATATTATCACATCAAAGAAATGAAAATTAAAACTACAAGAAGATACCATTGTACACCCTTCAGACTCACTATACCAAGTGTGTGTGTGCCCTAGTGAGGGAAGATATGAAGCATCTGTGACTCATACCTTGCTGGTTGGAGTGTAAAATCAGTTTGAAAACTGGGAGTTTTTAATGAAATTAAACCTATGCCTATTGTGACTTGGCAATTTCTCTCTTTCTACCTAAGAGAAATGTGTATATAAGTTCAAAAAGACTTGTAAAGGGATTTTCATAACAACTTTATTAATAATATCAAAAACTGAAAACAACCCAAATATCCATAAGTAGAAAATGGGTAACTAACTTGTGGTATATTTATATAATATAATATAATATAATATCATAGCAGTAGAGAAGAATAGGCTACAGATTAATTCAATAACATGAGTAAATATAAAAACATTATGTTGAAAGAAGGCAGACCAAAAAGTACATGCTGAGTGAATCTATTTGTATGAAGTTCAAGAATAGACGAATAGACAAAAATCTTTGGTAATAAAAGTCAAAATGGTGATTAGTGACTGGAAAAGAGCATAGGAGAATATTCATGGGAATGGAAATATTCTATATATTGATCTCAGTGGTAGATATACAGGTTTTATACATGCTAAAATTTATCTAGCTGTACATTTTACTTTATGGAAATTATGTATTAAACAAACAAACAAAAGATCTGGGTGAAGAATATACCAGGCAGAGGAAACAGCTAGTACGAAGAACATAGCCTGGAAATGGATTTAATGTGGTCAAATAATAGAAAGCCAGTGTGTCTATAATAGGGAGAATGAGGAAGTGGGCTAAAAATTACCAGTTAACTTAATGTAGCAGTGTACTAAGATGATATCAAATGTCAATGTGTTAACTGAGTGTATTATTCACTTAGCATTTTTTGGTTTAAAAAATTTTGTTCAACTATTTGACATTTGTATCATATGGGAAAATATTGACTTAAAAGTCAGTAGATTTGCCTCCACTCATAAATAACTGACAGCTTTTGACATTTCTGGATCTTCATTCCCTCATTTATAAAATTATGAAGTTGTTCTAAATGGTAGCTGAAGACCTTCCCAACTATAATTTTTTTGTGTATCTAGAACTTGAAAAATGCTAAACAAAAGAAGACATCATTATTATTCTTTTTATCTACAGAAATATTTATAGCCAAAGTTATAATGGGAACTGGCTCTTCAAAAATACTTAGAATATTTTAAATCCTTATTAAGGGAGCAGGGGGGAAACCTATAGATGCTTCATCAAAATGTTCTCTAGGAAAACCAGGAAAAGAATGAAGTTCATCTGTTACATTATCACATTATATTATATGTATTTAAAGGAACAAAAAATAATCAGAAGACAGTTTCTGCCAAAATAGATTTTAATTTTTATAGTTTTTCACAGTATTTACTTTATATTTGAGTTACCTGTATACTTAAGTACAATGGTTTAAATAAATGTGGAGTTTAGATTTAGACCTTGTCTATCCCTTTTAGTTTCTGTAATCCAATCATTGAAGTATGGCTTGATGGTAGAAGAGTTTTGTTTTTTAATAAAATGCTTCAAGTACTGTAAATGTATGTTTGATTTTAGTTTCAACAGTTTCTTAAAAACTAATACATTCAATTTTTATTATATTTATTTAGCATTTTTTATTTAACCTATCTATTCATTTCTGTCTTATTTTCAGAACTGAAGGCAGAAGCTAGTCTAATGGACCAGATGAGTAGTTGTGATAGTTCATCAGATTCCAAAAGTTCATCATCTTCAAGTAGTGAGGATAGTTCTAGTGACTCAGAAGATGAAGATTGCAAATCCTCTACTTCTGATACAGGGAATTGTGTCTCAGGACATCCTACCATGACACAGTACAGGATTCCTGATATAGATGCCAGTCATAATAGATTTCGAGACAACAGTGGCCTTCTGATGAATACTTTAAGTAAGTATACATAAACACAGGCAATTGGAAAAGTAAGAATTTATAGTGGAGCCATATTGATTGTGACCTAATATTTGGATAAAGAAAAAGATTCCTATTTTATGCATTTGATACTATTAATAATTACATTTTTATTGAATTATGGTTTTCTTTTGAATCTGTGACATAATGCCTTCTTGGTTTTTCTCCCATCTCTCTAGATAATCTTTCCTCTCACTCCTTTTCAAGTTTATATGATCCTCTGCTCAGTCATTAAAGTTGGAGTTTCTCAAGGCTTACTTTTGGGTTCTTTTTTTCTTTTCATTCTACAATTTCTCCCTAAATAACTTCCTCCATGTTTCTGTTGCAGTCAATACTTATGTGTAGGTAACTTGCAAATTTATATCTCTGATTCAAACCTCTAGGCTTTAGACACATGTTTAACATCATCTCCCATCATCTCATCACCTTCAAATTTACTTTGTCCAAAACCAACTCATAATCAATCTTTGGCTCACTGTGTTACCTCTTAGTGAAGGTAGCATACATCTAATTATGCAAATCATAAGTCTAATTATTTTCAATGGCTGAAGTTCTTCCTCTTTACAGTGTAGCCACTCCTTCATCAAGTCCTATTTGTTTTGCCTCCTCTATATTTCTCAAAGTCATCTGCTTCTCTGCATCTCCACCACTATCACAGTAGTTCAACCTATTATTTCTTGCCTTACCTACTACAATGACCTAACTGGTTCACCCCTTTATGTAGTCAAGCCCATTTTTGATCCATTATGTACACTGTAGCCATATTGATTTTTTTCACAATTCTAATACAATTTGTCATCTCTTCTGCTTTATACTTTTTAATAGCTTGTAATTTCTTTTAATATAGAGGCAAAACACCTTAACATAATCGTCTTGATTTTTCTTTTCTAACAACATGTGCTTTCTTTTTGCCACTATATTCAAATACTTTCACTCACATCAGGACCCTTATACATGCTGTCCATTCAGCCAGAAACACTTTCTTCTTTTCACATAATTTTTTCTCCTTTAGATTATAGTTCAAAGTTACTTCCTCTAGAAAGTCTTCACCTTTCTGAAGCTAAGAAGCTTCACCACAAGCTCCTATCTTTTACAGACCTTTAGAATATCAGATATGTCTTCTTTATATCAATTGTTTGACAGTTGTAAATTTACATTAATTTGTGTGATTTGCTCTCTTTCTCTAGAGTATAATGTTCCATGAGAACAAGGACCTTGTTTGTTTTTGCTTATCATTGAATTCTTGCACTTAGCACATGGTACTTGACACATAATAGATGCTCAGCAAATACTTTTTAATAAAGGCATGCAGGTTGGTATTACCTGGGGAGAATGGAATTTTCTGTATATTTAAAATTAATCTCACTATGTTTATTAATAATGAAAAAAGTAAGCAGCTAGGAAAGACTGACTAGCTTTAGCCTAATAATAGAACTAAAGAAGGGAGAAGCCAAGACTGAGAGGCAGAGAATTGGTAAACTATGGGTTAATTAGGGACCAGCAAAGATACTTTGAATTTCCAGTTATTTAGTGTTATTCTTGACTTGGGAAGTAATATTGGAAAATCTGATTTTTTGAATGGCCAAGAGAACATGGAGAAAACTCAGCTTGGTTGTACTAAATGAGAATCTGAGTAAAAGCTAGAAAAAATTTTCCAGTAATTAATAAGTTCTATAGTAAATTGAGCACCTGTCTAGGAATCAGCATATCAGTATTATATTCCTGACTTCCTTATCACTTATTAGCTATGTAACTAATAACACTACACTTAACTTTCTTGTAACTTCAGTTTCCTCATTGAAAGTAGAGGTCACATTGCCTTGTAGAACTTTGAAGGGGTTCAGGATATTTTATATTTTAGAATTTCTTTTTAAATCTAGAATAGTTTTTTAGTAAAACATAGCATAGTGAATTTGTGTTTTTAAAACCCCTTCTGTGCCAAACAAATAGGAACAATGGATAAAGTATTAAAAGGTAAAACCCAGACATGGCCAGAATCAAATATAAGATAAACATCTCTAAAGAGAAGAACTGGACTATAAACACAAAACAGTGGGCTTAGTGGAGCTGAAGCCATTGGATCTGAGTTCAAAAGAAGGTGATATTGGTAAGGATCTTGGTACTTTCAGGGAAAGGTATAATAATATAATGAGAACTTTTAGGGAAACTTTTAGGGAAATAATCAGAACTTTCAGGGAAAGGTATAATAATATAATGAGAACTTTTAGGGAAACTTTTAGGGAAATAATCATAACTTTCAGGGAAAGTTATAATAATATAATCAGAACTTTTAATAGTTTTAATAGTTTAAATGTTCTGATTCAGTGAACCTGAGTCATATTTTCTATTTGAAGCTAGAGAATGCATGTTGTTGAGGGGTAGTGGGGAAAGGGAGAGAGGGTTGATAGAGGTGGGGATAAATAATAAAAGGAGACTGGAAGAAATAGCCAATTAATAAAAGAGATTGGAAGAAATAGACATTTACATATTGACTGAGGCTACTGTGTTTTAGAAGGTGTGGGCATAGGGTCTGTAGAACCTTGATATCCGTTGACTCCTTGAAGGGATCTAGCATATCTCCAATATACCCAGAGGATAACAATCTCCAAATGTGATTATGAAACCTGTTTCTGGTAATGGAGCTCAGAGGACTAGGTGGAACGAACTACAAAACCCTGTCAGAGTGGTGTGAGGATAGAGAAAAACAGAAATTTTCCACTCAAAATGAGCAAACTTAATTCTAAAACAGAAGAAAAAAGTCTAATGCTAAGAAAGTCAGCCAACAAAATTAACAGTTAGAGCAGGGATTCTTTCCAAATGAAAATCTTTTTACAGAGCAATTAAGACAAAGACATTTAAATAAGTACGCTAAAAACATTCAAAGAGATAAATGAAGATACAGCTTTTAAAAGAATGATAAAACAATGCCAGGAAGAAATGAAACAAATCTAATAGATTATAAAAAAGAATAAATTAGACTGGTCATTGACATTTTTAAAAAACCAATAAATAAGAAAAACTGTAGACTGGATACAGTTGATGAATAAATTGGTGAAATAGAAGATAATATTGAGGAACTATCCCAGAACACAATACAAGAGAGACAGAAAAATAAAATGAGAGACCAGCTTAGAGATAGAAAAGATTGAGAAGACTAAACATTACACAATAGGAAGTCCAAGAAAGAATGGAGGAGATAGTGTAAAAACTTAATCCTGAGAATTTTCCAGAATTGAAGAAACCCATGAATTTTTACTTCAGCTAATAAGCAGGGTAAATAAAAATAAATCTAGACCTCAAAACATGATAGTGAAACTACACAACATCAAGGATGAAATAACCTTAAAAACTACAGAGAAGACAAACTACAAAAGAATAGTCTGACAGCAGACACTCTTAGCTAGATAGGTAAGCCAAAAGATAGTGGGGGAAATATTTTTCAAGTGTTGAAGGAATATAATTCTACCTAGAATTTTATACCCAAACACAATGTCATTCAAGAGTAAAATAATTTTCAGGCACACGAAAACAGCTTATTGTCTGTAGAATTTAGCAAATGTATTATTAACAGACATATATATATGTTATATATATATTTCAGCAGAAAGAAAAGTGAAAACAGAAGGAAAGTGTGGAATATGAGAAACAGTAGTGAACAAAAAAATAGATAAAATGTCAGGAAATTTGATTAACCTTTGACTATAAAGATAACAAGTCTGTTTTAGATGTTTGTACATTTGGAAAATTTTTTTTTGAAGATTAAAGCTAAAACTCTAGACAATAGTTGCTGAGAGAGTATTCAATCAGTAGTTTAAGTATGCTGAGATCCATGTCATGTTAGGAGGATAGATACACTGAATCTGACTTTATTAGATAAATTTGTAGTGAGTTATGTATCCTAAAATGTTAAGGGTACCATTTAATTAATAAATACAATCTATAGTTTCCACATCATCAGTGGGAAAACCAGGGAACATAGAAAACTTTATCTAGTAGAAAGCAGAGAAGGAGAAGTGAAAGAAAGTGATTGATCAACCCAAAACAGAAAATATGAAGTAGAAATAAATCTCAGTATATCAGTAATAACAAAAGCAAAGCATTATATCCACCTAATAAGAAACAGATTATCAGATTAGATTTTTTTAAAACGCCATATGCTGATTATAACAAATTGTCTAAAAACCATATGGAAAATAAAGAGATAGAAAAAAAGATGCTAGCTAAGTAGTAATTATAACAAAAATCTGGATCATCAATATCAGAAATAATACACTTTAAGGCAAAATGTACTCCTAGAGATAAAGGGACTTGGTAAATTATGAGAAAATGTTCAGTTCACCTGGAAGATAAACAATTCTGAATTTGTATGCATGTAATAACATATCTTCACTATGTATGTGTGTGTGTGCGTGTGTGTGTGTGTATGTATAAAACATAACAGAAGTAGTAGAAGTTGACAAGTCTATTTTAGTGGGAGATTTTATGAATCTGTAATCAAGCAGAAAAAATTCAGTAAGGGTATGAAATCTGTAAATACATAATAGACATACCTATTCTAATAGTGAATACATAGAATCCTACAATCCAAAAATGCAAAGTGAGTGGTCATATTTAAGGTACATTTGAAACATTTACAGAAATTTACCTCTTACTAGGACAAAGGCAATAACAGATTTCAAAGAATTCACTTTTTAAATGAACATATTATGATTATAATATGAAAATATAAATAAATAAAAATTACTTTAAAATAAGTTTAGACCTAAATTTCAAAGCACATGCCAAATAACTTACATGTTAAAAGGCAACTATAATGAGATTACAAAATATTTATAATTGAACATTAAAAAATTGAATACTGTTATGAAGATAAAAAATAATAAATAATAAATAAAATAGCAGTTTTGGTACTTCCAAGGAAATGTCTTAAAGGAGAATAGGAAATTTAATTAATTAATTAATTGATTAACTTTATTTTAGAGATGGAGTCTCGCTTTGTTTCTCAGGCTGGAGTGTAGTGGTCATTCACAGGTGCAAACATGGTGCACTACAGCCTCGAACTCAGGGGCTCAAGTGATTCTCCTGCCTCAGCTTCCCCAGTACCTAGTACTGCAGGCATATGCCACTGTGTCCAGCTCATTATAGGGAAATTTATAACCTCAAAATGTTATTTAAAAAAAATTGAAGATAAATGAGTGAAAGGTTCATTTTGAGGTACTAGAAAAACAATAACATCTTAAAGCAGAGAAAGAAAATAATATGGATGAATAGAAGTTAATGTAATAGATAATGAGGAAACATTAGAAAATCAACAAAACTAAAAATTTGTTTCTTTGAAAACTAACAAAATAGACCAATAGAATAGGCCAATCTTTAACAAGGGCTGAGAAGAAAAATAGAAAAATCTCAAATAGACAATATTAAGGAAGAAAATTAAGTTAAAATTATAACTATATTTTAAAAAATTATTGATATACAATATACATATTTATGACTTACACGTGATATTTTGATACCAGCATACAATGTGTTGTGATCAAGTCTGGATAATTAGGATATACATTACCTCAAACATTTGTCCTTTTTGGGGGGTTAAGAACATTTCAAATCTTCTCTTTTAGCTATTTTGAAATATACAATAAATTGTTGTTAACTATAGTCATCCTACTGTGCTATTGAACACTAGAACTTATTAAATTTATTTAACTGTATTTTTGTACCCACTAACCAACCTCTGTTTATCCTTGTCTTCACCTTTCCGAGCCTCTGGTAACCATCATTCTACTCTCTATCTCCATGAGATAGACTTTATTAACTCTCACATGTGAGTGAAACCATATGATATTTTTCTTTCTGTGCCTGGCTTATTTCACTTAACATAATGACTTCCAGTTCCATTCATACTGCTGCCAATGACAAGATTCCATTCCTTTTTATGTCTGAATAACATTCTATGTATATTAATTATTTATTAATCCATTAATGGACACTTTGGTTGATTCCATATTTTGGCTCTTGTGAATAATGCTGTAATAAACATAGGCTTGCAGATATCACTTTGATATACTGAGTTCCTTTCTTTTGGATATATACCTAGCAGTGAGATTGCTGGAGCATACAGTAGATCTATATAGTTTTTTGAGGACCCTCCATACTGTTCTCCATAGTGCCTGTACTAATTTACATTCCCACAAGCATTCCCTTTGTGTCCTTGTCAGCATGTTATTTTTGTCTTTTCAATAATAGCCATTTTAACTGGGGTGAGATGATGTCTCATTATGCTTTTGATATGCATTTCCCTAATAGTGATGATGAGTATTTTTTCATATGCCTGTGGGCATTTTTTAAAATTATTGATTTTAAATGTTTTCTTTTGAGAAAAATCTATTCAGTTTATTTGCGCATTTTTAATTGGTATTATATGGGGGTTCTTTGGCCATTGAGTTGTTTGAATTTCTATATATTCTGGTTTTTAATCCCTTGTTGGATGGATAATTTGCAAATATTTTTTCCCCTTCTGTAGATTGTCTCTTTACTCCATTGATTGTTTCTTTTGTTGTGCAGAAGCTTTTTAGTTTGATGTGATCCCACTTGTCTACTTTTACTTTTGTTGTCAGTGTTTTCAGGTCTTACATACAAAAAAATCTTGGCCCAGATTAATCTCTTAGAATGTTTCCCCAATGTTTTCTTCTAGTAGTTTCACAGTTTCAGGTCTTAGAATTGAGTCTTTAATCCATTTTGATTTTATTTTTGTTTATAGTGAGAAATGGGGGTCTAGTTCCTTTTTTCTTTTCTTTTCTTTCTTTCTTTCTTTTTTTTTTTAAGGATAACCAGTTTCTCAGCACCATTTATTGAAGAGACTGTCCTTTCCCCCACAGAATGTTCTTGGTGACTTTGTGAAAAATCAATTGACTATAAATATGTGGATTTATCTCTGGGTTCTCTATTCTGTTCCATTGGTCTGTGTGTCTATTTTTATGCCAATACCATGCTGTTTTCTTAGGTAGTGTGGTGCCTCCAGCTATGTTCTTTTTGTTCAGGGTTGCTTTGGCTATTTGGCATCATCTGTGGTTCTATATGAAGCTTATGTTTTTTTTGTATCTGTGAAGAATGTCTTTGGTATTTTGATAGGTATTGCATTGGATCTGTAGATTGCTTTTGGTAGTATTGTTATTTTCACATTATAATTCTTTCAATCTTTGAACATGGCATGTCTTTCCATTTTTTGTGACCACTTCCATTTCTTTAATCAGTGTTTTATAGTCTTCCTTGTGAAGCTCTTTCACCTTCTTGGTTAAATTTATTCCTAGGTTTGTTGCTGTTGTTGTTGTTTTGTTTTGTTTTTTAATTAAAGACAGGGTCTTGCTCCGTTGCCCAGGCTGAAAGGTAATGGCATGATTACAGCTCACTGCAGCCTTGAACTCCTAGGCTCAAGTGATCTTCCCTCCCCAGGCTCCCAAGTTGCTGGGACTATAGGTGTGCACCACCATGCCAGCTAATTTTTTTTTTTTTTAATAGAGACTGGGTCTCACTGTGTTGTGCAAGCTGGTCTTGAACTCCTGGCCCCAGGCAGTCCTCCTTCCTTGGCCTCCTAAAGCACTGAGAATACAGGCATGAGTCACTGTCCTGGACCTTAGTGTTTTGGGGTGTGTGTGTGTGTGTGTGTGTGTGTGTGTGTGTGTGTAGCTATTATAAATGGGAATGCTGCTTTCTTGATTTCTTCTTGTTTGTTTATAGAAATGCCAATAATTTTTGTATGTTGATTTTTGTATCTTGCAACTTTACTGAAATTGTTTATCAATCCTGAGTTTTTTGTGGAGCTTTTAGGGTTTTCTCTTTATAAGATTTTGTCATTTGCAAACAGGGACAGTTTGACTTCCTCCTTTGCAATTTGGATACCCTTTATTTTTCTCTCTTGTTTCTTTGCTCTGGCTAGGACTTCCAGTGCTGCGTTTAATAAGAATGGTGAGAGTGCGCATCCTTATATTGTTCCAGCTCCTAGAAGAAAAGCTTTCGGCTTTTCCCCATTTAGTATAATGTTAACTGTGGGTTTCTCTTATATGGCCTTTATTATGTCGAGGTACACTCCTTCTAGACCTAGTTTGTTGAGGGTTTTTTATCATAAAGCGATGTTGAATTTTATCGAATGCTTTTTCTGCATCTATTGAGATAATCATATGGTTTTTGTCCTTCATTATGTTGGTGTGATATTTCACATTTATTGATTTGGGTATGTTGAACCATTCTTACATCTCTGGGATAAATCCCACTTATCATGGTGAATGATCCTTTTAATGTGCTGTTGGATTTGGTTTGCTACTATTTGTTGAGGATTTTTGCATGTATTTGCATCAGAGACATTGACCTATAGTTGTGTCCTTGTCTGGTTTCAGTAACAGGGTAATGCTGGCCTCATAGAATGAGTTTGGAAGAATTCTCACCTCTTCAGTTTTCCGGAAGAATTTGAGAAGAATTGGTATTTATTCTTTAAATGTTTGGTAGAATTCAGTATTGAAGCCATCAGGTCCTGAACTTTTTTTTGATGGGAGACTTTTTATTACTGATTCAGTCTTATTACTTGTACTTGACCTGTTCATGTTTTCTATTTTTTCTTGGTTCAATCTTGGTAGGTGGTATATGTCCACAAATTTATCAATTATCATTAGGTTTTCCAATTGGTTATTTTTAAAAAATTAGTATTATTATTATTATTTTTTGGAGACAGAGTCTTACTCTGTTGCCCAGGCTGGAGTCCAGTGGCACAATCTCAACTCACTGCAACCTCTGCCTCCCAGGTTCAAGCAATTCTTCTGCCTCAGCCTCCCAAGTAGCTGGTACTACAGGCGCATGCTGCCACACCCGGCTAATTTTTTTGTATTTTAGTAGAGATGGGGTTTCATTGTGTTGCCCAGGCTGGTCTCGAACTCCTGAGCTCAGGCAATCCACCCACCTCAGTCTCCCAAAGTGCCGTGATTGCAGGTGTGAGCCAATGCACCCAGCCTTAATTATAATTTTATTAAAAAATTTATTCCAGTAAATTTGACATAGGAACGGATGGTTTTGTAGAAAAAGTATAATTTACCAAATCACAACCAAATAAGGGTCATCACAGAAATGTAAGAAATGTTAAACATATGAAATGGTATCAATCTAATTCACCACATTAACAGATTATAGAAGTAAACCCATATGATCATTTCAACAAATGAATAACTTGACAAAATTCAGTATTTATTAATTTGAAAACATGTACTTGAGGCTGGGCATGGTAGTTCACACTTGTAATCCCAGCACTTTGGGAGGACGAGGCAGGTGGGTCACTTGAGGCCAGGAGTTCAAGACCAGCCTGAGCAACATGATGAAACCCTGTCTCTACTAAAAATACAAAAATTAGCCAGGCATGCTGGTACACACCCATAATCCCAGCTACTCAGGAGGCTGAGGCATGAGAATTGCTCAAACCCAGGAGGTGGAGGTTACAGTAAGCTGAGATCATGTCACTGCACTCCAGCCTGAGGGACAGAGTGAGACTCTGTCTCAAAAAAAAAAAAAAAGTAAAATAAATAAAAACATTTACCAAAGGATGAATATAATAGGATTTTCTTAGCTTTATAAAAGTTAATTACCAAAAAACAGAACTCCTACAAACATCATACTAATAGAGACTTTAGGAGCATTCCCGTTAAATTCAGGAACAAGACAAAGAGGACTAATGTTATTTCTGTTGAGCACTCTATTGAATTTGCTAGCAAATACAATAAAACAAGTAAAAGAAATATGATATAAGAATTGGAAACAAGAAATAAAATACTCTTAATTTGTAGGAATGTAAATTATCTACATAGGAAATCCAAAAGAATCAGCAAACGATAGAACTAATAAAATAATTTGGAAAGATTACTAGATGCAAAAGATATATGCGAAAGTAAAGTCCGTAGTGTTTTTGTCTATCAGTAATAACCACTTGGGAGGTGGTGGTTTTTTTTTTTTAAGTAAAAATAGTGAAATTTCTTTTCCTGATGTATCTAAACTAGGAGTTTCCTAATGAAATAAACCATCTCTGACCATTACTGCAATCATCCCATTGCTCAGCTTTATGAGACCCAACACCCCCTTTTGTAACAGATATTTTTAATTCTCCTTTACTATTTTGAAATGAATTTCATAGCTTAATATAATCTGTGTACATACATCTTTGAAAAGCATTAATTTAATTTAATATAAAGGCAAAAGAAAAACAAATTTATAATAATATGTGTTCTAACTTTGTAAATGTTAAAGAATAGCTATATCAGAAGATACAATGAAGTAACCATGTTTTTGCAGTTACTTTTAATGCATAGATTTGGATTTAAGAAAAACAAAACAACATTCAACTCATATTATCAACAATTTTTCTTTTTATTTAACCTGTAGAAATAAGGACTAGAAAAGTATATGCATATATATTAAAAAATTGCGTCTACAGCTGCCTATACAGACAACTATTGTTATGCGTATTGCTGCTCCAAATACAATGAGCAGCATTGATGTTACTAATGTGTTGCCCCAAACTATTTTTAAAAGAAAATTTTTGAAAAGTTTTTAAAAAATACAAAACAAAATCATCTTCAGTTTACATGATAGCTGCATACTTGTAAGTTTCAATTAAATATGTGCAAAACAATACTTGGAATTTATGAAAATGTATTTCAGCTCTGGTTTTAAATTTATAAACAGATCTTCCAAGTACATATTCCACCCGACTTTCAAAAATTTCACAGAATGTAGAAGAGTTCTTTATTGTGCAAGACTGGTTCATCCATTGCAAGACATTTAGCATTCCTAAACTCCCCTCCCACTAAATGCTATTAGCAATCTACAGCCAACAGGACAAGCAACCCCTCATGTAAATTTCTGTATCATCCCCTGGGGGGCAGTACTACTCTCAGTGATAACTATTGATTTAAATGCCTGAATATATTTCTATGGGTAAACTCTCTTTTTCTGAGTCATAATTACAGCTATGATTGAAAACATATTTTCTTTACTAAGCAACTCATAATCAAAGGCTAATCTTATATCTTCAAAACTTGACTGAATATTTCCTAACCTTGACAGCATAAAGTCTAGAAAGGCAAAATGGAACTCTGAGTACGTTTGGGTTTGTGTCGCTTGAAAAACTCATATTACAGGCATCATATAACATTCTTATGTCATATAATAGTTCTGTAAGTGGAAACTTAATCCTTGAAAATTATGAAATGCATCAGGCAAGGTGGCTCATGCCTGTAATCTCAGCACTTTGGGAGGCCAAGGCAGGTGATTCACCTGAGATCAGGAGTTCGAGACCAGCCTGGCCAACATGGTGAAACCCTGACTCTACTAAAAATACAAAAAAATTAGCCAGGCATGGTGGCGCATGCCTGTAATCCCAGCTACTCGGGAGGCTGAGGCAGGAGAATCACTTGAACCAGGGAGGCAGAGGGTGCAGTGAGCTGAGATAGCGCCACTGTGCTCTAGCCTGGGTGACAAGAGTGAAACTCCATCTCAAAAAAAAAAAAAAAAAGAAATGAAAGTGATGAGATGGTCATGAGAACCAGATGCACAGAAGAAGTTTTAGCAGATTTTCTTATTTATTTATTTATTTTTTTTTTTGAGAAGGAGTTTCACTCTGTCGCCAGGCTGGAGTGCAGTGGCGTGATCTCGGCTTACTGCAACCTCCACCTCCTAGGTTCAAGTGATTCTCCTGCCTCAGCCTCCCGAGTAGCTGGGACTACAGGCATGTGCCACCATGCCCAGCTAATTTTGTATTTTTAGTAGAGACGGGGTTTCACCATGTTGGCCAGGATGGTCTCAATCTCTTGACCTCATGATCCGCCCACCTCAGCCTCCCGAAGTGCTGGGATTACAGGCGTGAGCCACCGCGTGCCCGACCTCGCAGATTTCTTTATCAAATGATGTTATCAGTTCTGCAGTTCATGCAAAAGACTGAAACATCTTATAATTTATACGTGGCCTAAAAACTATTCTTCTTAAATTAGGTATTGATTTCAAAACATGCCAGCTTTTTTGATTGCGGATTAGTTAAAAAATATAAGAATTTTTTTAACCATTGTAATTTACTACCTAAGTGATTTCATTCAGTCTGTTTGCTTCAGATAAACCTGTACGATCAATGACTCTCAAATCTTTATTTCTAGGTCCAGCCTCTACCTTTAGCTCCAGACTTGTATATCCAACTGCCAGTACCATATATATTTGGGTATTTACTAGGTATCTCAAATTTACCACATGAAAATTGAACTTGTGATTTTTCTTCTACAACCATGTTCCTCTGGTGTTTCTCATCTCAGTAAATGATAACTCAGTAAATGATTTATCCAGTTGTTCACAACAAAAACCTTGGGGTCATTCTTCACTTCTTTCTCTTGTACCCTAAATTCAATGTTTTAATTAGTCCTATAAACTCTGTCTTCAAAGTACATTATGAATCTGACCACTTAGCCTCACCTCCCCCAGACTACCTGAGTCAAAGCCAACATTATTTCTTACATGAGAGACTGCATTAGACTTACAACTTCTCTCTTGTTTCTGTGTTTCTTCCACACCATTATGGCGTATTTACTGATCTACAACCGGTTTTAAGTTAGTTGCCTGCTTAAAATTTTCTCATGAATTCTCATTACATTTTCAAACAAAATCCAAAGTTTTTACCATGACCTTGTGGATATCTTTCTGACCTCATTTACTACTGTTATCTTCCTTATTCATTCCATTCCACCCACAGTGGCCTTCTTGCAAGTCAGAGAATGCAACAAATATGCTCCTGCCTTGGGGCATTTGCACTTCTGTTCTTTTGGCCTGGTCACTTCACCTCCACATTCTCCATTTTTTATGACTTTCTTCCTATATTTGGATCTCTGTTCAAATGTCACCCCTCAAAAAGGCCTTCAAAACTACCCTATTTAAAATAGCACCTGCCACTGCCATCTCCATACCCATTTTCATTTTTCCATAGCACTTATCCCTACTTGGCATTATGTTATATATTTGTTTATTTGTTTACTGTCTGTCTCCCCCACTGGACTGTAAGCTCCATGACTGTAAGTACATAGATGAATTACAAAATGAATCAATGGTGAATTATCCTTGACATATATTATTTAATGATTTTGACTCCATTTTAAGTAAAAAAAAAATAACATTTTTTTCACTCTTCAAAGTGATATAGTTTAATCTTCTAAACTACATTTTTCTCATTTCCCGATTTAATTAAATCAGTGATATAAAAAAAAGAGTGATGGGGATATGTGAAAGAAGACTAAAATAGATGCCAGGAAATACTAAAACTGCTGAAGTTTAGTGGTATATTTTTTCTTTACACACAGTATTATTTGAGTTACTAATTGTGTCACTGAATTACAGAATAAGCAAAATACTAGGTAAACAGAATCACGCTTGGGGGCTATATTTTGTGTAAAATTTGTGTTATGCAAAAATAATATTAAATATTTAATTACTACAGTTTTGTTATTTCTTTCTTATTTTAGGAAATGATTTGCAGCTGAGTGAATCAGGAAGTGACAGTGATGACTGAAGAAATATTTAGCTATAAATAAAAATTTATACAGCATGTATAATTTATTTTGTATTAACAATAAAAATTCCTAAGACTGAGGGAAATATGTCTTAACTTTTGATGATAAAAGAAATTAAATTTGATTCAGAAATTTCAGTTGATGTTATGTATTTGTTTTTTAGACAGTTTATTTATATAAATTTATTTATTGTTTTTTAGACAGTTTATATATAAATATATATTATATATGAAGATATATATATATAATTAAATACAGCAGTTTTAGGTTCATAGCAAAGTTGAAGTTTTAGGTTCATAACAAAGTTGAGAAGGTCTTATTTCTTCTCTCCTCATTATCAATATCCCACACCAGAGTGGCACATTTGCTAAAATAGATGAGCCTACATTGATAGATCATTATTACACTAAGTCCATAGTTTACATTAGGGTTCAGTCTTGATGTTGTGCATTCTATGGATTTTTGACAAATGTGTATTCATCATTTTAGTAACATTCGGAATAGTATCACTGCCCTAAAAATCCTTTGTTCTGCCTATTCATTCGTCTTTTCCCTTTAACTCCCAGCAACTACTAATCTTACTGTCTCCATAGTTTTGCATTTTCCAGAATGTCATGTAGTTGGAATCATACAGAACATAGCCTTTTCAGATTAGTTTCTTTCACTTAATAATATGCATTTAAGTGCCTCCATGTCTTTCATGGTTTGATAGCCCATTTTTTTTTAAGTTTGAATACTCTCCTATTGTCTGAATGTATCACAGTTTGTTTATCAACTCAACTACTGAAGGACATCTTGGTTGCTTCCAAGTTTCGTCAATAATGAAAAATTTTTAAATTCAATTTCTTACCTTTGGAATTTGTGTAGTTTTTTTTTAATTTATAAGTTTTTATTTTAATCTTGCTTTCTCCTTTTCTCTTTCTAGCCTAACTTTAGTTAATCTGTCTTCATTTTTATTTCTATTTTATTTATCAATACTTAGCCAAGAACTACAACTATGTAA